>NC_000017.11:23506241-23817464 GCF_000001405.40 Homo sapiens
GTTGAACATTCCTATTGATAGAGCAGTTTGGAAACACTCTTGTTGTGGAATGTGCAAGTGGAGATTTGGAGCGCTTTGAGGCCTATGGTAGTAAAGGGAATAGCTTCATAGAAAAACTAGACAGATGCATTCTCAGGAACTTTTTGGTGATGTTTGTATTCAACTCCCAGAGTTGAACTTTCCTTTGGAAAGAGCAGCTATGAAACACTCTTTTTCTAGAATCTGCAAGTGGACGTTTGGAGGGCTTTGTGGTTTGTGGTGGAAAAGGAAATATCTTCACCTAAATACTAGATAGAAGCATTCTCAGAAGCTTCTCTGTGATGACTGCATTCAACTCACGGAGTTGAACACTCCTTTTGAGAGCGCAGTTTTGAAACTCTCTTTCTGTGGCATCTGCAAGGGGACATGTAGACCTCTTTGAAGATTTCGTTGGAAACGGAATCATCTTCACATAAAAACTATACAGAAGCAGTCTCAGAATCTTCTTTGTGATGTTTGCATTCAAATCCCAGAGTTGAACTTTCCTTTCAAAGTTCACGTTTGAAACACTCTTTTTGCAGGATCTACAAGTGGATATTTGGACCACTCTGTGTCCTTCGTTCGAAACGGGTATATCTTCACACGACATCTAGACAGAAGCTTTCTCAGAAAATTCTTTGGGATGATTGAGTGGAACTCACAGAGCTGAACATTCCTTGCGATGTAGCAGTTTAGAAACACACTTTCTGCAGAATCTGCAAGTGCATATTTGGACCTCTCTGAGGAATTCGTTGGAAACGGGATAATTTCAGCTGACTAAACAGAAGCATTCTCAGAACCTTCTTCGTGATGTCTGCATTCAACTCACAGTGTGGAACCTTTCTTTGATAGTTCAGGTTTGAAACACTCTTTTTGTAGAAACTGCAAGGGGATAATTGCACTTCTTTGAGGCCTACCGTAGTAAAGGAAATAACTTCCTATAGAAAGAAGACAGAAGCATTCTCAGAACCCTCTTCGTGATGTTTGCATTCAACTCACAGTGCTGAACCTTTCTTTGATAGTTCAGCTTTGAAACACTCTTCTTGTAGAAACTGCAAGTGGATATTTGGTCCTCTCTGAGCATTTCGTTGGAAACGGGATAAACCGCACAGAACTAAACAGAAGAATTCTCAGAGCCCTCTTCGTGATGTTTGCATTCAACTCACAGTGCTGAACCTTTCTTTGATAGTGCAGCTTTGAAACACTCTTTTTGTAGAAACTGCAAGTGGATGTTTGGTCCTCTCTGAGGATTTCGTTGGAAACGGGATAAACCGCACAGAACTAAAACAGAAGCATTGTCAGAAACTTCTTTGTGATGATTGCATTCAACTCACAGAGTTGAAGGTTCCTTTTCAAACAGCAGTTTCCAATCACTCTTTCTGTGGAATCTGCAAGTGGATATTTGGGCCTCTCTGAGGATTTCGTTGGAAACGGGATAAAACGCACAGAACTAAAACAGAAGCATTCTCAGAAACTTCTCTGTGATGTTTGTGTTCAACTCCCAGAGTTTCACGTTGCTTTTCATAGAGTAGTTCTGAAACATGCTTTTCGTAGTGTCTGCAAGTGGACATTTGGAGCGCTTTCAGGCCTGTGGTGGAAAACGAATTATGGTCACATAAAAACTGGAGAGAAGCCTTCTCAGAAACTTCTCTGTGATGATTGCATTCAACTCACAGAGTTGAACCCTCCTATGGATAGAGCAGTGTTGAAACTCTCTTTTTGTGGAATCTGCAAGTGGATATGTGGACCTCTCCGAAGATGTCTTTGGAAACGGGAATATCTTCACATAAAAACTAAACAGAAGCATTCTCAGAAACTTCTTGGTGATGTTTGCATTCAAATCCCAGAGTTGAACCTTCCTTTGATAGTTCAGGTTTGAAACACTCTTTCTGTAGGATCTGCAAGTGGCTATTTGGACCACTCTGTGGCCTTCGTTCGAAACGGGTATATCTTCGCATAAAATCTAGACAGAAGCATTCTCAGAAAATACTTTGTGATGATTGAGTTTAAATCACAGAGCTGACCATTCCTTTGGATGGAGCAGGTTTGAGACACACTTTTTGTAGAATCTACAAGTGGATATTTGGACCTCTCTGAGGATTTCGTTGGAAACGGGATAACTGCACCTAACTAAACGGAAGCATTCTCAGAAACTGCTTTGTGATGATTGCATTCACCTCACAGAGTTGAACATTCCTATTGATAGAGCAGTTTGGAAACACTCTTGTTGTGGAATGTGCAAGTGGAGATTTGGAGCGCTTTGAGGCCTGTGGTAGTAAAGGGAATAGCTTCATAGAAAAACTAGACAGATGCATTCTCAGGAACTTTTTGGTGATGTTTGTATTCAACTCCCAGAGTTGAACTTTCCTTTGGAAAGAGCAGCTATGAAACACTCTTTTTCTAGAATCTGCAAGTGGACGTTTGGAGGGCTTTGTGGTTTGTGGTGGAAAAGGAAATATCTTCACCTAAATACTAGATAGAAGCATTCTCAGAAGCTTCTCTGTGATGACTGCATTCAACTCACGGAGTTGAACACTCCTTTTGAGAGCGCAGTTTTGAAACTCTCTTTCTGTGGCATCTGCAAGGGGACATGTAGACCTCTTTGAAGATTTCGTTGGAAACGGAATCATCTTCACATAAAAACTATACAGAAGCAGTCTCAGAATCTTCTTTGTGATGTTTGCATTCAAATCCCAGAGTTGAACTTTCCTTTCAAAGTTCACGTTTGAAACACTCTTTTTGCAGGATCTACAAGTGGATATTTGGACCACTCTGTGTCCTTCGTTCGAAACGGGTATATCTTCACACGACATCTAGACAGAAGCTTTCTCAGAAAATTCTTTGGGATGATTGAGTGGAACTCACAGAGCTGAACATTCCTTGCGATGTAGCAGTTTAGAAACACACTTTCTGCAGAATCTGCAAGTGCATATTTGGACCTCTCTGAGGAATTCGTTGGAAACGGGATAATTTCAGCTGACTAAACAGAAGCATTCTCAGAACCTTCTTCGTGATGTCTGCATTCAACTCACAGTGTGGAACCTTTCTTTGATAGTTCAGGTTTGAAACACTCTTTTTGTAGAAACTGCAAGGGGATAATTGCACTTCTTTGAGGCCTACCGTAGTAAAGGAAATAACTTCCTATAGAAAGAAGACAGAAGCATTCTCAGAACCCTCTTCGTGATGTTTGCATTCAACTCACAGTGCTGAACCTTTCTTTGATAGTTCAGCTTTGAAACACTCTTCTTGTAGAAACTGCAAGTGGATATTTGGTCCTCTCTGAGGATTTCGTTGGAAACGGGATAAACCGCACAGAACTAAACAGAAGAATTCTCAGAGCCCTCTTCGTGATGTTTGCATTCAACTCACAGTGCTGAACCTTTCTTTGATAGTGCAGCTTTGAAACACTCTTTTTGTAGAAACTGCAAGTGGATGTTTGGTCCTCTCTGAGGATTTCGTTGGAAACGGGATAAACCGCACAGAACTAAAACAGAAGCATTGTCAGAAACTTCTTTGTGATGATTGCATTCAACTCACAGAGTTGAAGGTTCCTTTTCAAACAGCAGTTTCCAATCACTCTTTCTGTGGAATCTGCAAGTGGATATTTGGGCCTCTCTGAGGATTTCGTTGGAAACGGGATAAAACGCACAGAACTAAAACAGAAGCATTCTCAGAAACTTCTCTGTGATGTTTGTGTTCAACTCCCAGAGTTTCACGTTGCTTTTCATAGAGTAGTTCTGAAACATGCTTTTCGTAGTGTCTGCAAGTGGACATTTGGAGCGCTTTCAGGCCTGTGGTGGAAAACGAATTATGGTCACATAAAAACTGGAGAGAAGCCTTCTCAGAAACTTCTCTGTGATGATTGCATTCAACTCACAGAGTTGAACCCTCCTATGGATAGAGCAGTGTTGAAACTCTCTTTTTGTGGAATCTGCAAGTGGATATGTGGACCTCTCCGAAGATGTCTTTGGAAACGGGAATATCTTCACATAAAAACTAAACAGAAGCATTCTCAGAAACTTCTTGGTGATGTTTGCATTCAAATCCCAGAGTTGAACCTTCCTTTGATAGTTCAGGTTTGAAACACTCTTTTTGTAGGATCTGCAAGTGGCTATTTGGACCACTCTGTGGCCTTCGTTCGAAACTGGTATATCTTCGCATAAAATCTAGACAGAAGCATTCTCAGAAAATACTTTGTGATGATTGAGTTTAAATCTCAGAGCTGAACATTCCTTTGGATGGAGCAGGTTTGAGACACACTTTTTGTAGAATCTACAAGTGGATATTTGGACCTCTCTGAGGATTTCGTTGGAAACGGGATAACTGCACCTAACTAAACGGAAGCATTCTCAGAAACTGCTTTGTGATGATTGCATTCACCTCACAGAGTTGAACATTCCTATTGATAGAGCAGTTTGGAAACACTCTTGTTGTGGAATGTGCAAGTGGAGATTTGGAGCGCTTTGAGGCCTATGGTAGTAAAGGGAATAGCTTCATAGAAAAACTAGACAGATGCATTCTCAGGAACTTTTTGGTGATGTTTGTATTCAACTCCCAGCAGTTGAACTTTCCTTTGGAAAGAGCAGCTATGAAACACTCTTTTTCTAGAATCTGGAAGTGGACGTTTGGAGGGCTTTGTGGTTTGTGGTGGAAAAGGAAATATCTTCACCTAAATACTAGATAGAAGCATTCTCAGAAGCTTCTCTGTGATGACTGCATTCAACTCACGGAGTTGAACACTCCTTTTGAGAGCGCAGTTTTGAAACTCTCTTTCTGTGGCATCTGCAAGGGGACATGTAGACCTCTTTGAAGATTTCGTTGGAAACGGAATCATCTTCACATAAAAACTATACAGAAGCAGTCTCAGAATCTTCTTTGTGATGTTTGCATTCAAATCCCAGAGTTGAACTTTCCTTTCAAAGTTCACGTTTGAAACACTCTTTTTGCAGGATCTACAAGTGGATATTTGGACCACTCTGTGTCCTTCGTTCGAAACGGGTATATCTTCACACGACATCTAGACAGAAGCTTTCTCAGAAAATTCTTTGGGATGATTGAGTGGAACTCACAGAGCTGAACATTCCTTGCGATGTAGCAGTTTAGAAACACACTTTCTGCAGAATCTGCAAGTGCATATTTGGACCTCTCTGAGGAATTCGTTGGAAACGGGATAATTTCAGCTGACTAAACAGAAGCATTCTCAGAACCTTCTTCGTGATGTCTGCATTCAACTCACAGTGTGGAACCTTTCTTTGATAGTTCAGGTTTGAAACACTCTTTTTGTAGAAACTGCAAGGGGATAATTGCACTTCTTTGAGGCCTACCGTAGTAAAGGAAATAACTTCCTATAGAAAGAAGACAGAAGCATTCTCAGAACCCTCTTCGTGATGTTTGCATTCAACTCACAGTGCTGAACCTTTCTTTGATAGTTCAGCTTTGAAACACTCTTCTTGTAGAAACTGCAAGTGGATATTTGGTCCTCTCTGAGGATTTCTTTGGAAACGGGATAAACCGCACAGAACTAAACAGAAGAATTCTCAGAGCCCTCTTCGTGATGTTTGCATTCAACTCACAGTGCTGAATCTTTCTTTGATAGTGCAGCTTTGAAACACTCTTTTTGTAGAAACTGCAAGTGGATGTTTGGTCCTCTCTGAGGATTTCGTTGGAAACGGGATAAACCGCACAGAACTAAAACAGAAGCATTGTCAGAAACTTCTTTGTGATGATTGCATTCAACTCACAGAGTTGAAGGTTCCTTTTCAAACAGCAGTTTCCAATCACTCTTTCTGTGGAATCTGCAAGTGGATATTTGGGCCTCTCTGAGGATTTCGTTGGAAACGGGATAAAACGCACAGAACTAAAACAGAAGCATTCTCAGAAACTTCTCTGTGATGTTTGTGTTCAACTCCCAGAGTTTCACGTTGCTTTTCATAGAGTAGTTCTGAAACATGCTTTTCGTAGTGTCTGCAAGTGGACATTTGGAGCGCTTTCAGGCCTGTGGTGGAAAACGAATTATGGTCACATAAAAACTGGAGAGAAGCCTTCTCAGAAACTTCTCTGTGATGATTGCATTCAACTCACAGAGTTGAACCCTCCTATGGATAGAGCAGTGTTGAAACTCTCTTTTTGTGGAATCTGCAAGTGGATATGTGGACCTCTCCGAAGATGTCTTTGGAAACGGGAATATCTTCACATAAAAACTAAACAGAAGCATTCTCAGAAACTTCTTGGTGATGTTTGCATTCAAATCCCAGAGTTGAACCTTCCTTTGATAGTTCAGGTTTGAAACACTCTTTCTGTAGGATCTGCAAGTGGCTATTTGGACCACTCTGTGGCCTTCGTTCGAAACGGGTATATCTTCGCATAAAATCTAGACAGAAGCATTCTCAGAAAATACTTTGTGATGATTGAGTTTAAATCACAGAGCTGACCATTCCTTTGGATGGAGCAGGTTTGAGACACACTTTTTGTAGAATCTACAAGTGGATATTTGGACCTCTCTGAGGATTTCGTTGGAAACGGGATAACTGCACCTAACTAAACGGAAGCATTCTCAGAAACTGCTTTGTGATGATTGCATTCACCTCACAGAGTTGAACATTCCTATTGATAGAGCAGTTTGGAAACACTCTTGTTGTGGAATGTGCAAGTGGAGATTTGGAGCGCTTTGAGGCCTGTGGTAGTAAAGGGAATAGCTTCATAGAAAAACTAGACAGATGCATTCTCAGGAACTTTTTGGTGATGTTTGTATTCAACTCCCAGAGTTGAACTTTCCTTTGGAAAGAGCAGCTATGAAACACTCTTTTTCTAGAATCTGCAAGTGGACGTTTGGAGGGCTTTGTGGTTTGTGGTGGAAAAGGAAATATCTTCACCTAAATACTAGATAGAAGCATTCTCAGAAGCTTCTCTGTGATGACTGCATTCAACTCACGGAGTTGAACACTCCTTTTGAGAGCGCAGTTTTGAAACTCTCTTTCTGTGGCATCTGCAAGGGGACATGTAGACCTCTTTGAAGATTTCGTTGGAAACGGAATCATCTTCACATAAAAACTATACAGAAGCAGTCTCAGAATCTTCTTTGTGATGTTTGCATTCAAATCCCAGGAGTTGAACTTTCCTTTCAAAGTTCACGTTTGAAACACTCTTTTTGCAGGATCTACAAGTGGATATTTGGACCACTCTGTGTCCTTCGTTCGAAACGGGTATAACTTCACACGACATCTAGACAGAAGCTTTCTCAGAAAATTCTTTGGGATGATTGAGTGGAACTCACAGAGCTGAACATTCCTTGCGATGTAGCAGTTTAGAAACACACTTTCTGCAGAATCTGCAAGTGCATATTTGGACCTCTCTGAGGAATTCGTTGGAAACGGGATAATTTCAGCTGACTAAACAGAAGCATTCTCAGAACCTTCTTCGTGATGTCTGCATTCAACTCACAGTGTGGAACCTTTCTTTGATAGTTCAGGTTTGAAACACTCTTTTTGTAGAAACTGCAAGGGGATAATTGCACTTCTTTGAGGCCTACCGTAGTAAAGGAAATAACTTCCTATAGAAAGAAGACAGAAGCATTCTCAGAATCCTCTTCGTGATGTTTGCATTCAACTCACAGTGCTGAACCTTTCTTTGATAGTTCAGCTTTGAAACACTCTTCTTGTAGAAACTGCAAGTGGATATTTGGTCCTCTCTGAGGATTTCGTTGGAAACGGGATAAACCGCACAGAACTAAACAGAAGAATTCTCAGAGCCCTCTTCGTGATGTTTGCATTCAACTCACAGTGCTGAACTTTTCTTTGATAGTGCAGCTTTGAAACACTCTTTTTGTAGAAACTGCAAGTGGATGTTTGGTCCTCTCTGAGGATTTCGTTGGAAACGGGATAAACCGCACAGAACTAAAACAGAAGCATTGTCAGAAACTTCTTTGTGATGATTGCATTCAACTCACAGAGTTGAAGGTTCCTTTTCAAACAGCAGTTTCCAATCACTCTTTCTGTGGAATCTGCAAGTGGATATTTGGGCCTCTCTGAGGATTTCGTTGGAAACGGGATAAAACGCACAGAACTAAAACAGAAGCATTCTCAGAAACTTCTCTGTGATGTTTGTGTTCAACTCCCAGAGTTTCACGTTGCTTTTCATAGAGTAGTTCTGAAACATGCTTTTCGTAGTGTCTGCAAGTGGACATTTGGAGCGCTTTCAGGCCTGTGGTGGAAAACGAATTATGGTCACATAAAAACTGGAGAGAAGCCTTCTCAGAAACTTCTCTGTGATGATTGCATTCAACTCACAGAGTTGAACCCTCCTATGGATAGAGCAGTGTTGAAACTCTCTTTTTGTGGAATCTGCAAGTGGATATGTGGACCTCTCCGAAGATGTCTTTGGAAACGGGAATATCTTCACATAAAAACTAAACAGAAGCATTCTCAGAAACTTCTTGGTGATGTTTGCATTCAAATCCCAGAGTTGAACCTTCCTTTGATAGTTCAGGTTTGAAACACTCTTTTTGTAGGATCTGCAATTGGCTATTTGGACCACTCTGTGGCCTTCGTTCGAAACGGGTATATCTTCGCATAAAATCTAGACAGAAGCATTCTCAGAAAATACTTTGTGATGATTGAGTTAAAATCACAGAGCTGAACATTCCTTTGGATGGAGCAGGTTTGAGACACACTTTTTGTAGAATCTACAAGTGGATATTTGGACCTCTCTGAGGATTTCGTTGGAAACGGGATAACTGCACCTAACTAAACGGAAGCATTCTCAGAAACTGCTTTGTGATGATTGCATTCACCTCACAGAGTTGAACATTCCTATTGATAGAGCAGTTTGGAAACACTCTTGTTGTGGAATGTGCAAGTGGAGATTTGGAGCGCTTTGAGGTCTATGGTAGTAAAGGGAATAGCTTCATAGAAAAACTAGACAGATGCATTCTCAGGAACTTTTTGGTGATGTTTGTATTCAACTCCCAGAGTTGAACTTTCCTTTGGAAAGAGCAGCTATGAAACACTCTTTTTCTAGAATCTGCAAGTGGACGTTTGGAGGGCTTTGTGGTTTGTGGTGGAAAAGGAAATATCTTCACCTAAATACTAGATAGAAGCATTCTCAGAAGCTTCTCTGTGATGACTGCATTCAACTCACGGAGTTGAACACTCCTTTTGAGAGCGCAGTTTTGAAACTCTCTTTCTGTGGCATCTGCAAGGGGACATGTAGACCTCTTTGAAGATTTCGTTGGAAACGGAATCATCTTCACATAAAAACTATACAGAAGCAGTCTCAGAATCTTCTTTGTGATGTTTGCATTCAAATCCCAGAGTTGAACTTTCCTTTCAAAGTTCACGTTTGAAACACTCTTTTTGCAGGATCTACAAGTGGATATTTGGACCACTCTGTGTCCTTCGTTCGAAACGGGTATATCTTCACACGACATCTAGACAGAAGCTTTCTCAGAAAATTCTTTGGGATGATTGAGTGGAACTCACAGAGCTGAACATTCCTTGCGATGTAGCAGTTTAGAAACACACTTTCTGCAGAATCTGCAAGTGCATATTTGGACCTCTCTGAGGAATTCGTTGGAAACGGGATAATTTCAGCTGACTAAACAGAAGCATTCTCAGAACCTTCTTCGTGATGTCTGCATTCAACTCACAGTGTGGAACCTTTCTTTGATAGTTCAGGTTTGAAACACTCTTTTTGTAGAAACTGCAAGGGGATAATTGCACTTCTTTGAGGCCTACCGTAGTAAAGGAAATAACTTCCTATAGAAAGAAGACAGAAGCATTCTCAGAACCCTCTTCGTGATGTTTGCATTCAACTCACAGTGCTGAACCTTTCTTTGATAGTTCAGCTTTGAAACACTCTTCTTGTAGAAACTGCAAGTGGATATTTGGTCCTCTCTGAGGATTTCGTTGGAAACGGGATAAACCGCACAGAACTAAACAGAAGAATTCTCAGAGCCCTCTTCGTGATGTTTGCATTCAACTCACAGTGCTGAACCTTTCTTTGATAGTGCAGCTTTGAAACACTCTTTTTGTAGAAACTGCAAGTGGATGTTTGGTCCTCTCTGAGGATTTCGTTGGAAACGGGATAAACCGCACAGAACTAAAACAGAAGCATTGTCAGAAACTTCTTTGTGATGATTGCATTCAACTCACAGAGTTGAAGGTTCCTTTTCAAACAGCAGTTTCCAATCACTCTTTCTGTGGAATCTGCAAGTGGATATTTGGGCCTCTCTGAGGATTTCGTTGGAAACGGGATAAAACGCACAGAACTAAAACAGAAGCATTCTCAGAAACTTCTCTGTGATGTTTGTGTTCAACTCCCAGAGTTTCACGTTGCTTTTCATAGAGTAGTTCTGAAACATGCTTTTCGTAGTGTCTGCAAGTGGACATTTGGAGCGCTTTCAGGCCTGTGGTGGAAAACGAATTATGGTCACATAAAAACTGGAGAGAAGCCTTCTCAGAAACTTCTCTGTGATGATTGCATTCAACTCACAGAGTTGAACCCTCCTATGGATAGAGCAGTGTTGAAACTCTCTTTTTGTGGAATCTGCAAGTGGATATGTGGACCTCTCCGAAGATGTCTTTGGAAACGGGAATATCTTCACATAAAAACTAAACAGAAGCATTCTCAGAAACTTCTTGGTGATGTTTGCATTCAAATCCCAGAGTTGAACCTTCCTTTGATAGTTCAGGTTTGAAACACTCTTTCTGTAGGATCTGCAAGTGGCTATTTGGACCACTCTGTGGCCTTCGTTCGAAACGGGTATATCTTCGCATAAAATCTAGACAGAAGCATTCTCAGGAAAATACTTTGTGATGATTGAGTTTAAATCACAGAGCTGACCATTCCTTTGGATGGAGCAGGTTTGAGACACACTTTTTGTAGAATCTACAAGTGGATATTTGGACCTCTCTGAGGATTTCGTTGGAAACGGGATAACTGCACCTAACTAAACGGAAGCATTCTCAGAAACTGCTTTGTGATGATTGCATTCACCTCACAGAGTTGAACATTCCTATTGATAGAGCAGTTTGGAAACACTCTTGTTGTGGAATGTGCAAGTGGAGATTTGGAGCGCTTTGAGGCCTATGGTAGTAAAGGGAATAGCTTCATAGAAAAACTAGACAGATGCATTCTCAGGAACTTTTTGGTGATGTTTGTATTCAACTCCCAGAGTTGAACTTTCCTTTGGAAAGAGCAGCTATGAAACACTCTTTTTCTAGAATCTGCAAGTGGACGTTTGGAGGGCTTTGTGGTTTGTGGTGGAAAAGGAAATATCTTCACCTAAATACTAGATAGAAGCATTCTCAGAAGCTTCTCTGTGATGACTGCATTCAACTCACGGAGTTGAACACTCCTTTTGAGAGCGCAGTTTTGAAACTCTCTTTCTGTGGCATCTGCAAGGGGACATGTAGACCTCTTTGAAGATTTCGTTGGAAACGGAATCATCTTCACATAAAAACTATACAGAAGCAGTCTCAGAATCTTCTTTGTGATGTTTGCATTCAAATCCCAGAGTTGAACTTTCCTTTCAAAGTTCACGTTTGAAACACTCTTTTTGCAGGATCTACAAGTGGATATTTGGACCACTCTGTGTCCTTCGTTCGAAACGGGTATATCTTCACACGACATCTAGACAGAAGCTTTCTCAGAAAATTCTTTGGGATGATTGAGTGGAACTCACAGAGCTGAACATTCCTTGCGATGTAGCAGTTTAGAAACACACTTTCTGCAGAATCTGCAAGTGCATATTTGGACCTCTCTGAGGAATTCGTTGGAAACGGGATAATTTCAGCTGACTAAACAGAAGCATTCTCAGAACCTTCTTCGTGATGTCTGCATTCAACTCACAGTGTGGAACCTTTCTTTGATAGTTCAGGTTTGAAACACTCTTTTTGTAGAAACTGCAAGGGGATAATTGCACTTCTTTGAGGCCTACCGTAGTAAAGGAAATAACTTCCTATAGAAAGAAGACAGAAGCATTCTCAGAACCCTCTTCGTGATGTTTGCATTCAACTCACAGTGCTGAACCTTTCTTTGATAGTTCAGCTTTGAAACACTCTTCTTGTAGAAACTGCAAGTGGATATTTGGTCCTCTCTGAGGATTTCGTTGGAAACGGGATAAACCGCACAGAACTAAACAGAAGAATTCTCAGAGCCCTCTTCGTGGTGTTTGCATTCAACTCACAGTGCTGAACCTTTCTTTGATAGTGCAGCTTTGAAACACTCTTTTTGTAGAAACTGCAAGTGGATATTTGGTCCTCTCTGAGGATTTCGTTGGAAACGGGATAAACCGCACAGAACTAAAACAGAAGCATTCACAGAAAACTCTTGGTGACGACTGAGTTTAACTCACAGAGCTGAACATTCCTTTGGATGGAGCAGTTTCGAAACACACTATTTGTAGAATCTGCAAGTGGATATTTGGGCCTCTCTGAGGATTTCGTTGGAAACGGGATAAAACGCATAGAACTAAAACAGAAGCATTCTCAGAAACTACTTTGTGATGATTGCATTCAAGTCACAGAGTTGAACATTCCCTTTGACAGAACAGTTTGGAAACTCTCTTTGTGTAGAATCTGCAAGTGGAGATATGGACCGCTTTGAGGCCTATGGTAGTAAAGGAAATAGCTTCATATAAAAGCTAGACAGTAGCATTCTCAGAAACTTCTTTGTGATGCTTGCATTCAACTCACAGAGTTGAACTTTCCTTTCGAGAGAGAAGCTTTGAAACACTCTTTTTCCAGAATGTGCAAGTGGACATTTGGGGAGCTTTGAGGCCTGTGGTGGAAAAGGAATTATCTTCCCGTAAAAGCTAGATAGAAGCATTGTCAGAAACTTCTTTGTGATGATTGCATTCAACTCACAGAGTTGAAGGTTCCTTTTCAAACAGCAGTTTCCAATCACTCTTTCTGTGGAATCTGCAAGTGGATATTTCGACCTCTTTGAAGATTTCGTTGGAAACGGGAGAATCTTCACAGAAAAGCTAAACAGAAGCATTCTCAGAAACTTCTCTGTGATGTTTGTGTTCAACTCCCAGAGTTTCACGTTGCTTTTCATAGACTAGTTCTGAAACATGCTTTTCGTAGTGTCTGCAAGTGGACATTTGGAGCGCTTTCAGGCCTGTGGTGGAAAACGAATTATGGTCACATAAAAACTGGAGAGAAGCCTTCTCAGAAACTTCTCTGTGATGATTGCATTCAACTCACAGAGTTGAACCCTCCTATGGATAGAGCAGTGTTGAAACTCTCTTTTTGTGGAATCTGCAAGTGGATATGTGGACCTCTCCGAAGATGTCTTTGGAAACGGGAATATCTTCACATAAAAACTAAACAGAAGCATTCTCAGAAACTTCTTGGTGATGTTTGCATTCAAATCCCAGAGTTGAACCTTCCTTTGATAGTTCAGGTTTGAAACACTCTTTCTGTAGGATCTGCAAGTGGCTATTTGGACCACTCTGTGGCCTTCGTTCGAAACGGGTATATCTTCGCATAAAATCTAGACAGAAGCATTCTCAGAAAATACTTTGTGATGATTGAGTTTAAATCACAGAGCTGACCATTCCTTTGGATGGAGCAGGTTTGAGACACACTTTTTGTAGAATCTACAAGTGGATATTTGGACCTCTCTGAGGATTTCGTTGGAAACGGGATAACTGCACCTAACTAAACGGAGGCATTCTCAGAAACTGCTTTGTGATGATTGCATTCACCTCACAGAGTTGAACATTCCTATTGATAGAGCAGTTTGGAAACACTCTTGTTGTGGAATGTGCAAGTGGAGATTTGGAGCGCTTTGAGGCCTATGGTAGTAAAGGGAATAGCTTCATAGAAAAACTAGACAGATGCATTCTCAGGAACTTTTTGGTGATGTTTGTATTCAACTCCCAGAGTTGAACTTTCCTTTGGAAAGAGCAGCTATGAAACACTCTTTTTCTAGAATCTGCAAGTGGACGTTTGGAGGGCTTTGTGGTTTGTGGTGGAAAAGGAAATATCTTCACCTAAATACTAGATAGAAGCATTCTCAGAAGCTCCTCTGTGATGACTGCATTCAACTCACGGAGTTGAACACTCCTTTTGAGAGCGCAGTTTTGAAACTCTCTTTCTGTGGCATCTGCAAGGGGACATGTAGACCTCTTTGAAGATTTCGTTGGAAACGGAATCATCTTCACATAAAAACTATACAGAAGCAGTCTCAGAATCTTCTTTGTGATGTTTGCATTCAAATCCCAGGAGTTGAACTTTCCTTTCAAAGTTCACGTTTGAAACACTCTTTTTGCAGGATCTACAAGTGGATATTTGGACCACTCTGTGTCCTTCGTTCGAAACGGGTATAACTTCACACGACATCTAGACAGAAGCTTTCTCAGAAAATTCTTTGGGATGATTGAGTGGAACTCACAGAGCTGAACATTCCTTGCGATGTAGCAGTTTAGAAACACACTTTCTGCAGAATCTGCAAGTGCATATTTGGACCTCTCTGAGGAATTCGTTGGAAACGGGATAATTTCAGCTGACTAAACAGAAGCATTCTCAGAACCTTCTTCGTGATGTCTGCATTCAACTCACAGTGTGGAACCTTTCTTTGATAGTTCAGGTTTGAAACACTCTTTTTGTAGAAACTGCAAGGGGATAATTGCACTTCTTTGAGGCCTACCGTAGTAAAGGAAATAACTTCCTATAGAAAGAAGACAGAAGCATTCTCAGAACCCTCTTCGTGATGTTTGCATTCAACTCACAGTGCTGAACCTTTCTTTGATAGTTCAGCTTTGAAACACTCTTCTTGTAGAAACTGCAAGTGGATATTTGGTCCTCTCTGAGGATTTCGTTGGAAACGGGATAAACCGCACAGAACTAAACAGAAGAATTCTCAGAGCCCTCTTCGTGATGTTTGCATTCAACTCACAGTGCTGAACCTTTCTTTGATAGTGCAGCTTTGAAACACTCTTTTTGTAGAAACTGCAAGTGGATGTTTGGTCCTCTCTGAGGATTTCGTTGGAAACGGGATAAACCGCACAGAACTAAAACAGAAGCATTGTCAGAAACTTCTTTGTGATGATTGCATTCAACTCACAGAGTTGAAGGTTCCTTTTCAAACAGCAGTTTCCAATCACTCTTTCTGTGGAATCTGCAAGTGGATATTTGGGCCTCTCTGAGGATTTCGTTGGAAACGGGATAAAACGCACAGAACTAAAACAGAAGCATTCTCAGAAACTTCTCTGTGATGTTTGTGTTCAACTCCCAGAGTTTCACGTTGCTTTTCATAGAGTAGTTCTGAAACATGCTTTTCGTAGTGTCTGCAAGTGGACATTTGGAGCGCTTTCAGGCCTGTGGTGGAAAACGAATTATGGTCACATAAAAACTGGAGAGAAGCCTTCTCAGAAACTTCTCTGTGATGATTGCATTCAACTCACAGAGTTGAACCCTCCTATGGATAGAGCAGTGTTGAAACTCTCTTTTTGTGGAATCTGCAAGTGGATATGTGGACCTCTCCGAAGATGTCTTTGGAAACGGGAATATCTTCACATAAAAACTAAACAGAAGCATTCTCAGAAACTTCTTGGTGATGTTTGCATTCAAATCCCAGAGTTGAACCTTCCTTTGATAGTTCAGGTTTGAAACACTCTTTCTGTAGGATCTGCAAGTGGCTATTTGGACCACTCTGTGGCCTTCGTTCGAAACGGGTATATCTTCGCATAAAATCTAGACAGAAGCATTCTCAGAAAATACTTTGTGATGATTGAGTTTAAATCACAGAGCTGACCATTCCTTTGGATGGAGCAGGTTTGAGACACACTTTTTGTAGAATCTACAAGTGGATATTTGGACCTCTCTGAGGATTTCGTTGGAAACGGGATAACTGCACCTAACTAAACGGAAGCATTCTCAGAAACTGCTTTGTGATGATTGCATTCACCTCACAGAGTTGAACATTCCTATTGATAGAGCAGTTTGGAAACACTCTTGTTGTGGAATGTGCAAGTGGAGATTTGGAGCGCTTTGAGGCCTATGGTAGTAAAGGGAATAGCTTCATAGAAAAACTAGACAGATGCATTCTCAGGAACTTTTTGGTGATGTTTGTATTCAACTCCCAGAGTTGAACTTTCCTTTGGAAAGAGCAGCTATGAAACACTCTTTTTCTAGAATCTGCAAGTGGACGTTTGGAGGGCTTTGTGGTTTGTGGTGGAAAAGGAAATATCTTCACCTAAATACTAGATAGAAAGCATTCTCAGAAGCTTCTCTGTGATGACTGCATTCAACTCACGGAGTTGAACACTCCTTTTGAGAGCGCAGTTTTGAAACTCTCTTTCTGTGGCATCTGCAAGGGGACATGTAGACCTCTTTGAAGATTTCGTTGGAAACGGAATCATCTTCACATAAAAACTATACAGAGCAGTCTCAGAATCTTCTTTGTGATGTTTGCATTCAAATCCCAGAGTTGAACTTTCCTTTCAAAGTTCACGTTTGAAACACTCTTTTTGCAGGATCTACAAGTGGATATTTGGACCACTCCTGTGTCCTTCGTTCGAAACGGGTATATCTTCACACGACATCTAGACAGAAGCTTTCTCAGAAAATTCTTTGGGATGATTGAGTTGAACTCACAGAGCTGAACATTCCTTGCGATGGAGCAGTTTAGAAACACACTTTCTGTAGAATCTGCAAGTGCATATTTGGACCTCTCTGAGGAATTCGTTGGAAACGCGAAAATTCAGCTGACTAAACAGAAGCATTCTCAGAACCTTCTTCGTGATGTCTGCATTCAACTCACAGTGTGGAACCTTTCTTTGATAGTTCAGGTTTGAAACACTCTTTTTGTAGAAACTGCAAGGGGATAATTGCACTTCTTTGAGGCCTACCGTAGTAAAGGAAATAACTTCCTATAGAAAGAAGACAGAAGCATTCTCAGAACCCTCTTCGTGATGTTTGCATTCAACTCACAGTGCTGAACCTTTCTTTGATAGTTCAGCTTTGAAACACTCTTCTTGTAGAAACTGCAAGTGGATATTTGGTCCTCTCTGAGGATTTCGTTGGAAACGGGATAAACCGCACAGAACTAAACAGAAGCATTCTCAGAACCTTCTTCGTGATGTTTGCATTCAACTCACAGTGTTGAACCTTTCTTTGATAGTTCAGGTTTGAAACGGTCTTTCTGTAGAAACTGCAAGTAGATATTTGGACCTCTCTGAGGATTTCGTTGGAAACGGGATAACCCGCACAGAACTAAAACAGAAGCATTCACAGAAAACTCTTGGTGACGACTGAGTTTAACTCACAGTAGCTGAACATTCCTTTGGATGGAGCAGTTTCGAAACACACTATTTGTAGAATGTGCAAGTGGATATTTGGGCCTCTCTGAGGATTTCGTTGGAAACGGGATAAACCGCACAGAACTAAACAGAAGCATTCTCAGAAACTACTTTGTGATGATTGCATTCAAGTCACAGAGTTGAACATTCCCTTTGACAGAGCAGTTTGGAAACTCTCTTTGTGTAGAATCTGCAAGTGGAGATATGGACCGCTTTGAGGCCTATGGTAGTAAAGGAAATAGCTTCATATAAAAGCTAGACAGTAGCATTCTCAGAAACTTCTTTGTGATGCTTGCATTCAACTCACAGAGTTGAACTTTCCTTTCGAGAGAGAAGCTTTGAAACACTCTTTTTCCAGAATCTGCAAGTGGACATTTGGAGGGCTTTGAGGCCTGTGGTGGAAAAGGAATTATCTTCCCGTAAAAGCTAGATAGAAGCATTGTCAGAAACTTCTTTGTGATGATTGCATTCAACTCACAGAGTTGAAGGTTCCTTTTCAAAGAGCAGTTTCCAATCACTCTTTGTGTGGAATCTGCAAGTGGACATTTGGACCTATTTTGAAGATTTCGTTGGAAACGGGAGAATCTTCACAGGAAAGCTAAACAGAAGCATTCTCAGAAACTTCTCTGTGATGTTTGTGTTCAACTCCCAGAGTTTCACATTGCTTTTCATAGAGTAGTTCTGAAACATGCTTTTCGTAGTGTCTACAAGTGGACATTTGGAGCGCTTTCAGGCCTGTGGTGGAAAACGAATTATGGTCACATAAAAACTGGAGAGAAGCCTTCTCAGAAACTTCTCTGTGATGATTGCATTCAACTCACAGAGTTGAACCCTCCTATGGATAGAGCAGTGTTGAAACTCTCTTTTTGTGGAATCTGCAAGTGGATATGTGGACCTCTCCGAAGATGTCTTTGGAAACGGGAATATCTTCACATAAAAACTAAACAGAAGCATTCTCAGAAACTTCTTGGTGATGTTTGCATTCAAATCCCAGAGTCGAACCTTCCTTTGATAGTTCAGGTTTGAAACACTCTTTTTGTAGGATCTGCAAGTGGATATTTGGACCACTCTGTGGCCTTCGTTCGAAACGGGTATATCTTCGCATAAAATCTAGACAGAAGCATTCTCAGAAAATACTTTGTGATGATTGAGTTTAACTCACAGAGCTGAACATTCCTTTGGATGGAGCAGGTTTGAGACACACTTTTTGTAGAATCTACAAGTGGATATTTGGACCTCTCTGAGGATTTCGTTGGAAACGGGATAACTGCACCTAACTAAACGGAAGCATTCTCAGAAACTGCTTTGTGATGATTGCATTCACCACACAGAGTTGAACATTCCTATTGATAGAGCAGTTTGGAAACACTCTTGTTGTGGAATGTGCAAGTGGAGATTTGGAGCGCTTTGAGGCCTATGGTAGTAAAGGGAATAGCTTCATAGAAAAACTAGACAGATGCATTCTCAGGAACTTTTTGGTGATGTTTGTATTCAACTCCCAGAGTTGAACTTTCCTTTGGAAAGAGCAGCTATGAAACACTGTTTTTCTAGAATCTGCAAGTGGACGTTTGGAGGGCTTTGTGGTTTGTGGTGGAAAAGGAAATATCTTCACCTAAATACTAGATAGAAGCATCCTCAGAAGCTTCTCTGTGATGACTGCATTCAACTCACGGAGTTGAACACTCCTTTTGAGAGCGCAGTTTTGAAACTCTCTTTCTGTGGCATCTGCAAGGGGACATGTAGACCTCTTTGAAGATTTCGTTGGAAACGGAATCATCTTCACATAAAAACTACACAGAAGCAGTCTCAGAATCTTCTTTGTGATGTTTGCATTCAAATCCCCGAGTTGAACTTTCCTTTCAAAGTTCACGTTTGAAACACTCTTTTTGCAGGATCTACAAGTGGATATTTGGACCACTCTGTGTCCTTCGATCGAAACGGGTATATCTTCACATGACATCTAGACAGAAGCTTTCTCAGAAAATTCTTTGGGATGATTGAGTGGAACTCACAGAGCTGAACATTCCTTGCGATGTAGCAGTTTAGAAACACACTTTCTGCAGAATCTGCAAGTGCATATTTGGACCTCTCTGAGGAATTCGTTGGAAACGGGATAATTTCAGCTGACTAAACAGAAGCATTCTCAGAACCTTCTTCGTGATGTCTGCATTCAACTCACAGTGTGGAACCTTTCTTTGATAGTTCAGGTTTGAAACACTCTTTTTGTAGAAACTGCAAGGGGATAATTGCACTTCTTTGAGGCCTACCGTAGTAAAGGAAATAACTTCCTATAGAAAGAAGACAGAAGCATTCTCAGAACCCTCTTCGTGATGTTTGCATTCAACTCACAGTGCTGAACCTTTCTTTGATAGTTCAGCTTTGAAACACTCTTCTTGTAGAAACTGCAAGTGGATATTTGGTCCTCTCTGAGGATTTCGTTGGAAACGGGATAAACCGCACAGAACTAAACAGAAGAATTCTCAGAGCCCTCTTCGTGATGTTTGCATTCAACTCACAGTGCTGAACCTTTCTTTGATAGTGCAGCTTTGAAACACTCTTTTTGTAGAAACTGCAAGTGGATGTTTGGTCCTCTCTGAGGATTTCGTTGGAAACGGGATAAACCGCACAGAACTAAAACAGAAGCATTGTCAGAAACTTCTTTGTGATGATTGCATTCAACTCACAGAGTTGAAGGTTCCTTTTCAAACAGCAGTTTCCAATCACTCTTTCTGTGGAATCTGCAAGTGGATATTTGGGCCTCTCTGAGGATTTCGTTGGAAACGGGATAAAACGCACAGAACTAAAACAGAAGCATTCTCAGAAACTTCTCTGTGATGTTTGTGTTCAACTCCCAGAGTTTCACGTTGCTTTTCATAGAGTAGTTCTGAAACATGCTTTTCGTAGTGTCTGCAAGTGGACATTTGGAGCGCTTTCAGGCCTGTGGTGGAAAACGAATTATGGTCACATAAAAACTGGAGAGAAGCCTTCTCAGAAACTTCTCTGTGATGATTGCATTCAACTCACAGAGTTGAACCCTCCTATGGATAGAGCAGTGTTGAAACTCTCTTTTTGTGGAATCTGCAAGTGGATATGTGGACCTCTCCGAAGATGTCTTTGGAAACGGGAATATCTTCACATAAAAACTAAACAGAAGCATTCTCAGAAACTTCTTGGTGATGTTTGCATTCAAATCCCAGAGTTGAACCTTCCTTTGATAGTTCAGGTTTGAAACACTCTTTCTGTAGGATCTGCAAGTGGCTATTTGGACCACTCTGTGGCCTTCGTTCGAAACGGGTATATCTTCGCATAAAATCTAGACAGAAGCATTCTCAGAAAATACTTTGTGATGATTGAGTTTAAATCACAGAGCTGAACATTCCTTTGGATGGAGCAGGTTTGAGACACACTTTTTGTAGAATCTACAAGTGGATATTTGGACCTCTCTGAGGATTTCGTTGGAAACGGGATAACTGCACCTAACTAAACGGAAGCATTCTCAGAAACTGCTTTGTGATGATTGCATTCACCTCACAGAGTTGAACATTCCTATTGATAGAGCAGTTTGGAAACACTCTTGTTGTGGAATGTGCAAGTGGAGATTTGGAGCGCTTTGAGGCCTATGGTAGTAAAGGGAATAGCTTCATAGAAAAACTAGACAGATGCATTCTCAGGAACTTTTTGGTGATGTTTGTATTCAACTCCCAGATTTGAACTTTCCTTTGGAAAGAGCAGCTATGAAACACTCTTTTTCTAGAATCTGCAAGTGGACGTTTGGAGGGCTTCGTGGTTTGTGGTGGAAAAGGAAATATCTTCACCTAAATACTAGATAGAAGCATTCTCAGAAGCTTCTCTGTGATGACTGCATTCAACTCACGGAGTTGAACACTCCTTTTGAGAGCGCAGTTTTGAAACTCTCTTTCTGTGGCATCTGCAAGGGGACATGTAGACCTCTTTGAAGATTTCGTTGGAAACGGAATCATCTTCACATAAAAACTATACAGAAGCAGTCTCAGAATCTTCTTTGTGATGTTTGCATTCAAATCCCAGAGTTGAACTTTCCTTTCAAAGTTCACGTTTGAAACACTCTTTTTGCAGGATCTACAAGTGGATATTTGGACCACTCTGTGTCCTTCGTTCGAAACGGGTATATCTTCACACGACATCTAGACAGAAGCTTTCTCAGAAAATTCTTTGGGATGATTGAGTGGAACTCACAGAGCTGAACATTCCTTGCGATGTAGCAGTTTAGAAACACACTTTCTGCAGAATCTGCAAGTGCATATTTGGACCTCTCTGAGGAATTCGTTGGAAACGGGATAATTTCAGCTGACTAAACAGAAGCATTCTCAGAACCTTCTTCGTGATGTCTGCATTCAACTCACAGTGTGGAACCTTTCTTTGATAGTTCAGGTTTGAAACACTCTTTTTGTAGAAACTGCAAGGGGATAATTGCACTTCTTTGAGGCCTACCGTAGTAAAGGAAATAACTTCCTATAGAAAGAAGACAGAAGCATTCTCAGAACCCTCTTCGTGATGTTTGCATTCAACTCACAGTGCTGAACCTTTCTTTGATAGTTCAGCTTTGAAACACTCTTCTTGTAGAAACTGCAAGTGGATATTTGGTCCTCTCTGAGGATTTCGTTGGAAACGGGATAAACCGCACAGAACTAAACAGAAGAATTCTCAGAGCCCTCTTCGTGATGTTTGCATTCAACTCACAGTGCTGAACCTTTCTTTGATAGTGCAGCTTTGAAACACTCTTTTTGTAGAAACTGCAAGTGGATGTTTGGTCCTCTCTGAGGATTTCGTTGGAAACGGGATAAACCGCACAGAACTAAAACAGAAGCATTGTCAGAAACTTCTTTGTGATGATTGCATTCAACTCACAGAGTTGAAGGTTCCTTTTCAAACAGCAGTTTCCAATCACTCTTTCTGTGGAATCTGCAAGTGGATATTTGGGCCTCTCTGAGGATTTCGTTGGAAACGGGATAAAACGCACAGAACTAAAACAGAAGCATTCTCAGAAACTTCTCTGTGATGTTTGTGTTCAACTCCCAGAGTTTCACGTTGCTTTTCATAGAGTAGTTCTGAAACATGCTTTTCGTAGTGTCTGCAAGTGGACATTTGGAGCGCTTTCAGGCCTGTGGTGGAAAACGAATTATGGTCACATAAAAACTGGAGAGAAGCCTTCTCAGAAACTTCTCTGTGATGATTGCATTCAACTCACAGAGTTGAACCCTCCTATGGATAGAGCAGTGTTGAAACTCTCTTTTTGTGGAATCTGCAAGTGGATATGTGGACCTCTCCGAAGATGTCTTTGGAAACGGGAATATCTTCACATAAAAACTAAACAGAAGCATTCTCAGAAACTTCTTGGTGATGTTTGCATTCAAATCCCAGAGTTGAACCTTCCTTTGATAGTTCAGGTTTGAAACACTCTTTCTGTAGGATCTGCAAGTGGCTATTTGGACCACTCTGTGGCCTTCGTTCGAAACGGGTATATCTTCGCATAAAATCTAGACAGAAGCATTCTCAGAAAATACTTTGTGATGATTGAGTTTAAATCACAGAGCTGACCATTCCTTTGGATGGAGCAGGTTTGAGACACACTTTTTGTAGAATCTACAAGTGGATATTTGGACCTCTCTGAGGATTTCGTTGGAAACGGGATAACTGCACCTAACTAAACGGAAGCATTCTCAGAAACTGCTTTGTGATGATTGCATTCACCTCACAGAGTTGAACATTCCTATTGATAGAGCAGTTTGGAAACACTCTTGTTGTGGAATGTGCAAGTGGAGATTTGGAGCGCTTTGAGGCCTATGGTAGTAAAGGGAATAGCTTCATAGAAAAACTAGACAGATGCATTCTCAGGAACTTTTTGGTGATGTTTGTATTCAACTCCCAGAGTTGAACTTTCCTTTGGAAAGAGCAGCTATGAAACACTCTTTTTCTAGAATCTGCAAGTGGACGTTTGGAGGGCTTTGTGGTTTGTGGTGGAAAAGGAAATATCTTCACCTAAATACTAGATAGAAGCATTCTCAGAAGCTTCTCTGTGATGACTGCATTCAACTCACGGAGTTGAACACTCCTTTTGAGAGCGCAGTTTTGAAACTCTCTTTCTGTGGCATCTGCAAGGGGACATGTAGACCTCTTTGAAGATTTCGTTGGAAACGGAATCATCTTCACATAAAAACTATACAGAAGCAGTCTCAGAATCTTCTTTGTGATGTTTGCATTCAAATCCCAGAGTTGAACTTTCCTTTCAAAGTTCACGTTTGAAACACTCTTTTTGCAGGATCTACAAGTGGATATTTGGACCACTCTGTGTCCTTCGTTCGAAACGGGTATATCTTCACAGGACATCTAGACAGAAGCTTTCTCAGAAAATCCTTTGGGATGATTGAGTGGAACTCACAGAGCTGAACATTCCTTGCGATGTAGCAGTTTAGAAACACACTTTCTGCAGAATCTGCAAGTGCATATGTGGACCTCTCCGAGGAATTCGTTGGAAACGGGATAATTTCAGCTGACTAAACAGAAGCATTCTCAGAACCTTCTTCGTGATGTCTGCATTCAACTCACAGTGTGGAACCTTTCTTTGATAGTTCAGGTTTGAAACACTCTTTTTGTAGAAACTGCAAGGGGATAATTGCACTTCTTTGAGGCCTACCGTAGTAAAGGAAATAACTTCCTATAGAAAGAAGACAGAAGCATTCTCAGAACCCTCTTCGTGATGTTTGCATTCAACTCACAGTGCTGAACCTTTCTTTGATAGTTCAGCTTTGAAACACTCTTCTTGTAGAAACTGCAAGTGGATATTTGGTCCTCTCTGAGGATTTCGTTGGAAACGGGATAAACCGCACAGAACTAAACAGAAGAATTCTCAGAGCCCTCTTCGTGATGTTTGCATTCAACTCACAGTGCTGAACCTTTCTTTGATAGTGCAGCTTTGAAACACTCTTTTTGTAGAAACTGCAAGTGGATATTTGGTCCTCTCTGAGGATTTCGTTGGAAACGGGATAAGCCGCACAGAACTAAAACAGAAGCATTGTCAGAAACTTCTTTGTGATGATTGCATTCAACTCACAGAGTTGAAGGTTCCTTTTCAAACAGCAGTTTCCAATCACTCTTTCTGTGGAATCTGCAAGTGGATATTTGGGCCTCTCTGAGGATTTCGTTGGAAACGGGATAAAACGCACAGAACTAAAACAGAAGCATTCTCAGAAACTTCTCTGTGATGTTTGTGTTCAACTCCCAGAGTTTCACGTTGCTTTTCATAGAGTAGTTCTGAAACATGCTTTTCGTAGTGTCTGCAAGTGGACATTTGGAGCGCTTTCAGGCCTGTGGTGGAAAACGAATTATGGTCACATAAAAACTGGAGAGAAGCCTTCTCAGAAACTTCTCTGTGATGATTGCATTCAACTCACTGAGTTGAACCCTCCTATTGGATAGAGCAGTGTTGAAACTCTCTTTTTGTGGAATCTGCAAGTGGATATGTGGACCTCTCCGAAGATGTCTTTGGAAACGGGAATATCTTCACATAAAAACTAAACAGAAGCATTCTCAGAAACTTCTTGGTGATGTTTGCATTCAAATCCCAGAGTTGAACCTTCCTTTGATAGTTCAGGTTTGAAACACTCTTTTTGTAGGATCTGCAAGTAGCTATTTGGACCACTCTGTGGCCTTCGTTCGAAACGGGTACATCTTCGCATAAAATCTAGACAGAAGCATTCTCAGAAAATACTTTGTGATGATTGAGTTGAACTCACAGAGCTGAACATTCCTTTGGATGGAGCAGGTTTGAGACACACTTTTTGTAGAATCTACAAGTGGATATTTGGACCTCTCTGAGGATTTCGTTGGAAACGGGATAACTGCACCTAACTAAACGGAAGCATTCTCAGAAACTCCTTTGTGATGATTGCATTCACCTTACAGAGTTGAACATTCCTATTGATAGAGCAGTTTGGAAACACTGTTGTTGTGGAATGTGCAAGTGGAGATTTGGAGCGCTTTGAGGCCTATGGTAGTAAAGGGAATAGCTTCATAGAAAAACTAGACAGATGCATTCTCAGGAACTTTTTGGTGATGTTTGTATTCAACTCCCAGAGTTGAACTTTCCTTTGGAAAGAGCAGCTATGAAACACTCTTTTTCTAGAATCTGCAAGTGGACGTTTGGAGGGCTTTGTGGTTTGTGGTGGAAAAGGAAATATCTTCACCTAAATACTAGAGAGAAGCATTCTCAGAAGCTTCTCTGTGATGACTGCATTCAACTCACGGAGTTGAACACTCCTTTTGAGAGCGCAGTTTTGAAACTCTCTTTCTGTGGCATCCGCAAGGGGACATGTAGACCTCTTTGAAGATTTCGTTGGAAACGGAATCATCTTCACATAAAAACTATACAGAAGCAGTCTCAGAATCTTCTTTGTGATGTTTGCATTCAAATCCCAGAGTTGAACTTTCCTTTCAAAGTTCACGTTTGAAACACTCTTTTTGCAGGATCTACAAGTGGATATTTGGACCACTCTGTGTCCTTCGTTCGAAACGGGTATATCTTCACATGACATCTAGACAGAAGCTTTCTCAGAAAATTCTTTGGGATGATTGAGTGGAACTCACAGAGCTGAACATTCCTTGCGATGTAGCAGTTTAGAAACACACTTTCTGCAGAATCTGCAAGTGCATATTTGGACCTCTCTGAGGAATTCGTTGGAAACGGGATAATTTCAGCTGACTAAACAGAAGCATTCACAGAACCTTCTTCGTGATGTCTGCATTCAACTCACAGTGTGGAACCTTTCTTTGATAGTTCAGCTTTGAAACACTCTTTTTGTAGAAACTGCAAGGGGATAATTGCACTTCTTTGAGGCCTACCGTAGTAAAGGAAATAACTTCCTATAGAAAGAAGACAGAAGCATTCTCAGAACCCTCTTCGTGATGTTTGCATTCAACTCACAGTGCTGAACCTTTCTTTGATAGTTCAGCTTTGAAACACTCTTCTTGTAGAAACTGCAAGTGGATATTTGGTCCTCTCTGAGGATTTCGTTGGAAACGGGATAAACCGCACAGAACTAAACAGAAGAATTCTCAGAGCCCTCTTCGTGATGTTTGCATTCAACTCACAGTGCTGAACCTTTCTTTGATAGTGCAGCTTTGAAACACTCTTTTTGTAGAAACTGCAAGTGGATGTTTGGTCCTCTCTGAGGATTTCGTTGGAAACGGGATAAACCGCACAGAACTAAAACAGAAGCATTGTCAGAAACTTCTTTGTGATGATTGCATTCAACTCACAGAGTTGAAGGTTCCTTTTCAAACAGCAGTTTCCAATCACTCTTTCTGTGGAATCTGCAAGTGGATATTTGGGCCTCTCTGAGGATTTCGTTGGAAACGGGATAAAACGCACAGAACTAAAACAGAAGCATTCTCAGAAACTTCTCTGTGATGTTTGTGTTCAACTCCCAGAGTTTCACGTTGCTTTTCATAGAGTAGTTCTGAAACATGCTTTTCGTAGTGTCTGCAAGTGGACATTTGGAGCGCTTTCAGGCCTGTGGTGGAAAACGAATTATGGTCACATAAAAACTGGAGAGAAGCCTTCTCAGAAACTTCTCTGTGATGATTGCATTCAACTCACAGAGTTGAACCCTCCTATGGATAGAGCAGTGTTGAAACTCTCTTTTTGTGGAATCTGCAAGTGGATATGTGGACCTCTCCGAAGATGTCTTTGGAAACGGGAATATCTTCACATAAAAACTAAACAGAAGCATTCTCAGAAACTTCTTGGTGATGTTTGCATTCAAATCCCAGAGTTGAACCTTCCTTTGATAGTTCAGGTTTGAAACACTCTTTCTGTAGGATCTGCAAGTGGCTATTTGGACCACTCTGTGGCCTTCGTTCGAAACGGGTATATCTTCGCATAAAATCTAGACAGAAGCATTCTCAGAAAATACTTTGTGATGATTGAGTTTAAATCACAGAGCTGACCATTCCTTTGGATGGAGCAGGTTTGAGACACACTTTTTGTAGAATCTACAAGTGGATATTTGGACCTCTCTGAGGATTTCGTTGGAAACGGGATAACTGCACCTAACTAAACGGAAGCATTCTCAGAAACTGCTTTGTGATGATTGCATTCACCTCACAGAGTTGAACATTCCTATTGATAGAGCAGTTTGGAAACACTCTTGTTGTGGAATGTGCAAGTGGAGATTTGGAGCGCTTTGAGGCCTGTGGTAGTAAAGGGAATAGCTTCATAGAAAAACTAGACAGATGCATTCTCAGGAACTTTTTGGTGATGTTTGTATTCAACTCCCAGAGTTGAACTTTCCTTTGGAAAGAGCAGCTATGAAACACTCTTTTTCTAGAATCTGCAAGTGGACGTTTGGAGGGCTTTGTGGTTTGTGGTGGAAAAGGAAATATCTTCACCTAAATACTAGACAGAGTCATTCTCAGTAAGCTTCTCTGTGATGACTGCATTCAACTCACGGAGTTGAACACTCCTTTTGAGAGCGCAGTTTTGAAACTCTCTTTCTGTGGCATCTGCAAGGGGACATGTAGACCTCTTTGAAGATTTCGTTGGAAACGGAATCATCTTCACATAAAAACTATACAGAAGCAGTCTCAGAATCTTCTTTGTGATGTTTGCATTCAAATCCCGGAGTTGAACTTCCCTTTCAAAGTTCACGTTTGAAACACTCTTTTTGCAGGATCTACAAGTGGATATTTGGACCACTCTGTGTCCTTCGTTCGAAACGGGTATATCTTCACATGACATCTAGACAGAAGCTTTCTCAGAAAATTCTTTGGGATGATTGAGTGGAACTCACAGAGCTGAACATTCCTTGCGATGTAGCAGTTTAGAAACACACTTTCTGCAGAATCTGCAAGTGCATATTTGGACCTCTCTGAGGAATTCGTTGGAAACGGGATAATTTCAGCTGACTAAACAGAAGCATTCTCAGAACCTTCTTCGTGATGTCTGCATTCAACTCACAGTGTGGAACCTTTCTTTGATAGTTCAGGTTTGAAACACTCTTTTTGTAGAAACTGCAAGGGGATAATGGCACTTCTTTGAGGCCTACCGTAGTAAAGGAAATAACTTCCTATAGAAAGAAGACAGAAGCATTCTCAGAACCCTCTTCGTGATGTTTGCATTCAACTCACAGTGCTGAACCTTTCTTTGATAGTTCAGCTTTGAAACACTCTTCTTGTAGAAACTGCAAGTGGATATTTGGTCCTCTCTGAGGATTTCGTTGGAAACGGGATAAACCGCACAGAACTAAACAGAAGCATTCTCAGAACCTTCTTCGTGATGTTTGCATTCAACTCACAGTGTTGAACCTTTCTTTGATAGTTCAGGTTTGAAACGGTCTTTCTGTAGAAACTGCAAGTAGATATTTGGACCTCTCTGAGGATTTCGTTGGAAACGGGATAAACCGCACAGAACTAAAACAGAAGCATTCACAGAAAACTCTTGGTGACGACTGAGTTTAACTCACAGAGCTGAACATTCCTTTGGATGGAGCAGTTTCGAAACACACTATTTGTAGAATGTGCAAGTGGATATTTGGGCCTCTCTGAGGATTTCGTTGGAAACGGGATAAACCGCACAGAACTAAACAGAAGCATTCTCAGTAAACTACTTTGTGATGATTGCATTCAAGTCACAGAGTTGAACATTCCCTTTGACAGAGCAGTTTGGAAACTCTCTTTGTGTAGAATCTGCAAGTGGAGATATGGACCGCTTTGAGGCCTATGGTAGTAAAGGAAATAGCTTCATATAAAAGCTAGACAGTAGCATTCTCAGAAACTTCTTTGTGATGCTTGCATTCAACTCACAGAGTTGAACTTTCCTTTCGAGAGAGAAGCTTTGAAACACTCTTTTTCCAGAATGTGCAAGTGGACATTTGGGGAGCTTTGAGGCCTGTGGAGGAAAAGGAATTATCTTCCCGTAAAAGCTAGATAGAAGCATTGTCAGAAACTTCTTTGTGATGATTGCATTCAACTCACAGAGTTGAAGGTTCCTTTTCAAACAGCAGTTTCCAATCACTCTTTCTGTGGAATCTGCAAGTGGATATTTCGACCTCTTTGAAGATTTCGTTGGAAACGGGAGAATCTTCACAGAAAAGTTCAACAGAAGCATTCTCAGAAACTTCTCTGTGATGTTTGTGTTCAACTCCCAGAGTTTCACGTTGCTTTTCATAGAGTAGTTCTGAAACATGCTTTTCGTAGTGTCTGCAAGTGGACATTTGGAGCGCTTTCAGGCCTGTGGTGGAAAACGAATTATGGTCACATAAAAACTGGAGAGAAGCCTTCTCAGAAACTTCTCTGTGATGATTGCATTCAACTCACAGAGTTGAACCCTCCTATGGATAGAGCAGTGTTGAAACTCTCTTTTTGTGGAATCTGCAAGTGGATATGTGGACCTCTCCGAAGATGTCTTTGGAAACGGGAATATCTTCACATAAAAACTAAACAGAAGCATTCTCAGAAACTTCTTGGTGATGTTTGCATTCAAATCCCAGAGTTGAACCTTCCTTTGATAGTTCAGGTTTGAAACACTCTTTCTGTAGGATCTGCAAGTGGCTATTTGGACCACTCTGTGGCCTTCGTTCGAAACGGGTATATCTTCGCATAAAATCTAGACAGAAGCATTCTCAGAAAATACTTTGTGATGATTGAGTTTAAATCACAGAGCTGACCATTCCTTTGGATGGAGCAGGTTTGAGACACACTTTTTGTAGAATCTACAAGTGGATATTTGGACCTCTCTGAGGATTTCGTTGGAAACGGGATAACTGCACCTAACTAAACGGAAGCATTCTCAGAAACTGCTTTGTGATGATTGCATTCACCTCACAGAGTTGAACATTCCTATTGATAGAGCAGTTTGGAAACACTCTTGTTGTGGAATGTGCAAGTGGAGATTTGGAGCGCTTTGAGGCCTATGGTAGTAAAGGGAATAGCTTCATAGAAAAACTAGACAGATGCATTCTCAGGAACTTTTTGGTGATGTTTGTATTCAACTCCCAGAGTTGAACTTTCCTTTGGAAAGAGCAGCTATGAAACACTCTTTTTCTAGAATCTGCAAGTGGACGTTTGGAGGGCTTTGTGGTTTGTGGTGGAAAAGGAAATATCTTCACCTAAATACTAGATAGAAGCATTCTCAGAAGCTTCTCTGTGATGACTGCATTCAACTCACGGAGTTGAACACTCCTTTTGAGAGCGCAGTTTTGAAACTCTCTTTCTGTGGCATCTGCAAGGGGACATGTAGACCTCTTTGAAGATTTCGTTGGAAACGGAATCATCTTCACATAAAAACTATACAGAAGCAGTCTCAGAATCTTCTTTGTGATGTTTGCATTCAAATCCCAGAGTTGAACTTTCCTTTCAAAGTTCACGTTTGAAACACTCTTTTTGCAGGATCTACAAGTGGATATTTGGACCACTCTGTGTCCTTCGTTCGAAACGGGTATATCTTCACACGACATCTAGACAGAAGCTTTCTCAGAAAATTCTTTGGGATGATTGAGTGGAACTCACAGAGCTGAACATTCCTTGCGATGTAGCAGTTTAGAAACACACTTTCTGCAGAATCTGCAAGTGCATATTTGGACCTCTCTGAGGAATTCGTTGGAAACGGGATAATTTCAGCTGACTAAACAGAAGCATTCTCAGAACCTTCTTCGTGATGTCTGCATTCAACTCACAGTGTGGAACCTTTCTTTGATAGTTCAGGTTTGAAACACTCTTTTTGTAGAAACTGCAAGGGGATAATTGCACTTCTTTGAGGCCTACCGTAGTAAAGGAAATAACTTCCTATAGAAAGAAGACAGAAGCATTCTCAGAACCCTCTTCGTGATGTTTGCATTCAACTCACAGTGCTGAACCTTTCTTTGATAGTTCAGCTTTGAAACACTCTTCTTGTAGAAACTGCAAGTGGATATTTGGTCCTCTCTGAGGATTTCGTTGGAAACGGGATAAACCGCACAGAACTAAACAGAAGAATTCTCAGAGCCCTCTTCGTGATGTTTGCATTCAACTCACAGTGCTGAACCTTTCTTTGATAGTGCAGCTTTGAAACACTCTTTTTGTAGAAACTGCAAGTGGATGTTTGGTCCTCTCTGAGGATTTCGTTGGAAACGGGATAAACCGCACAGAACTAAAACAGAAGCATTGTCAGAAACTTCTTTGTGATGATTGCATTCAACTCACAGAGTTGAAGGTTCCTTTTCAAACAGCAGTTTCCAATCACTCTTTCTGTGGAATCTGCAAGTGGATATTTGGGCCTCTCTGAGGATTTCGTTGGAAACGGGATAAAACGCACAGAACTAAAACAGAAGCATTCTCAGAAACTTCTCTGTGATGTTTGTGTTCAACTCCCAGAGTTTCACGTTGCTTTTCATAGAGTAGTTCTGAAACATGCTTTTCGTAGTGTCTGCAAGTGGACATTTGGAGCGCTTTCAGGCCTGTGGTGGAAAACGAATTATGGTCACATAAAAACTGGAGAGAAGCCTTCTCAGAAACTTCTCTGTGATGATTGCATTCAACTCACAGAGTTGAACCCTCCTATGGATAGAGCAGTGTTGAAACTCTCTTTTTGTGGAATCTGCAAGTGGATATGTGGACCTCTCCGAAGATGTCTTTGGAAACGGGAATATCTTCACATAAAAACTAAACAGAAGCATTCTCAGAAACTTCTTGGTGATGTTTGCATTCAAATCCCAGAGTTGAACCTTCCTTTGATAGTTCAGGTTTGAAACACTCTTTCTGTAGGATCTGCAAGTGGCTATTTGGACCACTCTGTGGCCTTCGTTCGAAACGGGTATATCTTCGCATAAAATCTAGACAGAAGCATTCTCAGAAAATACTTTGTGATGATTGAGTTTAAATCACAGAGCTGACCATTCCTTTGGATGGAGCAGGTTTGAGACACACTTTTTGTAGAATCTACAAGTGGATATTTGGACCTCTCTGAGGATTTCGTTGGAAACGGGATAACTGCACCTAACTAAACGGAAGCATTCTCAGAAACTGCTTTGTGATGATTGCATTCACCTCACAGAGTTGAACATTCCTATTGATAGAGCAGTTTGGAAACACTCTTGTTGTGGAATGTGCAAGTGGAGATTTGGAGCGCTTTGAGGCCTATGGTAGTAAAGGGAATAGCTTCATAGAAAAACTAGACAGATGCATTCTCAGGAACTTTTTGGTGATGTTTGTATTCAACTCCCAGAGTTGAACTTTCCTTTGGAAAGAGCAGCTATGAAACACTCTTTTTCTAGAATCTGCAAGTGGACGTTTGGAGGGCTTTGTGGTTTGTGGTGGAAAAGGAAATATCTTCACCTAAATACTAGATAGAAGCATTCTCAGAAGCTTCTCTGTGATGACTGCATTCAACTCACGGAGTTGAACACTCCTTTTGAGAGCGCAGTTTTGAAACTCTCTTTCTGTGGCATCTGCAAGGGGACATGTAGACCTCTTTGAAGATTTCGTTGGAAACGGAATCATCTTCACATAAAAACTATACAGAAGCAGTCTCAGAATCTTCTTTGTGATGTTTGCATTCAAATCCCAGAGTTGAACTTTCCTTTCAAAGTTCACGTTTGAAACACTCTTTTTGCAGGATCTACAAGTGGATAATTGGACCACTCTGTGTCCTTCGTTCGAAACGGGTATATCGTCACATGACATCTAGACAGAAGCTTTCTCAGAAAATTCTTTGGGATGATTGAGTGGAACTCACAGAGCTGAACATTCCTTGCGATGTAGCAGTTTAGAAACACACTTTCTGCAGAATCTGCAAGTGCATATTTGGACCTCTCTGAGGAATTCGTTGGAAACGGGATAATTTCAGCTGACTAAACAGAAGCATTCTCAGAACCTTCTTCGTGATGTCTGCATTCAACTCACAGTGTGGAACCTTTCTTTGATAGTTCAGGTTTGAAACACTCTTTTTGTAGAAACTGCAAGGGGATAATTGCACTTCTTTGAGGCCTACCGTAGTAAAGGAAATAACTTCCTATAGAAAGAAGACAGAAGCATTCTCAGAACCCTCTTCGTGATGTTTGCATTCAACTCACAGTGCTGAACCTTTCTTTGATAGTTCAGCTTTGAAACACTCTTCTTGTAGAAACTGCAAGTGGATATTTGGTCCTCTCTGAGGATTTCGTTGGAAACGGGATAAACCGCACAGAACTAAACAGAAGCATTCTCAGAGCCCTCTTCGTGATGTTTGCATTCAACTCACAGTGCTGAACCTTTCTTTGATAGTGCAGCTTTGAAACACTCTTTTTGTAGAAACTGCAAGTGGATGTTTGGTCCTCTCTGAGGATTTCCGTTGGAAACGGGATAAACCGCACAGAACTAAAACAGAAGCATTCTCAGAACCTTCTTCGTGATGTTTGCATTCAACTCACAGTGTTGAACCTTTCTTTGATAGTTCAGGTTTGAAACGGTCTTTCTGTAGAAACTGCAAGTAGATATTTGGACCTCTCTGAGGATTTCGTTAGAAACCGGATAAACCGCACAGAACTAAAACAGAAGCTTTCACAGAAAACTCTTGGTGACGACTGAGTTTAACTCACAGAGCTGAACATTCCTTTGGATGGAGCAGTTTCGAAACACACTATTTGTAGAATGTGCAAGTGGATATGTGGGCCTCTCTGAGGATTTCGTTGGAAACGGGATAAACCGCCCAGAACTAAACAGAAGCATTCTCAGAAACTACTTTGTGATGATTGCATTCAAGTCACAGTAGTTGAACATTCCCTTTGACAGAGCAGTTTGGAAACTCTCTTTGTGTAGAATCTGCAAGTGGAGATATGGACCGCTTTGAGGCCTATGGTAGTAAAGGAAATAGCTTCATATAAAAGCTAGACAGTAGCATTCTCAGAAACTTCTTTGTGATGCTTGCATTCAACTCACAGAGTTGAACTTTCCTTTCGAGAGAGAAGCTTTGAAACACTCTTTTTCCAGAATCTGCAAGTGGACATTTGGAGGGCTTTGAGGCCTGTGGTGGAAAAGGAATTATCTTCCCGTAAAAGCTAGATAGAAGCATTGTCAGAAACTTCTTTGTGATGATTGCATTCAACTCACAGAGTTGAAGGTTCCTTTTCAAAGAGCAGTTTCCAATCACTCTTTGTGTGGAATCTGCAAGTGGATATTTGGACCTATTTTGAAGATTTCGTTGGAAACGGGAGAATCTTCACAGGAAAGCTAAACAGAAGCATTCTCAGAAACTTCTCTGTGATGTTTGTGTTCAACTCCCAGAGTTTCACATTGCTTTTCATAGAGTAGTTCTGAAACATGCTTTTCGTAGTGTCTACAAGTGGACATTTGGAGCGCTTTCAGGCCTGTGGTGGAAAACGAGTTATGGTCACATAAAAACTGGAGAGAAGCCTTCTCAGAAACTTCTCTGTGATGATTGCATTCAACTCACAGAGTTGAACCCTCCTATGGATAGAGCAGTGTTGAAACTCTCTTTTTGTGGAATCTGCAAGTGGATATGTGGACCTCTCCGAAGATGTCTTTGGAAACGGGAATATCTTCACATAAAAACTAAACAGAAGCATTCTCAGAAACTTCTTGGTGATGTTTGCATTCAAATCCCAGAGTTGAACCTTCCTTTGATAGTTCAGGTTTGAAACACTCTTTTTGTAGGATCTGCAAGTGGATATTTGGACCACTCTGTGGCCTTCGTTCGAAACGGGTATATCTTCGCATAAAATCTAGACAGAAGCATTCTCAGAAAATACTTTGTGATGATTGAGTTTAAATCACAGAGCTGAACATTCCTTTGGATGGAGCAGGTTTGAGACACACTTTTTGTAGAATCTACAAGTGGATATTTGGACCTCTCTGAGGATTTCGTTGGAAACGGGATAACTGCACCTAACTAAACGGAAGCATTCTCAGAAACTGCATTGTGATGATTGCATTCACCTCACAGAGTTGAACATTCCTATTGATAGAGCAGTTTGGAAACACTCTTGTTGTGGAATGTGCAAGTGGAGATTTGGAGCGCTTTGAGGCCTATGGTAGTAAAGGGAATAGCTTCATAGAAAAACTAGACAGATGCATTCTCAGGAACTTTTTGGTGATGTTTGTATTCAACTCCCAGAGTTGAACTTTCCTTTGGAAAGAGCAGCTATGAAACACTCTTTTTCTAGAATCTACAAGTGGACGTTTGGAGGGCTTTGTGGTTTGTGGTGGAAAAGGAAATATCTTCACCTAAATACTAGAGAGAAGCATTCTCAGAAGCTTCTCTGTGATGACTGCATTCAACTCACGGAGTTGAACACTCCTTTTGAGAGCGCAGTTTTGAAACTCCCTTTCTGTGGCATCTGCAAGGGGACATGTAGACCTCTTTGAAGATTTCGTTGGAAACGGAATCATCTTCACATAAAAACTATACAGAAGCAGTCTCAGAATCTTCTTTGTGATGTTTGCATTCAAATCCCAGAGTTGAAATTTCCTTTCAAAGTTCACGTTTGAAACACTCTTTTTGCAGGATCTACAAGTGGATATTTGGACCACTCTGTGTCCTTCGTTCGAAACAGGTCTATCTTCACATGACATCTAGACAGAAGCTTTCTCAGAAAATTCTTTGGGATGATTGAGTTGAACTCACAGAGCTGAACATTCCTTGCGATGTAGCAGTTTAGAAACACACTTTCTGCAGAATCTGCAAGTGCATATTTGGACCTCTCTGAGGAATTCGTTGGAAACGGGATAATTTCAGCTGACTAAACAGAAGCATTCTCAGAACCTTCTTCGTGATGTCTGCATTCAACTCACAGTGTGGAACCTTTCTTTGATAGTTCAGGTTTGAAACACTCTTTTTGTAGAAACTGCAAGGGGATAATTGCACTTCTTTGAGGCCTACCGTAGTAAAGGAAATAACTTCCTATAAAAAGAAGACAGAAGCATTCTCAGAACCCTCTTCGTGATGTTTGCATTCAACTCACAGTGCTGAACCTTTCTTTGATAGTTCAGCTTTGAAACACTCTTCTTGTAGAAACTGCAAGTGGATATTTGGTCCTCTCTGAGGATTTCGTTGGAAACGGGATAAACCGCACAGAACTAAACAGAAGAATTCTCAGAGCCCTCTTCGTGATGTTTGCATTCAACTCACAGTGCTGAACCTTTCTTTGATAGTGCAGCTTTGAAACACTCTTTTTGTAGAAACTGCAAGTGGATATTTGGTCCTCTCTGAGGATTTCGTTGGAAACGGGATAAACCGCACAGAACTAAAACAGAAGCATTCACAGAAAACTCTTGGTGACGACTGAGTTTAACTCACAGAGCTGAACATTCCTTTGGATGGAGCAGTTTCGAAACACACTATTTGTAGAATCTGCAAGTGGATATTTGGGCCTCTCTGAGGATTTCGTTGGAAACGGGATAAAACGCACAGAACTAAAACAGAAGCATTCTCAGAAACTACTTTGTGATGATTGCATTCAAGTCACAGAGTTGAACATTCCCTTTGACAGAGCAGTTTGGAAACTCTCTTTGTGTAGAATCTGCAAGTGGAGATATGGACCGCTTTGAGGCCTATGGTAGTAAAGGAAATAGCTTCATATAAAAGCTAGACAGTAGCATTCTCAGAAAACTTCTTTGTGATGCTTGCATTCAACTCACAGAGTTGAACTTTCCTTTCGAGAGAGAAGCTTTGAAACACTCTTTTTCCAGAATGTGCAAGTGGACATTTGGGGAGCTTTGAGGCCTGTGGTGGAAAAGGAATTATCTTCCCGTAAAAGCTAGATAGAAGCATTGTCAGAAACTTCTTTGTGATGATTGCATTCAACTCACAGGAGTTGAAGGTTCCTTTTCAAACAGCAGTTTCCAATCACTCTTTCTGTGGAATCTGCAAGTGGATATTTCGACCTCTTTGAAGATTTCGTTGGAAACGGGAGAATCTTCACAGAAAAGCTAAACAGAAGCATTCTCAGAAACTTCTCTGTGATGTTTGTGTTCAACTCCCAGAGTTTCACGTTGCTTTTCATAGAGTAGTTCTGAAACATGCTTTTCGTAGTGTCTGCAAGTGGACATTTGGAGCGCTTTCAGGCCTGTGGTGGAAAACGAATTATGGTCACATAAAAACTGGAGAGAAGCCTTCTCAGAAACTTCTCTGTGATGATTGCATTCAACTCACAGAGTTGAACCCTCCTATGGATAGAGCAGTGTTGAAACTCTCTTTTTGTGGAATCTGCAAGTGGATATGTGGAGCTCTCCGAAGATGTCTTTGGAAACGGGAATATCTTCACATAAAAACTAAACAGAAGCATTCTCAGAAACTTCTTGGTGATGTTTGCATTCAAATCCCAGAGTTGAACCTTCCTTTGATAGTTCAGGTTTGAAACACTCTTTTTGTAGGATCTGCAAGTGGATATTTGGACCACTCTGTGGCCTTCGTTCGAAACGGGTATATCTTCGCATAAAATCTAGACAGAAGCATTCTCAGAAAATACTTTGTGATGATTGAGTTTAAATCACAGAGCTGAACATTCCTTTGGATGGAGCAGGTTTGAGACACACTTTTTGTAGAATCTACAAGTGGATATTTGGACCTCTCTGAGGATTTCGTTGGAAACGGGATAACTGCACCTAACTAAACGGAAGCATTCTCAGAAACTGCTTTGTGATGATTGCATTCACCTCACAGAGTTGAACATTCCTATTGATAGAGCAGTTTGGAAACACTCTTGTTGTGGAATGTGCAAGTGGAGATTTGGAGCGCTTTGAGGTCTATGGTAGTAAAGGGAATAGCTTCATAGAAAAACTAGACAGATGCATTCTCAGGAACTTTTTGGTGATGTTTGTATTCAACTCCCAGAGTTGAACTTTCCTTTGGAAAGAGCAGCTATGAAACACTCTTTTTCTAGAATCTGCAAGTGGACGTTTGGAGGGCTTTGTGGTTTGTGGTGGAAAAGGAAATATCTTCACCTAAATACTAGATAGAAGCATTCTCAGAAGCTTCTCTGTGATGACTGCATTCAACTCACGGAGTTGAACACTCCTTTTGAGAGCGCAGTTTTGAAACTCTCTTTCTGTGGCATCCGCATGGGGACATGTAGACCTCTTTGAAGATTTCGTTGGAAACGGAATCATCTTCACATAAAAACTATACAGAAGCAGTCTCAGAATCTTCTTTGTGATGTTTGCATTCAAATCCCAGAGTTGAACTTTCCTTTCAAAGTTCACGTTTGAAACACTCTTTTTGCAGGATCTACAAGTGGATATTTGGACCACTCTGTGTCCTTCGTTCGAAACGGGTATATCTTCACATGACATCTAGACAGAAGCTTTCTCAGAAAATTCTTTGGGATGATTGAGTGGAACTCACAGAGCTGAACATTCCTTGCGATGTAGCAGTTTAGAAACACACTTTCTGCAGAATCTGCAAGTGCATATTTGGACCTCTCTGAGGAATTCGTTGGAAACGGGATAATTTCAGCTGACTAAACAGAAGCATTCTCAGAACCTTCTTCGTGATGTCTGCATTCAACTCACAGTGTGGAACCTTTCTTTGATAGTTCAGGTTTGAAACACTCTTTTTGTAGAAACTGCAAGGGGATAATTGCACTTCTTTGAGGCCTACCGTAGTAAAGGAAATAACTTCCTATAGAAAGAAGACAGAAGCATTCTCAGAACCCTCTTCGTGATGTTTGCATTCAACTCACAGTGCTGAACCTTTCTTTGATAGTTCAGCTTTGAAACACTCTTCTTGTAGAAACTGCAAGTGGATATTTGGTCCTCTCTGAGGATTTCGTTGGAAACGGGATAAACCGCACAGAACTAAACAGAAGAATTCTCAGAGCCCTCTTCGTGATGTTTGCATTCAACTCACAAGTGCTGAACCTTTCTTTGATAGTGCAGCTTTGAAACACTCTTTTTGTAGAAACTGCAAGTGGATGTTTGGTCCTCTCTGAGGATTTCGTTGGAAACGGGATAAACCGCACAGAACTAAAACAGAAGCATTCACAGAAAACTCTTGGTGACGACTGAGTTTAACTCACAGAGCTGAACATTCCTTTGGATGGAGCAGTTTCGAAACACACTATTTGTAGAATCTGCAAGTGGATATTTGGGCCTCTCTGAGGATTTCGTTGGAAACGGGATAAAACGCACAGAACTAAAACAGAAGCATTCTCAGAAACTACTTTGTGATGATTGCATTCAAGTCACAGAGTTGAACATTCCCTTTGACAGAGCAGTTTGGAAACTCTCTTTGTGTAGAATCTGCAAGTGGAGATATGGACCGCTTTGAGGCCTATGGTAGTAAAGGAAATAGCTTCATATAAAAGCTAGACAGTAGCATTCTCAGAAACTTCTTTGTGATGCTTGCATTCAACTCACAGAGTTGAACTTTCCTTTCGAGAGAGAAGCTTTGAAACACTCTTTTTCCAGAATGTGCAAGTAGACATTTGGGGAGCTTTGAGGCCTGTGGAGGAAAAGGAATTATCTTCCCGTAAAAGCTAGATAGAAGCATTGTCAGAAACTTCTTTGTGATGATTGCATTCAACTCACAGAGTTGAAGGTTCCTTTTCAAACAGCAGTTTCCAATCACTCTTTCTGTGGAATCTGCAAGTGGATATTTCGACCTCTTTGAAGATTTCGTTGGAAACGGGAGAATCTTCACAGAAAAGCTAAACAGAAGCATTCTCAGAAACTTCTCTGTGATGTTTGTGTTCAACTCCCAGAGTTTCACGTTGCTTTTCATAGAGTAGTTCTGAAACATGCTTTTCGTAGTGTCTGCAAGTGGACATTTGGAGCGCTTTCAGGCCTGTGGTGGAAAACGAATTATGGTCACTTAAAAACTGGAGAGAAGCCTTCTCAGAAACTTCTCTGTGATGATTGCATTCAACTCACAGAGTTGAACCCTCCTATGGATAGAGCAGTGTTGAAACTCTCTTTTTGTGGAATCTGCAAGTGGATATGTGGACCTCTCCGAAGATGTCTTTGGAAACGGGAATATCTTCACATAAAAACTAAACAGAAGCATTCTCAGAAACTTCTTGGTGATGTTTGCATTCAAATCCCAGAGTTGAACCTTCCTTTGATAGTTCAGGTTTGAAACACTCTTTTTGTAGGATCTGCAAGTGGCTATTTGGACCACTCTGTGGCCTTCGTTCGTAACGGGTATATCTTCGCATAAAATCTAGACAGAAGCATTCTCAGAAAATACTTTGTGATGATTGAGTTTAAATCACAGAGCTGAACATTCCTTTGGATGGAGCAGGTTTGAGACACACTTTTTGTAGAATCTACAAGTGGATATTTGGACCTCTCTGAGGATTTCGTTGGAAACGGGATAACTGCACCTAACTAAACGGAAGCATTCTCAGAAACTGCTTTGTGATGATTGCATTCACCTCACAGAGTTGAACATTCCTATTGATAGAGCAGTTTGGAAACACTCTTGTTGTGGAATGTGCAAGTGGAGATTTGGAGCGCTTTGAGGCCTATGGTAGTAAAGGGAATAGCTTCATAGAAAAACTAGACAGATGCATTCTCAGGAACTTTTTGGTGATGTTTGTATTCAACTCCCAGAGTTGAACTTTCCTTTGGAAAGAGCAGCTATGAAACACTCTTTTTCTAGAATCTGCAAGTGGACGTTTGGAGGGCTTTGTGGTTTGTGGTGGAAAAGGAAATATCTTCACCTAAATACTAGATAGAAGCATTCTCAGAAGCTTCTCTGTGATGACTGCATTCAACTCACGGAGTTGAACACTCCTTTTGAGAGCGCAGTTTTGAAACTCTCTTTCTGTGGCATCTGCAAGGGGACATGTAGACCTCTTTGAAGATTTCGTTGGAAACGGAATCATCTTCACATAAAAACTATACAGAAGCAGTCTCAGAATCTTCTTTGTGATGTTTGCATTCAAATCCCAGAGTTGAACTTTCCTTTCAAAGTTCACGTTTGAAACACTCTTTTTGCAGGATCTACAAGTGGATATTTGGACCACTCTGTGTCCTTCGTTCGAAACGGGTATATCTTCACACGACATCTAGACAGAAGCTTTCTCAGAAAATTCTTTGGGATGATTGAGTGGAACTCACAGAGCTGAACATTCCTTGCGATGTAGCAGTTTAGAAACACACTTTCTGCAGAATCTGCAAGTGCATATTTGGACCTCTCTGAGGAATTCGTTGGAAACGGGATAATTTCAGCTGACTAAACAGAAGCATTCTCAGAACCTTCTTCGTGATGTCTGCATTCAACTCACAGTGTGGAACCTTTCTTTGATAGTTCAGGTTTGAAACACTCTTTTTGTAGAAACTGCAAGGGGATAATTGCACTTCTTTGAGGCCTACCGTAGTAAAGGAAATAACTTCCTATAGAAAGAAGACAGAAGCATTCTCAGAACCCTCGTCGTGATGTTTGCATTCAACTCACAGTGCTGAACCTTTCTTTGATAGTTCAGCTTTGAAACACTCTTCTTGTAGAAACTGCAAGTGGATATTTGGTCCTCTCTGAGGATTTCGTTGGAAACGGGAAAAACCGCACAGAACTAAACAGAAGCATTCTCAGAACCTTCTTCGTGATGTTTGCATTCAACTCACAGTGTTGAACCTTTCTTTGATAGTTCAGGTTGGAAACGGTCTTTCTGTAGAAACTGCAAGTAGATATTTGGACCTCTCTGAGGATTTCGTTGGAAACGGGATAAACCGCACAGAACTAAAACAGAAGCATTCATAGAAAACTCTTGGTGACGACTGAGTTTAACTCACAGAGCTGAACATTCCTTTGGATGGAGCAGTTTCGAAACACACTATTTGTAGAATGTGCAAGTGGATATTTGGGCCTCTCTGAGGATTTTGTTGGAAACCGGATAAACCGCACAGAACTAAACAGAAGCATTCTCAGAAACTACTTTGTGATGATTGCATTCAAGTCACAGAGTTGAACATTCCCTTTGACAGAGCAGTTTGGAAACTCTCTTTGTGTAGAATCTGCAAGTGGAGATATGGACCGCTTTGAGGCCTATGGTAGTAAAGGAAATAGCTTCATATAAAAGCTAGACAGTAGCATTCTCAGAAACTTCTTTGTGATGCTTGCATTCAACTCACAGAGTTGAACTTTCCTTTCGAGAGAGAAGCTTTGAAACACTCTTTTTCCAGAATGTGCAAGTGGACATTTGGAGGGCTTTGAGGCCTGTGGTGGAAAAGGAATTATCTTCCCGTAAAAGCTAGATGGAAGTATTGTCAGAAACTTCTTTGTGATGATTGCATTCAACTCACAGAGTTGAAGGTTCCTTTTCAAACAGCAGTTTCCAATCACTCTTTCTGTGGAATCTGCAAGTGGATATTTGGACCTATTTTGAAGATTTCGTTGGAAACGGGATAATCTTCACAGAAAAGCTAAACAGAAGCATTCTCAGAAACTTCTCTGTGATGTTTGTGTTCAACTCCCAGAGTTTCACATTGCTTTTCATAGAGTAGTTCTGAAACATGCTTTTCGTAGTGTCTGCAAGTGGACATTTGGAGCGCTTTCAGGCCTGTGGTGGAAAACGAATTATGGTCACATAAAAACTGGAGAGAAGCCTTCTCAGAAACTTCTCTGTGATGATTGCATTCAACTCACAGAGTTGAACCCTCCTATGGATAGAGCAGTGTTGAAACTCTCTTTTTGTGGAATCTGCAAGTGGATATGTGGACCTCTCCGAAGATGTCTTTGGAAACGGGAATATCTTCACATAAAAACTAAACAGAAGCATTCTCAGAAACTTCTTGGTGATGTTTGCATTCAAATCCCAGAGGTGAACCTTCCTTTGATAGTTCAGGTTTGAAACACTCTTTTTGTAGGATCTGCAAGTGGCTATTTGGACCACTCTGTGGCCTTCGTTCGAAACGGGTATATCTTCGCATAAAATCTAGACAGAAGCATTCTCAGAAAATACTTTGTGATGATTGAGTTGAACTCACAGAGCTGAACATTCCTTTGGATGGAGCAGGTTTGAGACACACTTTTTGTAGAATCTACAAGTGGATATTTGGACCTCTCTGAGGATTTCGTTGGAAACGGGATAACTGCACCTAACTAAACGGAAGCATTCTCAGCAAACTGCTTTGTGATGACTGCATTCACCTCACAGAGTTGAACATTCCTATTGATAGAGCAGTTTGGAAACACTCTTGTTGTGGAATGTGCAAGTGGAGATTTGGAGCGCTTTGAGGCCTATGGTAGTAAAGGGAATAGCTTCATAGAAAAACTAGACAGATGCATTCTCAGGAACTTTTTGGTGATGTTTGTATTCAACTCCCAGAGTTGAACTTTCCTTTGGAAAGAGCAGCTATGAAACACCCTTTTTCTAGAATCTGCAAGTGGACGTTTGGAGGGCTTTGTGGTTTGTGGGTGGAAAAGGAAATATCTTCACCTAAATACTAGATAGAAGCATTCTCAGAAGCTTCTCTGTGATGACTGCATTCAACTCACGGAGTTGAACACTCCTTTTGAGAGCGCAGTTTTGAAACTCTCTTTCTGTGGCATCTGCAAGGGGACATGTAGACCTCTTTGAAGATTTCGTTGGAAACGGAATCATCTTCACATAAAAACTATACAGAAGCAGTCTCAGAATCTTCTTTGTGATGTTTGCATTCAAATCCCAGAGTTGAACTTTCCTTTCAAAGTTCACGTTTGAAACACTCTTTTTGCAGGATCTACAAGTGGATATTTGGACCACTCTGTGTCCTTCGTTCGAAACGGGTATATCTTCACACGACATCTAGACAGAAGCTTTCTCAGAAAATTCTTTGGGATGATTGAGTGGAACTCACAGAGCTGAACATTCCTTGCGATGGAGCAGTTTAGAAACACACTTTCTGCAGAATCTGCAAGTGCATATTTGGACCTCTCTGAGGAATTCGTTGGAAACGGGATAATTTCAGCTGACTAAACAGAAGCATTCTCAGAACCTTCTTCGTGATGTCTGCATTCAACTCACAGTGTGGAACCTTTCTTTGATAGTTCAGGTTTGAAACACTCTTTTTGTAGAAACTGCAAGGGGATAATTGCACTTCTTTGAGGCCTACCGTAGTAAAGGAAATAACTTCCTATAGAAAGAAGACAGAAGCATTCTCAGAACCCTCTTCGTGATGTTTGCATTCAACTCACAGTGCTGAACCTTTCTTTGATAGTTCAGCTTTGAAACACTCTTCTTGTAGAAACTGCAAGTGGATATTTGGTCCTCTCTGAGGATTTCGTTGGAAACGGGATAAACCGCACAGAACTAAACAGAAGAATTCTCAGAGCCCTCTTCGTGATGTTTGCATTCAACTCACAGTGCTGAACCTTTCTTTGATAGTGCAGCTTTGAAACACTCTTTTTGTAGAAACTGCAAGTGGATGTTTGGTCCTCTCTGAGGATTTCGTTGGAAACGGGATAAACCGCACAGAACTAAAACAGAAGCATTGTCAGAAACTTCTTTGTGATGATTGCATTCAACTCACAGAGTTGAAGGTTCCTTTTCAAACAGCAGTTTCCAATCACTCTTTCTGTGGAATCTGCAAGTGGATATTTGGGCCTCTCTGAGGATTTCGTTGGAAACGGGATAAAACGCACAGAACTAAAACAGAAGCATTCTCAGAAACTTCTCTGTGATGTTTGTGTTCAACTCCCAGAGTTTCACGTTGCTTTTCATAGAGTAGTTCTGAAACATGCTTTTCGTAGTGTCTGCAAGTGGACATTTGGAGCGCTTTCAGGCCTGTGGTGGAAAACGAATTATGGTCACATAAAAACTGGAGAGAAGCCTTCTCAGAAACTTCTCTGTGATGATTGCATTCAACTCACAGGAGTTGAACCCTCCTATGGATAGAGCAGTGTTGAAACTCTCTTTTTGTGGAATCTGCAAGTGGATATGTGGACCTCTCCGAAGATGTCTTTGGAAACGGGAATATCTTCACATAAAAACTAAACAGAAGCATTCTCAGAAACTTCTTGGTGATGTTTGCATTCAAATCCCAGAGTTGAACCTTCCTTTGATAGTTCAGGTTTGAAACACTCTTTCTGTAGGATCTGCAAGTGGCTATTTGGACCACTACTGTGGCCTTCGTTCGAAACGGGTATATCTTCGCATAAAATCTAGACAGAAGCATTCTCAGAAAATACTTTGTGATGATTGAGTTTAAATCACAGAGCTGACCATTCCTTTGGATGGAGCAGGTTTGAGACACACTTTTTGTAGAATCTACAAGTGGATATTTGGACCTCTCTGAGGATTTCGTTGGAAACGGGATAACTGCACCTAACTAAACGGAAGCATTCTCAGAAACTGCTTTGTGATGATTGCATTCACCTCACAGAGTTGAACATTCCTATTGATAGAGCAGTTTGGAAACACTCTTGTTGTGGAATGTGCAAGTGGAGATTTGGAGCGCTTTGAGGCCTATGGTAGTAAAGGGAATAGCTTCATAGAAAAACTAGACAGATGCATTCTCAGGAACTTTTTGGTGATGTTTGTATTCAACTCCCAAGAGTTGAACTTTCCTTTGGAAAGAGCAGCTATGAAACACTCTTTTTCTAGAATCTGCAAGTGGACGTTTGGAGGGCTTTGTGGTTTGTGGTGGAAAAGGAAATATCTTCACCTAAATACTAGATAGAAGCATTCTCAGAAGCTTCTCTGTGATGACTGCATTCAACTCACGGAGTTGAACACTCCTTTTGAGAGCGCAGTTTTGAAACTCTCTTTCTGTGGCATCCGCAAGGGGACATGTAGACCTGTTTGAAGATTTCTTTGGAAAGGGAATCATCTTCACATAAAAACTATACAGAAGCAGTCTCAGAATCTTCTTTGTGATGTTTACATTCAAATCCCAGAGTTGAACTTTCCTTTCAAAGTTCACGTTTGAAACACTCTTTTTGCAGGATCTACAAGTGGATATTTGGACCACTCTGTGTCCTTCGTTCCAAACGGGTATATCTTCACATGACATCTAGACAGAAGCTTTCTCAGAAAATTCTTTGGGATGATTGAGTGGAACTCACAGAGCTGAACATTCCTTGCGATGGAGCAGTTTAGAAACACACTTTCTGCAGAATCTGCAAGTGCATATTTGGACCTCTCTGAGGAATTCGTTGGAAACGGGATAATTTCAGCTGACTAAACAGAAGCATTCTCAGAACCTTCTTCGTGATGTCTGCATTCAACTCACAGTGTGGAACCTTTCTTTGATAGTTCAGGTTTGAAACACTCTTTTTGTAGAAACTGCAAGGGGATAATTGCACTTCTTTGAGGCCTACCGTAGTAAAGGAAATAACTTCCTATAGAAAGAAGACAGAAGCATTCTCAGAACCCTCTTCGTGATGTTTGCATTCAACTCACAGTGCTGAACCTTTCTTTGATAGTTCAGCTTTGAAACACTCTTCTTGTAGAAACTGCAAGTGGATATTTGGTCCTCTCTGAGGATTTCGTTGGAAACGGGATAAACCGCACAGAACTAAACAGAAGAATTCTCAGAGCCCTCTTCGTGATGTTTGCATTCAACTCACAGTGCTGAACCTTTCTTTGATAGTGCAGCTTTGAAACACTCTTTTTGTAGAAACTGCAAGTGGATGTTTGGTCCTCTCTGAGGATTTCGTTGGAAACGGGATAAACCGCACAGAACTAAAACAGAAGCATTGTCAGAAACTTCTTTGTGATGATTGCATTCAACTCACAGAGTTGAAGGTTCCTTTTCAAACAGCAGTTTCCAATCACTCTTTCTGTGGAATCTGCAAGTGGATATTTGGGCCTCTCTGAGGATTTCGTTGGAAACGGGATAAAACGCACAGAACTAAAACAGAAGCATTCTCAGAAACTTCTCTGTGATGTTTGTGTTCAACTCCCAGAGTTTCACGTTGCTTTTCATAGAGTAGTTCTGAAACATGCTTTTCGTAGTGTCTGCAAGTGGACATTTGGAGCGCTTTCAGGCCTGTGGTGGAAAACGAATTATGGTCACATAAAAACTGGAGAGAAGCCTTCTCAGAAACTTCTCTGTGATGATTGCATTCAACTCACAGAGTTGAACCCTCCTATGGATAGAGCAGTGTTGAAACTCTCTTTTTGTGGAATCTGCAAGTGGATATGTGGACCTCTCCGAAGATGTCTTTGGAAACGGGAATATCTTCACATAAAAACTAAACAGAAGCATTCTCAGAAACTTCTTGGTGATGTTTGCATTCAAATCCCAGAGTTGAACCTTCCTTTGATAGTTCAGGTTTGAAACACTCTTTCTGTAGGATCTGCAAGTGGCTATTTGGACCACTCTGTGGCCTTCGTTCGAAACGGGTATATCTTCGCATAAAATCTAGACAGAAGCATTCTCAGAAAATACTTTGTGATGATTGAGTTTAAATCACAGAGCTGACCATTCCTTTGGATGGAGCAGGTTTGAGACACACTTTTTGTAGAATCTACAAGTGGATATTTGGACCTCTCTGAGGATTTCGTTGGAAACGGGATAACTGCACCTAACTAAACGGAAGCATTCTCAGAAACTGCTTTGTGATGATTGCATTCACCTCACAGAGTTGAACATTCCTATTGATAGAGCAGTTTGGAAACACTCTTGTTGTGGAATGTGCAAGTGGAGATTTGGAGCGCTTTGAGGCCTATGGTAGTAAAGGGAATAGCTTCATAGAAAAACTAGACAGATGCATTCTCAGGAACTTTTTGGTGATGTTTGTATTCAACTCCCAGAGTTGAACTTTCCTTTGGAAAGAGCAGCTATGAAACACTCTTTTTCTAGAATCTGCAAGTGGACGTTTGGAGGGCTTTGTGGTTTGTGGTGGAAAAGGAAATATCTTCACCTAAATACTAGATAGAAGCATTCTCAGAAGCTTCTCTGTGATGACTGCATTCAACTCACGGAGTTGAACACTCCTTTTGAGAGCGCAGTTTTGAAACTCTCTTTCTGTGGCATCTGCAAGGGGACATGTAGACCTCTTTGAAGATTTCGTTGGAAACGGAATCATCTTCACATAAAAACTATACAGAAGCAGTCTCAGAATCTTCTTTGTGATGTTTGCATTCAAATCCCAGAGTTGAACTTCCCTTTCAAAGTTCACGTTTGAAACACTCTTTTTGCAGGATCTACAAGTGGATATTTGGACCACTCTGTGTCCTTCGTTCGAAACGGGTATATCTTCACATGGCATCTAGACAGAAGCTTTCTCAGAAAATTCTTTGGGATGATTGAGTTGAACTCACAGAGCTGAACATTCCTTGCGATGTAGCAGTTTAGAAACACACTTTCTGCAGAATCTGCAAGTGCATATGTGGACCTCTCTGAGGAATTCGTTGGAAACGGGATAATTTCAGCTGACTAAACAGAAGCATTCTCAGAACCTTCTTCGTGATGTCTGCATTCAACTCACAGTGTGGAACCTTTCTTTGATAGTTCAGGTTTGAAACACTCTTTTTGTAGAAACTGCAAGGGGATAATTGCACTTCTTTGAGGCCTACCGTAGTAAAGGAAATAACTTCCTATAGAAAGAAGACAGAAGCATTCTCAGAACCCTCTTCGTGATGTTTGCATTCAACTCACAGTGCTGAACCTTTCTTTGATAGTTCAGCTTTGAAACACTCTTCTTGTAGAAACTGCAAGTGGATATTTGGTCCTCTCTGAGGATTTCGTTGGAAACGGGATAAACCGCACAGAACTAAACAGAAGAATTCTCAGAGCCCTCTTCGTGATGTTTGCATTCAACTCACAGTGCTGAACCTTTCTTTGATAGTGCAGCTTTGAAACACTCTTTTTGTAGAAACTGCAAGTGGATGTTTGGTCCTCTCTGAGGATTTCGTTGGAAACGGGATAAACCGCACAGAACTAAAACAGAAGCATTGTCAGAAACTTCTTTGTGATGATTGCATTCAACTCACAGAGTTGAAGGTTCCTTTTCAAACAGCAGTTTCCAATCACTCTTTCTGTGGAATCTGCAAGTGGATATTTGGGCCTCTCTGAGGATTTCGTTGGAAACGGGATAAAACGCACAGAACTAAAACAGAAGCATTCTCAGAAACTTCTCTGTGATGTTTGTGTTCAACTCCCAGAGTTTCACGTTGCTTTTCATAGAGTAGTTCTGAAACATGCTTTTCGTAGTGTCTGCAAGTGGACATTTGGAGCGCTTTCAGGCCTGTGGTGGAAAACGAATTATGGTCACATAAAAACTGGAGAGAAGCCTTCTCAGAAACTTCTCTGTGATGATTGCATTCAACTCACAGAGTTGAACCCTCCTATGGATAGAGCAGTGTTGAAACTCTCTTTTTGTGGAATCTGCAAGTGGATATGTGGACCTCTCCGAAGATGTCTTTGGAAACGGGAATATCTTCACATAAAAACTAAACAGAAGCATTCTCAGAAACTTCTTGGTGATGTTTGCATTCAAATCCCAGAGTTGAACCTTCCTTTGATAGTTCAGGTTTGAAACACTCTTTCTGTAGGATCTGCAAGTGGCTATTTGGACCACTCTGTGGCCTTCGTTCGAAACGGGTATATCTTCGCATAAAATCTAGACAGAAGCATTCTCAGAAAATACTTTGTGATGATTGAGTTTAAATCACAGAGCTGACCATTCCTTTGGATGGAGCAGGTTTGAGACACACTTTTTGTAGAATCTACAAGTGGATATTTGGACCTCTCTGAGGATTTCGTTGGAAACGGGATAACTGCACCTAACTAAACGGAAGCATTCTCAGAAACTGCTTTGTGATGATTGCATTCACCTCACAGAGTTGAACATTCCTATTGATAGAGCAGTTTGGAAACACTCTTGTTGTGGAATGTGCAAGTGGAGATTTGGAGCGCTTTGAGGCCTGTGGTAGTAAAGGGAATAGCTTCATAGAAAAACTAGACAGATGCATTCTCAGGAACCTTTTGGTGATGTTTGTATTCAACTCCCAGAGTTGAACTTTCCTTTGGAAAGAGCAGCTATGAAACACTCTTTTTCTAGAATCTGCAAGTGGACGTTTGGAGGGCTTTGTGGTTTGTGGTGGAAAAGGAAATATCTTCACCTAAATACTAGATAGAAGCATTCTCAGAAGCTTCTCTGTGATGACTGCATTCAACTCACGGAGTTGAACACTCCTTTTGAGAGCGCAGTTTTGAAACTCTCTTTCTGTGGCATCTGCAAGGGGACATGTAGACCTCTTTGAAGATTTCGTTGGAAACGGAATCATCTTCACATAAAAACTATACAGAAGCAGTCTCAGAATCTTCTTTGTGATGTTTGCATTCAAATCCCAGAGTTGAACTTTCCTTTCAAAGTTCACGTTTGAAACACTCTTTTTGCAGGATCTACAAGTGGATATTTGGACCACTCTGTGTCCTTCGTTCGAAACGGGTATATCTTCACACGACATCTAGACAGAAGCTTTCTCAGAAAATTCTTTGGGATGATTGAGTGGAACTCACAGAGCTGAACATTCCTTGCGATGTAGCAGTTTAGAAACACACTTTCTGCAGAATCTGCAAGTGCATATTTGGACCTCTCTGAGGAATTCGTTGGAAACGGGATAATTTCAGCTGACTAAACAGAAGCATTCTCAGAACCTTCTTAGTGATGTCTGCATTCAACTCACAGTGTGGAACCTTTCTTTGATAGTTCAGGTTTGAAACACTCTTTTTGTAGAAACTGCAAGGGGATAATTGCACTTCTTTGAGGCCTACCGTAGTAAAGGAAATAACTTCCTATAGAAAGAAGACAGAAGCATTCTCAGAACCCTCTTCGTGATGTTTGCATTCAACTCACAGTGCTGAACCTTTCTTTGATAGTTCAGCTTTGAAACACTCTTCTTGTAGAAACTGCAAGTGGATATTTGGTCCTCTCTGAGGATTTCGTTGGAAACGGGATAAACCGCACAGAACTAAACAGAAGAATTCTCAGAGCCCTCTTCGTGATGTTTGCATTCAACTCACAGTGCTGAACCTTTCTTTGATAGTGCAGCTTTGAAACACTCTTTTTGTAGAAACTGCAAGTGGATGTTTGGTCCTCTCTGAGGATTTCGTTGGAAACGGGATAAACCGCACAGAACTAAAACAGAAGCATTGTCAGAAACTTCTTTGTGATGATTGCATTCAACTCACAGAGTTGAAGGTTCCTTTTCAAACAGCAGTTTCCAATCACTCTTTCTGTGGAATCTGCAAGTGGATATTTGGGCCTCTCTGAGGATTTCGTTGGAAACGGGATAAAACGCACAGAACTAAAACAGAAGCATTCTCAGAAACTTCTCTGTGATGTTTGTGTTCAACTCCCAGAGTTTCACGTTGCTTTTCATAGAGTAGTTCTGAAACATGCTTTTCGTAGTGTCTGCAAGTGGACATTTGGAGCGCTTTCAGGCCTGTGGTGGAAAACGAATTATGGTCACATAAAAACTGGAGAGAAGCCTTCTCAGAAACTTCTCTGTGATGATTGCATTCAACTCACAGAGTTGAACCCTCCTATGGATAGAGCAGTGTTGAAACTCTCTTTTTGTGGAATCTGCAAGTGGATATGTGGACCTCTCCGAAGATGTCTTTGGAAACGGGAATATCTTCACATAAAAACTAAACAGAAGCATTCTCAGAAACTTCTTGGTGATGTTTGCATTCAAATCCCAGAGTTGAACCTTCCTTTGATAGTTCAGGTTTGAAACACTCTTTCTGTAGGATCTGCAAGTGGCTATTTGGACCACTCTGTGGCCTTCGTTCGAAACGGGTATATCTTCGCATAAAATCTAGACAGAAGCATTCTCAGAAAATACTTTGTGATGATTGAGTTTAAATCACAGAGCTGACCATTCCTTTGGATGGAGCAGGTTTGAGACACACTTTTTGTAGAATCTACAAGTGGATATTTGGACCTCTCTGAGGATTTCGTTGGAAACGGGATAACTGCACCTAACTAAACGGAAGCATTCTCAGAAACTGCTTTGTGATGATTGCATTCACCTCACAGAGTTGAACATTCCTATTGATAGAGCAGTTTGGAAACACTCTTGTTGTGGAATGTGCAAGTGGAGATTTGGAGCGCTTTGAGGCCTATGGTAGTAAAGGGAATAGCTTCATAGAAAAACTAGACAGATGCATTCTCAGGAACTTTTTGGTGATGTTTGTATTCAACTCCCAGAGTTGAACTTTCCTTTGGAAAGAGCAGCTATGAAACACTCTTTTTCTAGAATCTGCAAGTGAACGTTTGGAGGGCTTTGTGGTTTGTGGTGGAAAAGGAAATATCTTCACCTAAATACTAGATAGAAGCATTCTCAGAAGCTTCTCTGTGATGACTGCATTCAACTCACGGAGTTGAACACTCCTTTTGAGAGCGCAGTTTTGAAACTCTCTTTCTGTGGCATCTGCAAGGGGACATGTAGACCTCTTTGAAGATTTCTTTGGAAACGGAATCATCTTCACATAAAAACTATACAGAAGCAGTCTCAGAATCTTCTTTGTGATGTTTGCATTCAAATCCCAGAGTTGAACTTTCCTTTCAAAGTTCACGTTTGAAACACTCTTTTTGCAGGATCTACAAGTGGATATTTGGACCACTCTGTGTCCTTCGTTCGAAACGGGTATATCTTCACATGACATCTAGACAGAAGCTTTCTCAGAAAATTCTTTGGGATGATTGAGTGGAACTCACAGAGCTGAACATTCCTTGCGATGTAGCAGTTTAGAAACACACTTTCTGCAGAATCTGCAAGTGCATATTTGGACCTCTCTGAGGAATTCGTTGGAAAAGGGATAATTTCAGCTGACTAAACAGAAGCATTCTCAGAACCTTCTTCGTGATGTCTGCATTCAACTCACAGTGTGGAACCTTTCTTTGATAGTTCAGGTTTGAAACACTCTTTTTGTAGAAACTGCAAGGGGATAATTGCACTTCTTTGAGGCCTACCGTAGTAAAGGAAATAACTTCCTATAGAAAGAAGACAGAAGCATTCTCAGAACCCTCTTCGTGATGTTTGCATTCAACTCACAGTGCTGAACCTTTCTTTGATAGTTCAGCTTTGAAACACTCTTCTTGTAGAAACTGCAAGTGGATATTTGGTCCTCTCTGAGGATTTCGTTGGAAAAGGGATAAACCGCACAGAACTAAACAGAAGCATTCTCAGAACCTTCTTCGTGATGTTTGCATTCAACTCACAGTGTTGAACCTTTCTTTCATAGTTCAGGTTTGAAACGGTCTTTCTGTAGAAACTGCAAGTAGATATTTGGACCTCTCTGAGGATTTCGTTGGAAACGGGATGAACCGCACAGAACTAAAACAGAAGCATTCACAGAAAACTCTTGGTGACGACTGAGTTTAACTCACAGAGCTGAACATTCCTTTGGATGGAGCAGTTTCGAAACACACTATTTGTAGAATGTGCAAGTGGATATTTGGGCCTCTCTGAGGATTTCGTTGGAAACGGGATAAACCGCACAGAACTAAACAGAAGCATTCTCAGAAACTACTTTGTGATGATTGCATTCAAGTCACAGAGTTGAACATTCCCTTTGACAGAGCAGTTTGGAAACTCTCTTTGTGTAGAATCTGCAAGTGGAGATATGGACCGCTTTGAGGCCTATGGTAGTAAAGGAAATAGCTTCATATAAAAGCTAGACAGTAGCATTCTCAGAAACTTCTTTGTGATGCTTGCATTCAACTCACAGAGTTGAACTTTCCTTTCGAGAGAGAAGCTTTGAAACACTCTTTTTCCAGAATCTGCAAGTGGACATTTGGAGGGCTTTGAGGCCTGTGGTGGAAAAGGAATTAACTTCCCGTAAAAGCTAGATAGAAGCATTGTCAGAAACTTCTTTGTGATGATTGCATTCAACTCACAGAGATGAAGGTTCCTTTACAAACAGCAGTTTCCAAACACTCTTTCTGTGGAATCTGCAAGTGGATATTTGGACCTCTTTGAAGATTTCGTTGGAAACGGGAGAATCTTCACAGAAAATCTAAACAGAAGCATTCTCAGTAAACTTCTCTGTGATGTTTGTGTTCAACTCCCAGAGTTTCACATTGCTTCTCATAGAGTAGTTCTGAAACATGCTTTTCGTAGTGTCTGCAAGTGGTCATTTGGAGCGCTTTCCGGCCTGTGGTGGAAAACGAATTATGGTCACATAAAAACTGGAGAGAAGCCTTCTCAGAAACTTCTCTGTGATGTTTGCATTCAACTCACAGAGTTGAACCCTCCTATGGATAGAGCAGTGTTGAAACTCTCTTTTTGTGGAATCTGCAAGTGGATATGTGGACCTCTCCGAAGATGTCTTTGGAAACGGGAATATCTTCACATAAAAACTAAACAGAAGCATTCTCAGAAACTTCTTGGTGATGTTTGCATTCAAATCCCAGAGTTGAACCTTCCTTTGATAGTTCAGGTTTGAAACACTCTTTTTGTAGGATCTTCAAGTGGATATTTGGACCACTCTGTGGCCTTCGTTCGAAACGGGTATATCTTCGCATAAAATCTAGACAGAAGCATTCTCAGAAAATACTTTGTGATGATTGAGTTTAACTCACAGAGCTGAACATTCCTTTGGATGGAGCAGGTTTGAGACACACTTTTTGTAGAATCTACAAGTGGATATTTGGACCTCTCTGAGGATTTCGTTGGAAACGGGATAACTGCACCTAACTAAACGGAAGCATTCTCAGAAACTGCTTTGTGATGATTGCATTCACCTCACAGAGTTGAACATTCCTATTGATAGAGCAGTTTGGAAACACTCTTGTTGTGGAATGTGCAAGTGGAGATTTGGAGCGCTTTGAGGCCTATGGTAGTAAAGGGAATAGCTTCATAGAAAAACTAGACAGATGCATTCTCAGGAACTTTTTGGTGATGTTTGTATTCAACTCCCAGAGTTGAACTTTCCTTTGGAAAGAGCAGCTATGAAACACTCTTTTTCTAGAATCTGCAAGTGGACGTTTGGAGGGCTTTGTGGTTTGTGGTGGAAAAGGAAATATCTTCACCTAAATACTAGATAGAAGCATTCTCAGAAGCTTCTCTGTGATGACTGCATTCAACTCACGGAGTTGAACACTCCTTTTGAGAGCGCAGTTTTGAAACTCTCTTTCTGTGGCATCTGCAAGGGGACATGTAGACCTCTTTGAAGATTTCGTTGGAAACGGAATCATCTTCACATAAAAACTATACAGAAGCAGTCTCAGAATCTTCTTTGTGATGTTTGCATTCAAATCCCAGAGTTGAACTTTCCTTTCAAAGTTCACGTTTGAAACACTCTTTTTGCAGGATCTACAAGTGGATATTTGGACCACTCTGTGTCCTTCGTTCGAAACGGGTATATCTTCACACGACATCTAGACAGAAGCTTTCTCAGAAAATTCTTTGGGATGATTGAGTGGAACTCACAGAGCTGAACATTCCTTGCGATGTAGCAGTTTAGAAACACACTTTCTGCAGAATCTGCAAGTGCATATTTGGACCTCTCTGAGGAATTCGTTGGAAACGGGATAATTTCAGCTGACTAAACAGAAGCATTCTCAGAACCTTCTTCGTGATGTCTGCATTCAACTCACAGTGTGGAACCTTTCTTTGATAGTTCAGGTTTGAAACACTCTTTTTGTAGAAACTGCAAGGGGATAATTGCACTTCTTTGAGGCCTACCGTAGTAAAGGAAATAACTTCCTATAGAAAGAAGACAGAAGCATTCTCAGAACCCTCTTCGTGATGTTTGCATTCAACTCACAGTGCTGAACCTTTCTTTGATAGTTCAGCTTTGAAACACTCTTCTTGTAGAAACTGCAAGTGGATATTTGGTCCTCTCTGAGGATTTCGTTGGAAACGGGATAAACCGCACAGAACTAAACAGAAGAATTCTCAGAGCCCTCTTCGTGATGTTTGCATTCAACTCACAGTGCTGAACCTTTCTTTGATAGTGCAGCTTTGAAACACTCTTTTTGTAGAAACTGCAAGTGGATGTTTGGTCCTCTCTGAGGATTTCGTTGGAAACGGGATAAACCGCACAGAACTAAAACAGAAGCATTGTCAGAAACTTCTTTGTGATGATTGCATTCAACTCACAGAGTTGAAGGTTCCTTTTCAAACAGCAGTTTCCAATCACTCTTTCTGTGGAATCTGCAAGTGGATATTTGGGCCTCTCTGAGGATTTCGTTGGAAACGGGATAAAACGCACAGAACTAAAACAGAAGCATTCTCAGAAACTTCTCTGTGATGTTTGTGTTCAACTCCCAGAGTTTCACATTGCTTTTCATAGAGTAGTTCTGAAACATGCTTTTCGTAGTGTCTACAAGTGGACATTTGGAGCGCTTTCAGGCCTGTGGTGGAAAACGAATTATGGTCACATAAAAACTGGAGAGAAGCCTTCTCAGAAACTTCTCTGTGATGATTGCATTCAACTCACAGAGTTGAACCCTCCTATGGATAGAGCAGTGTTGAAACTCTCTTTTTGTGGAATCTGCAAGTGGATATGTGGACCTCTCCGAAGATGTCTTTGGAAACGGGAATATCTTCACATAAAAACTAAACAGAAGGATTCTCAGAAACTTCTTGGTGATGTTTGCATTCAAATCCCAGAGTTGAACCTTCCTTTGATAGTTCAGGTTTGAAACACTCTTTTTGTAGGATCTGCAAGTGGCTATTTGGACCACTCCTGTGGCATTCGTTCAAAACGGGTATATCTTCGCATAAAATCTAGACAGAAGCATTCTCAGAAAATACTTTGTGATGATTGAGTTGAACTCACAGAGGTGAACATTCCTTTGGATGGAGCAGGTTTGAGACACACTTTTTGTAAAATCTACAAGTGGATATTTGGACCTCTCTGAGGATTTCGTTGGAAACGGGATAACTGCACCTAACTAAACGGAAGCATTCTCAGAAACTGCTTTGTGATGATTGCATTCACCTCACAGAGTTGAACATTCCTATTGATAGAGCAGTTTGGAAACACTCTTGTTGTGGAATGTGCAAGTGGAGATTTGGAGCGCTTTGAGGCCTATGGTAGTAAAGGGAATAGCTTCATAGAAAAACTAGACAGATGCATTCTCAGGAACTTTTTGGTGATGTTTGTATTCAACTCCCAGAGTTGAACTTTCCTTTGGAAAGAGCAGCTGTGAAACACTCTTTTTCTAGAATCTGCAAGTGGACGTTTGGAGGGCTTTGTGGTTTGTGGTGGAAAAGGAAATATCTTCACCTAAATAGTAGAGAGAAGCATTCTCAGAAGCTTCTCTGTGATGACTGCATTCAACTCACGGAGTTGAACACTCCTTTTGAGAGCGCAGTTTTGGAACTCTCTTTCTGTGGCATCTGCAGGGGGACATGTAGACCTCTTTGAAGATTTCGTTGGAAACGGAATCATCTTCACATCAAAACTATACAGAAGCAGTCTCAGAATCTTCTTTGTGATGTTTGCATTCAAATCCCAGAGTTGAACTTTCCTTTCAAAGTTTACGTTTGAAACACTCTTTTTGCAGGATCTACAAGTGGATATTTGGACCACTCTGTGTCCTTCGTTCGAAACGGGTATATCTTCACATGACATCTAGACAGAAGCTTTCTCAGAAAATTGTTTGGGATGATTGATTTGAACTCACAGAGCTGAGCATTCCTTGCGATGTAGCAGTTTAGAAACACACTTTCTGCAGAATCTGCAAGTGCATATTTGGACCTCTCTGAGGAATTCGTTGGAAACGGGATAATTTCAGCTGACTAAACAGAAGCATTCTCAGAACCTTCTTCGTGATGTCTGCATTCAACTCACAGTGTGGAACCTTTCTTTGATAGTTCAGGTTTGAAACACTCTTTTTGTAGAAACTGCAAGGGGATAATTGCACTCTTTGAGGAGTACCGTAGTAAAGGAAATAACTTCCTATAAAAAGAAGACAGAAGCATTCTCAGAACCCTCTTCGTGATGTTTGCATTCAACTCACAGTGCTGAACCTTTCTTTGATAGTTCAGCTTTGAAACACTCTTTTTGTAGAAACTGCAAGTGGATATTTGGTCCTCTCTGAGGATTTCGTTGGAAAAGGGATAAAACGCACAGAACTAAACAGAAGCATTCACAGAAAACTCTTGGTGACGACTGAGTTTAACTCACAGAGCTGAACATTCCTTTGGATGGAGCAGTTTCAAAACACACTATTTGTAGAATCTGCAAGTGGATATGTGGGCCTCTCTGAGGATTTCGTTGGAAACGGGATAAACCGCACAGAACTAAAACAGAAGCATTCTCAGAAACTACTTTGTGATGATTGCATTCAAGTCACAGAGTTGAACATTCCCTTTGACAGAGCAGTTTGGAAACTCTCTTTGTGTAGAATCTGCAAGTGGAGATATGGACCGCTTTGAGGCCTATGGTAGTAAAGGAAATAGCTTCATATAAAAGCTAGACAGTAGCATTCTCAGAAACTTCTTTGTGATGCTTGCATTCAACTCACAGAGTTGAACTTTCCTTTCGAGAGAGAAGCTTTGAAACACTCTTTTTCCAGAATCTGCAAGTGGACATTTGGAGGGCTTTGAGGCCTGTGGTGGAAAAGGAATTATCTTCCCGTAAAAGCTAGATAGAAGCATTGTCAGAAACTTCTTTGTGATGATTGCATTCAACTCACAGAGTTGAAGGTTCCTTTTCAAAGAGCAGTTTCCAATCACTCTTTGTGTGGAATCTGCAAGTGGATATTTGGACCTATTTTGAAGATTTCGTTGGAAACGGGAGAATCTTCACAGGAAAGCTAAACAGAAGCATTCTCAGAAACTTCTCTGTGATGTTTGTGTTCAACTCCCAGAGTTTCACATTGCTTTTCATAGAGTAGTTCTGAAACATGCTTTTCGTAGTGTCTACAAGTGGACATTTGGAGCGCTTTCAGGCCTGTGGTGGAAAACGAATTATGGTCACATAAAAACTGGAGAGAAAGCCTTCTCAGAAACTTCTCTGTGATGATTGCATTCAACTCACAGAGTTGAACCCTCCTATGGATAGAGCAGTGTTGAAACTCTCTTTTTGTGGAATCTGCAAGTGGATATGTGGACCTCTCCGAAGATGTCTTTGGAAACGGGAATATCTTCACATAAAAACTAAACAGAGCATTCTCAGAAACTTCTTGGTGATGTTTGCATTCAAATCCCAGAGTTGAACCTTCCTTTGATAGTTCAGGTTTGAAACACTCTTTTTGTAGGATCTGCAAGTGGATATTTGGACCACTCTGTGGCCTTTGTTCGAAACGGGTACATCTTCGCATAAAATCTAGACAGAAGCATTCTCAGAAAATACTTTGTGATGATTGAGTTGAACTCACAGAGCTGAACATTCCTTTGGATGGAGCAGGTTTGAGACACACTTTTTGTAGAATCTACAAGTGGATATTTGGACCTCTCTGAGGATTTCGTTGGAAACGGGATAACTGCACCTAACTAAACGGAAGCATTCTCAGAAACTGCTTTGTGATGATTGCATTCACCTCACAGAGTTGAACATTCCTATTGATAGAGCAGTTTGGATACACTCTTGTTGTGGAATGTGCAAGTGGAGATTTGGAGCGCTTTGAGGCCTATGGTAGTAAAGGGAATAGCTTCATAGAAAAACTAGACAGATGCATTCTCAGGAACTTTTTGGTGATGTTTGTATTCAACTCCCAGAGTTGAACTTTCCTTTGGAAAGAGCAGCTATGAAACACTCTTTTTCTAGAATCTGCAAGAGGACGTTTGGAGGGCTTTGTGGTTTGTGGTGGAAAAGGAAATATCTTCACCTAAATACTAGATAGAAGCATTCTCAGAAGCTTCTCTGTGATGACTGCATTCAACTCACGGAGTTGAACACTCCTTTTGAGAGCGCAGTTTTGAAACTCTCTTTCTGTGGCATCTGCAAGGGGACATGTAGACCTCTTTGAAGATTTCGTTGGAAACGGAATCATCTTCACATCAAAACTATACAGAAGCAGTCTCAGAATCTTCTTTGTGATGTTTGCATTCAAATCCCAGAGTTGAACTTTTCTTTCCAAGTTGACGTTTGAAACACTCTTTTTGCAGGATCTACAAGTGGATATTTGGACCACTCTGTGTCCTTCGTTCGAAACGGGTATATCTTCACATGACATCTAGACAGAAGCTTTCTCAGAAAATTCTTTGGGATGATTGAGTTGAGCAAACAGAGCTGAACACTCCTTGCGATGTAGCAGTTTAGAAACACACTTTCTGCAGAATCTGCAAGTGCATATGTGGACCTCTCTGAGGAATTCGTTGGAAACGGGATAATTTCAGCTGACTAAACAGAAGCATTCTCAGAACCCTCTTCGTGATGTTTGCATTCAACTCACAGTGTGGAACCTTTCTTTGATAGTTCAGGTTTGAAACACTCTTTTTGTAGAAACTGCAAGGGGATCATTGCACTTCTTTGAGGCCTACCGTAGTAAAGGAGATAACTTCCTATAAAAAGAAGACAGAAGCATCCTCAGAACCTTCTTCGTGATGTTTGCATTCAACTCACAGTGCTGAACCTTTCTTTGATAGTTCAGCTTTGAAACACTCTTTTTGTAGAAACTGCAAGTGGATATTTGGACGTCTCTGAGGATTTCGTTGGAAACGGGATAAACCGCACAGAACTAAAACAGAAGCATTCACAGAAAACTCTTGGTGACGACTGCGTTTAACTCACAGAGCTGAAAATCCCTTAGGATGGAGCAGTTTCGAAAAACACTATTTGTAGAATGTGCAAGTGGATATTGGGGCCTCTCTGAGGATTTCGTTGGAAACGGGATAAACCACACAGAACTAAACAGAAGCATTCACAGAAAACTCTTGGTGACGACTGAGTTTAACTCACAGAGCTGAACATTCCTTTGGATGGAGCAGTTTCGAAACACACTATTTGTAGAATGTGCAAGTGGATATTTGGGCCTCTCTGAGGATTTCGTTGGAAACGGGATAAACCGCACAGAACTAAACAGAAGCATTCTCAGAAACTACTTTGTGATGATTGCATTCAAGTCACAGAGTTGAACATTCCCTTTGACAGAGCAGTTTGGAAACTCTCTTTGTGTAGAATCTGCAAGTGGAGATATGGACCGCTTTGAGGCCTATGGTAGTAAAGGAAATAGCTTCATATAAAAGCTAGACAGTAGCATTCTCAGAAACTTCTTTGTGATGCTTGCATTCAACTCACAGAGTTGAACTTTCCTTTCGAGAGAGAAGCTTTGAAACACTCTTTTTCCAGAATCTGCAAGTGGACATTTGGAGGGCTTTGAGGCCTGTGGTGGAAAAGGAATTATCTTCCCGTAAAAGCTAGATAGAAGCATTGTCAGAAACTTCTTTGTGATGATTGCATTCAACTCACAGAGTTGAAGGTTCCTTTTCAAACAGCAGTTTCCAATCACTCTTTCTGTGGAATCTGCAAGTGGATATTTGGACCTCTTTGAAGATTTCGTTGGAAACGGGAGAATGTTCACAGAAAAGCTAAACAGAAGCATTCTCAGAAACTTCTCTGTGATGTTTGTGTTCAACTCCCAGAGTTTCACATTGCTTCTCATAGAGTAGTTCTGAAACATGCTTTTCGTAGTGTCTGCAATTGGACATTTGGAGCGCTTTCAGGCCTGTGGTGGAAAACGAATTATGGTCACATAAAAACTGGAGAGAAGCCTTCTCAGAAACTTCTCTGTGATGATTGCATTCAACTCACAGAGTTGAACCGTCCTCTGGATAGAGCAGTGTTGAAACTCTCTTTTTGTGGAATCTGCAAGTGGATATGTGGACCTCTCCGAAGATGTCTTTGGAAACGGGAATATCTTCACATAAAAACTAAACAGAAGCATTCTCAGAAACTTCTTGGTGATGTTTGCATTCAAATCCCAGAGTTGAACCTTCCTTTGAGAGTTCAGGTTTGAAACACTCTTTTTGTAGGATCTGCAAGTGGATATTTGGACCACTCTGTGGCCTTCGTTCAAAACGGGTACATCTTCGCATAAAATCTAGACAGAAGCATTCTGAGAAAATACTTTGTGATGATAGAGTTGAACTCACAGAGCTGAACATTCCTTTGGATGGAGCAGGTTTGAGACACACTTTTTGTAGAATCTACAAGTGGATATTTGGACCTCTCTGAGGATTTCGTTGGAAACGGGATAACTGCACCTAACTAAACGGAAGCATTCTCAGAAACTGCTTTGTGATGATTGCATTCACCTCACAGAGTTGAACATTCCTATTGATAGAGCAGTTTGGAAAAACTCTTGTTGTGGAATGTGCAAGTGGAGATTTGGAGCGCTTTGAGGCCTATGGTAGTAAAGGGAATAGCTTCATAGAAAAACTAGACAGATGCATTCTCAGGAACTTTTTGGTGATGTTTGTATTCAACTCCCAGAGTTGAACTTTCCTTTGGAAAGAGCAGCTATGAAACACTCTTTTTCTAGAATCTGCAAGTGGACGTTTGGAGGGCTTTGTGGTTTGTGGTGGAAAAGGAAATATCTTCACCTAAATACTAGATAGAAGCATTCTCAGAAGCTTCTCTGTGATGACTGCATTCAACTCACGGAGTTGAACACTCCTTTTGAGAGCGCAGTTTTGAAACTCTCTTTCTGTGGCATCTGCAACGGGACATGTAGACCTCTTTGAAGATTTCGTTGGAAACGGAATCATCTTCACATAAAAACTATACAGAAGCAGTCTCAGAATCTTCTTTGTGATGTTTGCATTCAAATCCCAGAGTTGAACTTTCCTTTCAAAGTTCACGTTTGAAACACTCTTTTTGCAGGATCTACAAGTGGATATTTGGACCACTCTGTGTCCTTCGTTCGAAACGGGTATATCTTCACATGACATCTAGACAGAAGCTTTCTCAGAAAATTCTTTGGGATGATTGAGTTGAACTCATAGAGCTGAACATTCCTTGCGATGTAGCAGTTTAGAAACACACTTTCTGCAGAATCTGCAAGTGCATATTTGGACCTCTCTGAGGAATTCGTTGGAAACGGGATAATTTCAGCTGACTAAACAGAAGCATTCTCAGAACCTTCTTCGTGATGTCTGCATTCAACTCACAGTGTGGAACCTTTCTTTGATAGTTCAGGTTTGAAACACTCTTTTTGTAGAAACTGCAAGGGGATAATTGCACTTCTTTGAGGCCTACCGTAGTAAAGGAAATAACTTCCTATAAAAACAAGACAGAAGCATTCTCAGTACCTTCTTCGTGATGTTTGCATTCAACTCACAGTGCTGAACCTTTCTTTGATAGTTCAGCTTTGAAACACTCTTTTTGTAGAAACTGCAAGTGGATATTTGGTCCTCTGTGAGGATTTCGTTGGAAAAGGGATAAACCGCACAGAACTAAACAGAAGCATTCACAGAAAACTCTTGGTGACGACTGAGTTTAACTCACAGAGCTGAACATCCCTTTGGATGGAGCAGTTTCGAAACACACTATTTGTAGAATGTGCAAGTGGATATTGGGGCCTCTCTGAGGATTTCGTTGGAAACGGGATAAACCGCACAGAACTAAACAGAAGCATTCTCAGAAACTACTTTGTGATGATTGCATTCAAGTCACAGAGTTGAACATTCCCTTTGACAGAGCAGTTTGGAAACTCTCTTTGTGTAGAATCTGCAAGTGGAGATATGGACCGCTTTGAGGACTATGGTAGTAAAGGAAATAGCTTCATATAAAAGCTAAACAGTAGCATTCTCAGAAACTTCTTTGTGATGCTTGCATTCAACTCACAGAGTTGAACTTTCCTTTCGAGAGAGAAGCTTTGAAACACTCTTTTTCCAGAATCTGCAAGTGGACATTTGGAGGGCTTTGAGGCCTGTGGTGGAAAAGGAATTATCTTCCCGTAAAAGCTAGATAGAAGCATTGTCAGAAACTTCTTTGTGATGATTGCATTCAACTCACAGAGTTGAAGGTTCCTTTTCAAACAGCAGTTTCCAATCACTCTTTCTGTGGAATCTGCAAGTGGATATTTGGACCTCTTTGAAGATTTCGTTGGAAACGGGAGAATGTTCACAGAAAAGCTAAACAGAAGCATTCTCAGAAACTTCTCTGTGATGTTTGTGTTCAACTCCCAGAGTTTCACGTTGCTTTTCATAGAGTAGTTCTGAAACATGCTTTTCGTAGTGTCTGCAAGTGGACATTTGGAGCGCTTTCAGGCCTGTGGTGGAAAACGAATTATGGTCACATAAAAACTGGAGAGAAGCCTTCTCAGAAACTTCTCTGTGATGATTGCATTCAACTCACAGAGTTGAACCCTCCTATGGATAGAGCAGTGTTGAAACTCTCTTTTTGTGGAATCTGCAAGTGGATATGTGGACCTCTCCGAAGATGTCTTTGGAAACGGGAATATCTTCACATAAAAACTAAACAGAAGCATTCTCAGAAACTTCTTGGTGATGTTTGCATTCAAATCCCAGAGTTGAACCTTCCTTTGATAGTTCAGGTTTGAAACACTCTTTCTGTAGGATCTGCAAGTGGCTATTTGGACCACTCTGTGGCCTTCGTTCGAAACGGGTATATCTTCGCATAAAATCTAGACAGAAGCATTCTCAGAAAATACTTTGTGATGATTGAGTTTAAATCACAGCAGCTGACCATTCCTTTGGATGGAGCAGGTTTGAGACACACTTTTTGTAGAATCTACAAGTGGATATTTGGACCTCTTTGAGGATTTCGTTGGAAACGGGATAACTGCACCTAACTAAACGGAAGCATTCTCAGAAACTGCTTTGTGATGATTGCATTCACCTCACAGAGTTGAACATTCCTATTGATAGAGCAGTTTGGAAACACTCTTGTTGTGGAATGTGCAAGTGGAGATTTGGAGCGCTTTGAGGCCTGTGGTAGTAAAGGGAATAGCTTCATAGAAAAACTAGACAGATGCATTCTCAGGAACTTCTTTTTGGTGATGTTTGTATTCAACTCCCAGAGTTGAACTTTCCTTTGGAAAGAGCAGCTATGAAACACTCTTTTTCTAGAATCTGCAAGTGGACGTTTGGAGGGCTTTGTGGTTTGTGGTGGAAAAGGAAATATCTTCACCTAAATACTAGATAGAAGCATTCTCAGAAGCTTCTCTGTGATGACTGCATTCAACTCACGGAGTTGAACACTCCTTTTGAGAGCGCAGTTTTGAAACTCTCTTTCTGTGGCATCTGCAAGGGGACATGTAGACCTCTTTGAAGATTTCGTTGGAAACGGAATCATCTTCACATAAAAACTATACAGAAGCAGTCTCAGAATCTTCTTTGTGATGTTTGCATTCAAATCCCAGAGTTGAACTTTCCTTTCAAAGTTCACGTTTGAAACACTCTTTTTGCAGGATCTACAAGTGGATATTTGGACCACTCTGTGTCCTTCGTTCGAAACGGGTATAACTTCACACGACATCTAGACAGAAGCTTTCTCAGAAAATTCTTTGGGATGATTGAGTGGAACTCACAGAGGTGAACATTCCTTGCGATGTAGCAGTTTAGAAACACACTTTCTGCAGAATCTGCAAGTGCATATTTGGACCTCTCTGAGGAATTCGTTGGAAACGGGATAATTTCAGCTGACTAAACAGAAGCATTCTCAGAACCTTCTTCGTGATGTCTGCATTCAACTCACAGTGTGGAACCTTTCTTTGATAGTTCAGGTTTGAAACACTCTTTTTGTAGAAACTGCAAGGGGATAATTGCACTTCTTTGAGGCCTACCGTAGTAAAGGAAATAACTTCCTATAGAAAGAAGACAGAAGCATTCTCAGAACCCTCTTCGTGATGTTTGCATTCAACTCACAGTGCTGAACCTTTCTTTGATAGTTCAGCTTTGAAACACTCTTCTTGTAGAAACTGCAAGTGGATATTTGGTCCTCTCTGAGGATTTCGTTGGAAACGGGATAAACCGCACAGAACTAAACAGAAGCATTCTCAGAACCTTCTTCGTGATGTTTGCATTCAACTCACAGTGTTGAACCTTTCTTTGATAGTTCAGGTTGGAAATGGTCTTTCTGTAGAAACTGCAAGTAGATATTTGGACCTCTCTGAGGATTTCTTTGGAAACGGGATAAACCGCACAGAACTAAAACAGAAGCATTCACAGAAAACTCTTGGTGACGACTGAGTTTAACTCACAGAGCTGAACATTCCTTTGGATGGAGCAGTTTCGAAACACACTATTTGTAGAATGTGCAAGTGGATATTTGGGCCTCTCTGAGGATTTCGTTGGAAACGGGATAAACCGCACAGAACTAAACAGAAGCATTCTCAGAAACTACTTTGTGATGATTGCATTCAAGTCACAGAGTTGAACATTCCCTTTGACAGAGCAGTTTGGAAACTCTCTTTGTGTAGAATCTGCAAGTGGAGATATGGACCGCTTTGAGGCCTATGGTAGTAAAGGAAATAGCTTCATATAAAAGCTAGACAGTCGCATTCTCAGAAACTTCTTTGTGATGCTTGCATTCAACTCACAGAGTTGAACTTTCCTTTCGAGAGAGAAGCTTTGAAACACTCTTTTTCCAGAATCTGCAAGTGGACATTTGGAGGGCTTTGAGGCCTGTGGTGGAAAAGGAATTATCTTCCCGTAAAAGCTAGATAGAAGCATTGTCAGAAACTTCTTTGTGATGATTGCATTCAACTCACAGAGATGAAGGTTCCTTTACAAACAGCAGTTTCCAAACACTCTTTCTGTGGAATCTGCAAGTGGATATTTGGACCTCTTTGAAGATTTCGTTGGAAACGGGAGAATCTTCACAGAAAAGCTAAACAGAAGCATTCTCAGAAACTTCTCTGTGATGTTTGTGTTCAACTCCCAGAGTTTCACATTGCTTTTCATAGAGTAGTTCTGAAACATGCTTTTCGTAGTGTCTGCAAGTGGACATTTGGAGCGCTTTCAGGCCTGTGGTGCAAAACGAACTATGGTCACATAAAAACTGGAGAGAAGCCTTCTCAGAAACTTCTCTGTGATGATTGCATTCAACTCACAGAGTTGAACCCTCCTATGGATAGAGCAGTGTTGAAACTCTCTTTTTGTGGAATCTGCAAGTGGATATGTGGACCTCTCCGAAGATGTCTTTGGAAACGGGAATATCTTCACATAAAAACTAAACAGAAGCATTCTCAGAAACTTCTTGGTGATGTTTGCATTCAAATCCCAGAGTTGAACCTTCCTTTGATAGTTCAGGTTTGAAACACTCTTTCTGTAGGATCTGCAAGTGGCTATTTGGACCACTCTGTGGCCTTCGTTCGAAACGGGTATATCTTCGCATAAAATCTAGACAGAAGCATTCTCAGAAAATACTTTGTGATGATTGAGTTTAAATCACAGAGCTGACCATTCCTTTGGATGGAGCAGGTTTGAGACACACTTTTTGTAGAATCTACAAGTGGATATTTGGACCTCTCTGAGGATTTCGTTGGAAACGGGATAACTGCACCTAACTAAACGGAAGCATTCTCAGAAACTGCTTTGTGATGATTGCATTCACCTCACAGAGTTGAACATTCCTATTGATAGAGCAGTTTGGAAACACTCTTGTTGTGGAATGTGCAAGTGGAGATTTGGAGCGCTTTGAGGCCTGTGGTAGTAAAGGGAATAGCTTCATAGAAAAACTAGACAGATGCATTCTCAGGAACTTTTTGGTGATGTTTGTATTCAACTCCCAGAGTTGAACTTTCCTTTGGAAAGAGCAGCTATGAAACACTCTTTTTCTAGAATCTGCAAGTGGACGTTTGGAGGGCTTTGTGGTTTGTGGTGGAAAAGGAAATATCTTCACCTAAATACTAGATAGAAGCATTCTCAGAAGCTTCTCTGTGATGACTGCATTCAACTCACGGAGTTGAACACTCCTTTTGAGAGCGCAGTTTTGAAACTCTCTTTCTGTGGCATCTGCAAGGGGACATGTAGACCTCTTTGAAGATTTCGTTGGAAACGGAATCATCTTCACATAAAAACTATACAGAAGCAGTCTCAGAATCTTCTTTGTGATGTTTGCATTCAAATCCCAGAGTTGAACTTTCCTTTCAAAGTTCACGTTTGAAACACTCTTTTTGCAGGATCTACAAGTGGATATTTGGACCACTCTGTGTCCTTCATTCGAAACGGGTATATCTTCACACGACATCTAGACAGAAGCTTTCTCAGAAAATTCTTTGGGATGATTGAGTGGAACTCACAGAGCTGAACATTCCTTGCGATGTAGCAGTTTAGAAACACACTTTCTGCAGAATCTGCAAGTGCATATTTGGACCTCTCTGAGGAATTCGTTGGAAACGGGATAATTTCAGCTGACTAAACAGAAGCATTCTCAGAACCTTCTTCGTGATGTCTGCATTCAACTCACAGTGTGGAACCTTTCTTTGATAGTTCAGGTTTGAAACACTCTTTTTGTAGAAACTGCAAGGGGATAATTGCACTTCTTTGAGGCCTACCGTAGTAAAGGAAATAACTTCCTATAGAAAGAAGACAGAAGCATTCTCAGAACCCTCTTCGTGATGTTTGCATTCAACTCACAGTGCTGAACCTTTCTTTGATAGTTCAGCTTTGAAACACTCTTCTTGTAGAAACTGCAAGTGGATATTTGGTCCTCTCTGAGGATTTCGTTGGAAACGGGATAAACCGCACAGAACTAAACAGAAGAATTCTCAGAGCCCTCTTCGTGATGTTTGCATTCAACTCACAGTGCTGAACCTTTCTTTGATAGTGCAGCTTTGAAACACTCTTTTTGTAGAAACTGCAAGTGGATGTTTGGTCCTCTCTGAGGATTTCGTTGGAAACGGGATAAACCGCACAGAACTAAAACAGAAGCATTGTCAGAAACTTCTTTGTGATGATTGCATTCAACTCACAGAGTTGAAGGTTCCTTTTCAAACAGCAGTTTCCAATCACTCTTTCTGTGGAATCTGCAAGTGGATATTTGGGCCTCTCTGAGGATTTCGTTGGAAACGGGATAAAACGCACAGAACTAAAACAGAAGCATTCTCAGAAACTTCTCTGTGATGTTTGTGTTCAACTCCCAGAGTTTCACGTTGCTTTTCATAGAGTAGTTCTGAAACATGCTTTTCGTAGTGTCTGCAAGTGGACATTTGGAGCGCTTTCAGGCCTGTGGTGGAAAACGAATTATGGTCACATAAAAACTGGAGAGAAGCCTTCTCAGAAACTTCTCTGTGATGATTGCATTCAACTCACAGAGTTGAACCCTCCTATGGATAGAGCAGTGTTGAAACTCTCTTTTTGTGGAATCTGCAAGTGGATATGTGGACCTCTCCGAAGATGTCTTTGGAAACGGGAATATCTTCACATAAAAACTAAACAGAAGCATTCTCAGAAACTTCTTGGTGATGTTTGCATTCAAATCCCAGAGTTGAACCTTCCTTTGGTAGTTCAGGTTTGAAACACTCTTTTTGTAGGATCTGCAAGTGGCTATTTGGACCACTCTGTGGCCTTCGTTCGAAACGGGTATATCTTCGCATAAAATCTAGACAGAAGCATTCTCAGAAAATACTTTGTGATGATTGAGTTTAAATCACAGAGCTGAACATTCCTTTGGATGGAGCAGGTTTGAGACACACTTTTTGTAGAATCTACAAGTGGATATTTGGACCTCTCTGAGGATTTCGTTGGAAACGGGATAACTGCACCTAACTAAACGGAAGCATTCTCAGAAACTGCTTTGTGATGATTGCATTCACCTCACAGAGTTGAACATTCCTATTGATAGAGCAGTTTGGAAACACTCTTGTTGTGGAATGTGCAAGTGGAGATTTGGAGCGCTTTGAGGCCTATGGTAGTAAAGGGAATAGCTTCATAGAAAAACTAGACAGAATGCATTCTCAGGGAACTTTTTGGTGATGTTTGTATTCAACTCCCAGAGTTGAACTTTCCTTTGGAAAGAGCAGCTATGAAACACTCTTTTTCTAGAATCTGCAAGTGGACGTTTGGAGGGCTTTGTGGTTTGTGGTGGAAAAGGAAATATCTTCACCTAAATACTAGATAGAAGCATTCTCAGAAGCTTCTCTGTGATGACTGCATTCAACTCACGGAGTTGAACACTCCTTTTGAGAGCGCAGTTTTGAAACTCTCTTTCTGTGGCATCCGCAAGGGGACATGTGGACCTCTTTGAAGATTTCGTTGGAAATGGAATCATCTTCACATAAAAACTATACAGAAGCAGTCTCAGAATCTTCTTTGTGATGTTTGCATTCAAATCCCAGAGTTGAACTTTCCTTTCAAAGTTCACGTTTGAAACACTCTTTTTGCAGGATCTACAAGTGGATATTTGGACCACTCTGTGTCCTTCGTTCGAAACGGGTATATCTTCACACGACATCTAGACAGAAGCTTTCTCAGAAAATTCTTTGGGATGATTGAGTGGAACTCACAGAGCTGAACATTCCTTGCGATGTAGCAGTTTAGAAACACACTTTCTGCAGAATCTGCAAGTGCATATTTGGACCTCTCTGAGGAATTCGTTGGAAACGGGATAATTTCAGCTGACTAAACAGAAGCATTCTCAGAACCTTCTTCGTGATGTCTGCATTCAACTCACAGTGTGGAACCTTTCTTTGATAGTTCAGGTTTGAAACACTCTTTTTGTAGAAACTGCAAGGGGATAATTGCACTTCTTTGAGGCCTACCGTAGTAAAGGAAATAACTTCCTATAGAAAGAAGACAGAAGCATTCTCAGAACCCTCTTCGTGATGTTTGCATTCAACTCACAGTGCTGAACCTTTCTTTGATAGTTCAGCTTTGAAACACTCTTCTTGTAGAAACTGCAAGTGGATATTTGGTCCTCTCTGAGGATTTCGTTGGAAACGGGATAAACCGCACAGAACTAAACAGAAGAATTCTCAGAGCCCTCTTCGTGATGTTTGCATTCAACTCACAGTGCTGAACCTTTCTTTGATAGTGCAGCTTTGAAACACTCTTTTTGTAGAAACTGCAAGTGGATGTTTGGTCCTCTCTGAGGATTTCGTTGGAAACGGGATAAACCGCACAGAACTAAAACAGAAGCATTGTCAGAAACTTCTTTGTGATGATTGCATTCAACTCACAGAGTTGAAGGTTCCTTTTCAAACAGCAGTTTCCAATCACTCTTTCTGTGGAATCTGCAAGTGGATATTTGGGCCTCTCTGAGGATTTCGTTGGAAACGGGATAAAACGCACAGAACTAAAACAGAAGCATTCTCAGAAACTTCTCTGTGATGTTTGTGTTCAACTCCCAGAGTTTCACGTTGCTTTTCATAGAGTAGTTCTGAAACATGCTTTTCGTAGTGTCTGCAAGTGGACATTTGGAGCGCTTTCAGGCCTGTGGTGGAAAACGAATTATGGTCACATAAAAACTGGAGAGAAGCCTTCTCAGAAACTTCTCTGTGATGATTGCATTCAACTCACAGAGTTGAACCCTCCTATGGATAGAGCAGTGTTGAAACTCTCTTTTTGTGGAATCTGCAAGTGGATATGTGGACCTCTCCGAAGATGTCTTTGGAAACGGGAATATCTTCACATAAAAACTAAACAGAAGCATTCTCAGAAACTTCTTGGTGATGTTTGCATTCAAATCCCAGAGTTGAACCTTCCTTTGATAGTTCAGGTTTGAAACACTCTTTCTGTAGGATCTGCAAGTGGCTATTTGGACCACTCTGTGGCCTTCGTTCGAAACGGGTATATCTTCGCATAAAATCTAGACAGAAGCATTCTCAGAAAATACTTTGTGATGATTGAGTTTAAATCACAGAGCTGACCATTCCTTTGGATGGAGCAGGTTTGAGACACACTTTTTGTAGAATCTACAAGTGGATATTTGGACCTCTCTGAGGATTTCGTTGGAAACGGGATAACTGCACCTAACTAAACGGAAGCATTCTCAGAAACTGCTTTGTGATGATTGCATTCACCTCACAGAGTTGAACATTCCTATTGATAGAGCAGTTTGGAAACACTCTTGTTGTGGAATGTGCAAGTGGAGATTTGGAGCGCTTTGAGGCCTATGGTAGTAAAGGGAATAGCTTCATAGAAAAACTAGACAGATGCATTCTCAGGAACCTTTTGGTGATGTTTGTATTCAACTCCCAGAGTTGAACTTTCCTTTGGAAAGAGCAGCTATGAAACACTCTTTTTCTAGAATCTGCAAGTGGACGTTTGGAGGGCTTTGTGGTTTGTGGTGGAAAAGGAAATATCTTCACCTAAATACTAGATAGAAGCATTCTCAGAAGCTTCTCTGTGATGACTGCATTCAACTCACGGAGTTGAACACTCCTTTTGAGAGCGCAGTTTTGAAACTCTCTTTCTGTGGCATCTGCAAGGGGACATGTAGACCTCTTTGAAGATTTCGTTGGAAACGGAATCATCTTCACATAAAAACTATACAGAAGCAGTCTCAGAATCTTCTTTGTGATGTTTGCATTCAAATCCCAGAGTTGAACTTTCCTTTCAAAGTTCACGTTTGAAACACTCTTTTTGCAGGATCTACAAGTGGATATTTGGACCACTCTGTGTCCTTCGTTCGAAACGGGTATATCTTCACACGACATCTAGACAGAAGCTTTCTCAGAAAATTCTTTGGGATGATTGAGTGGAACTCACAGAGCTGAACATTCCTTGCGATGTAGCAGTTTAGAAACACACTTTCTGCAGAATCTGCAAGTGCATATTTGGACCTCTCTGAGGAATTCGTTGGAAACGGGATAATTTCAGCTGACTAAACAGAAGCATTCTCAGAACCTTCTTCGTGATGTCTGCATTCAACTCACAGTGTGGAACCTTTCTTTGATAGTTCAGGTTTGAAACACTCTTTTTGTAGAAACTGCAAGGGGATAATTGCACTTCTTTGAGGCCTACCGTAGTAAAGGAAATAACTTCCTATAGAAAGAAGACAGAAGCATTCTCAGAACCCTCTTCGTGATGTTTGCATTCAACTCACAGTGCTGAACCTTTCTTTGATAGTTCAGCTTTGAAACACTCTTCTTGTAGAAACTGCAAGTGGATATTTGGTCCTCTCTGAGGATTTCGTTGGAAACGGGATAAACCGCACAGAACTAAACAGAAGAATTCTCAGAGCCCTCTTCGTGATGTTTGCATTCAACTCACAGTGCTGAACCTTTCTTTGATAGTGCAGCTTTGAAACACTCTTTTTGTAGAAACTGCAAGTGGATGTTTGGTCCTCTCTGAGGATTTCGTTGGAAACGGGATAAACCGCACAGAACTAAAACAGAAGCATTCACAGAAAACTCTTGGTGACGACTGAGTTTAACTCACAGAGCTGAACATTCCTTTGGATGGAGCAGTTTCGAAACACACCATTTGTAGAATCTGCAAGTGGATATTTGGGCCTCTCTGAGGATTTCGTTGGAAACGGGATAAAACGCACAGAACTAAAACAGAAGCATTCTCAGAAACTACTTTGTGATGATTGCATTCAAGTCACAGAGTTGAACATTCCCTTTGACAGAGCAGTTTGGAAACTCTCTTTGTGTAGAATCTGCAAGTGGAGATATGGACCGCTTTGAGGCCTATGGTAGTAAAGGAAATAGCTTCATATAAAAGCTAGACAGTAGCATTCTCAGAAACTTCTTTGTGATGCTTGCATTCAACTCACAGAGTTGAACTTTCCTTTCGAGAGAGAAGCTTTGAAACACTCTTTTTCCAGAATCTGCAAGTGGACATTTGGAGGGCTTTGAGGCCTGTGGTGGAAAAGGAATTATCTTCCCGTAAAAGCTAGACAGAAGCATTGTCAGAAACTTCTTTGTGATGATTGCATTCAACTCACAGAGTTGAAGGTTCCTTTTCAAAGAGCAGTTTCCAATCACTCTTTCTGTGGAATCTGCAAGTGGATGTTTGGACCTCTTTGAAGATTTCGTTGGAAACGGGAGAATCTTCACAGAAAAGCTAAACAGAAGCATTCTCAGAAACTTCTCTGTGATGTTTGTGTTCAACTCCCAGAGTTTCACGTTGTTTTTCATAGAGTAGTTCTGAAACATGCTTTTCGTAGTGTCTGCAAGTGGACATTTGGAGCGCTTTCAGGCCTGTGGTGGAAAACGAATTATGGTCACATAAAAACTGGAGAGAAGCCTTCTCAGAAACTTGTCTGTGATGATTGCATTCAACTCACAGAGTTGAACCCTCCTATGGATAGAGCAGTGTTGAAACTCTCTTTTTGTGGAATCTGCAAGTGGATATGTGGACCTCTCCGAAGATGTCTTTGGAAACGGGAATATCTTCACATAAAAACTAAACAGAAGCATTCTCAGAAACTTCTTGGTGATGTTTGCATTCAAATCCCAGAGTTGAACCTTCCTTTGATAGTTCAGGTTTGAAACACTCTTTTTGTAGGATCTGCAAGTGGCTATTTGGACCACTCTGTGGCCTTCGTTCGAAACGGGTATATCTTCGCATAAAATCTAGACAGAAGCATTCTCAGAAAATACTTTGTGATGATTGAGTTTAAATCACAGAGCTGAACATTCCTTTGGATGGAGCAGGTTTGAGACACACTTTTTGTAGAATCTACAAGTGGATATTTGGACCTCTCTGAGGATTTCGTTGGAAACGGGATAACTGCACCTAACTAAACGGAAGCATTCTCAGAAACTGCTTTGTGATGATTGCATTCACCTCACAGAGTTGAACATTCCTATTGATAGAGCAGTTTGGAAACACTCTTGTTGTGGAATGTGCAAGTGGAGATTTGGAGCGCTTTGAGGCCTATGGTAGTAAAGGGAATAGCTTCATAGAAAAACTAGACAGATGCATTCTCAGGAACTTTTTGGTGATGTTTGTATTCAACTCCCAGAGTTGAACTTTCCTTTGGAAAGAGCAGCTATGAAACACTCTTTTTCTAGAATCTGCAAGTGGACGTTTGGAGGGCTTTGTGGTTTGTGGTGGAAAAGGAAATATCTTCACCTAAATACTAGAGAGAAGCATTCTCAGAAGCTTCTCTGTGATGACTGCATTCAACTCACGGGGTTGAACACTCCTTTTGGGAGCGCAGTTTTGAAACTCTCTTTCTGTGGCATCTGCAAGGGGACATGTAGACCTCTTTGAAGATTTCGTTGGAAACGGAATCATCTTCACATAAAAACTATACAGAAGCAGTCTCAGAATCTTCTTTGTGATGTTTGCATTCAAATCCCAGAGTTGAACTTTCCTTTCAAAGTTCACGTTTGAAACACTCTTTTTGCAGGATCTACAAGTGGATATTTGGACCACTCTGAGTCCTTCGTTCGAAACGGGTATACCTTCACATGACATCTAGACAGAAGCTTTCTCAGAAAATTCTTTGGGATGATTGAGTGGAACTCACAGAGCTGAACATTCCTTGCGATGGAGCAGTTTAGAAACACACTTTCTGCAGAATCTGCAAGTGCATATTTGGACCTCTCTGAGGAATTCGTTGGAAACGGGATAATTTCAGCTGACTAAACAGAAGCATTCTCAGAACCTTCTTCGTGATGTCTGCATTCAACTCACAGTGTGGAACCTTTCTTTGATAGTTCAGGTTTGAAACACTCTTTTTGTAGAAACTGCAAGGGGATAATTGCACTTCTTTGAGGCCTACCGTAGTAAAGGAAATAACTTCCTATAGAAAGAAGACAGAAGCATTCTTCAGAACCCTCTTCGTGATGTTTGCATTCAACTCACAGTGCTGAACCTTTCTTTGATAGTTCAGCTTTGAAACACTCTTCTTGTAGAAACTGCAAGTGGATATTTGGTCCTCTCTGAGGATTTCGTTGGAAACGGGATAAACCGCACAGAACTAAACAGAAGAATTCTCAGAGCCCTCTTCGTGATGTTTGCATTCAACTCACAGTGCTGAACCTTTCTTTGATAGTGCAGCTTTGAAACACTCTTTTTGTAGAAACTGCAAGTGGATGTTTGGTCCTCTCTGAGGATTTCGTTGGAAACGGGATAAACCGCACAGAACTAAAACAGAAGCATTGTCAGAAACTTCTTTGTGATGATTGCATTCAACTCACAGAGTTGAAGGTTCCTTTTCAAACAGCAGTTTCCAATCACTCTTTCTGTGGAATCTGCAAGTGGATATTTGGGCCTCTCTGAGGATTTCGTTGGAAACGGGATAAAACGCACAGAACTAAAACAGAAGCATTCTCAGAAACTTCTCTGTGATGTTTGTGTTCAACTCCCAGAGTTTCACGTTGCTTTTCATAGAGTAGTTCTGAAACATGCTTTTCGTAGTGTCTGCAAGTGGACATTTGGAGCGCTTTCAGGCCTGTGGTGGAAAACGAATTATGGTCACATAAAAACTGGAGAGAAGCCTTCTCAGAAACTTCTCTGTGATGATTGCATTCAACTCACAGAGTTGAACCCTCCTATGGATAGAGCAGTGTTGAAACTCTCTTTTTGTGGAATCTGCAAGTGGATATGTGGACCTCTCCGAAGATGTCTTTGGAAACGGGAATATCTTCACATAAAAACTAAACAGAAGCATTCTCAGAAACTTCTTGGTGATGTTTGCATTCAAATCCCAGAGTTGAACCTTCCTTTGATAGTTCAGGTTTGAAACACTCTTTCTGTAGGATCTGCAAGTGGCTATTTGGACCACTCTGTGGCCTTCGTTCGAAACGGGTATATCTTCGCATAAAATCTAGACAGAAGCATTCTCAGAAAATACTTTGTGATGATTGAGTTTAAATCACAGAGCTGACCATTCCTTTGGATGGAGCAGGTTTGAGACACACTTTTTGTAGAATCTACAAGTGGATATTTGGACCTCTCTGAGGATTTCGTTGGAAACGGGATAACTGCACCTAACTAAACGGAAGCATTCTCAGAAACTGCTTTGTGATGATTGCATTCACCTCACAGAGTTGAACATTCCTATTGATAGAGCAGTTTGGAAACACTCTTGTTGTGGAATGTGCAAGTGGAGATTTGGAGCGCTTTGAGGCCTATGGTAGTAAAGGGAATAGCTTCATAGAAAAACTAGACAGAAGCATTCTCAGAAACTTCTCTGTGATGTTTGTGTTCAACTCCCAGAGTTTCACATTGCTTCTCATAGAGTAGTTCTGAAACATGCTTTTCGTAGTATCTGCAAGTGGACATTTGGAGCGCTTTCAGGCCTGTGGTGGAAAACGAATTATGGTCACATAAAAACTGGAGAGAAGCCTTCTCAGAAACTTCTCTGTGATGATTGCATTCAACTCACAGAGTTGAACCCTCCTATGCATAGAGCAGTGTTGAAACTCTCTTTTTGTGGAATCTGCAAGTGGATATGTGGACCTCTCCGAAGATGTCTTTGGAAACGGGAATATCTTCACATAAAAACTAAACAGAAGCATTCTCAGAAACTTCTTGGTGATGTTTGCATTCAAATCCCAGAGTTGAACCTTCCTTTGATAGTTCAGGTTTGAAACACTCTTTTTGTAGGATCTGCAAGTGGATATTTGGACCACTCTGTGGCCTTCGTTCGAAACGGGTACATCTTCGCATAAAATCTAGACAGAAGCATTCTCAGAAAATATTTTGTGATGATTGAGTTGAACTCACAGAGCTGAACATTCCTTTGGATGGAGCAGGTTTGAGACACACTTTTTGTAGAAACTACAAGTGGATATTTGGACCTCTCTGAGGATTTCGTTGGAAACGGGATAACTGCACCTAACTAAACGGAAGCATTCTCAGAAACTGCTTTGTGACGATTGCATTCACCTCACAGAGTTGAACATTCCTATTGATAGAGCAGGTTGGAAACACTCTTGTTGTGGAATGTGCAAGTGGAGATTTGGAGCGCTTTGAGGCCTATGGTAGTAAAGGGAATAGCTTCATAGAAAAACTAGACAGATGCATTCTCAGGAACTTTTTGGTGATGTTTGTATTCAACTCCCAGAGTTGAACTTTCCTTTGGAAAGAGCAGCTATGAAACACTCTTTTTCTAGGATCTGCAAGTGGACGTTTGGAGGGCTTTGTGGTTTGTGGTGGAAAAGGAAATATCTTCACCTAAATACTAGAGAGAAGCATTCTCAGAAGCTTCTCTGTGATGACTGCATTCAACTCACGGAGTTGAACACTCCTTTTGAGAGCGCAGTTTTGAAACTCTCTTTCTGTGGCATCCGCAAGGGGACATGTAGACCTCTTTGAAGATTTCGTTGGAAACGGAATCATCTTCACATAAAAACTATACAGAAGCAGTCTCAGAATCTTCTTTGTGATGTTTGCATTCAAATCCCAGAGTTGAACTTTCCTTTCAAAGTTCACGTTTGAAACACTCTTTTTGCAGGATCTACAAGTGGATATTTGGACCACTCTGTGTCCTTCGTTCGAAACGGGTATATCTTCACATGACATCTAGACAGAAGCTTTCTCAGAAAATTCTTTGGATGATTGAGTGGAACTCACAGAGCTGAACATTCCTTGCGATGTAGCAGTTTAGAAACACACTTTCTGCAGAATCTGCAAGTGCATATTTGGACCTCTCTGAGGAATTCGTTGGAAACGGGATAATTTCAGCTGACTAAACAGAAGCATTCTCAGAACCTTCTTCGTGATGTCTGCATTCAACTCACAGTGTGGAACCTTTCTTTGATAGTTCAGGTTTGAAACACTCTTTTTGTAGAAACTGCAAGGGGATAATTGCACTTCTTTGAGGGCTAACCGTAGTAAAGGAGATAACTTCCTATAAAAAGAAGACAGAAGCATTCTCAGAACCCTCTTCGTGATGTTTGCATTCAACTCACAGTGCTGAACCTTTCTTTGATAGTTCAGCTTTGAAACACTCTTCTTGTAGAAACTGCAAGTGGATATTTGGTCCTCTCTGAGGATTTCGTTGGAAACGGGATAAACCGCACAGAACTAAACAGAAGAATTCTCAGAGCCCTCTTCGTGATGTTTGCATTCAACTCACAGTGCTGAACCTTTCTTTGATAGTGCAGCTTTGAAACACTCTTTTTGTAGAAACTGCAAGTGGATGTTTGGTCCTCTCTGAGGATTTCGTTGGAAACGGGATAAACCGCACAGAACTAAAACAGAAGCATTGTCAGAAACTTCTTTGTGATGATTGCATTCAACTCACAGAGTTGAAGGTTCCTTTTCAAACAGCAGTTTCCAATCACTCTTTCTGTGGAATCTGCAAGTGGATATTTGGGCCTCTCTGAGGATTTCGTTGGAAACGGGATAAAACGCACAGAACTAAAACAGAAGCATTCTCAGAAACTTCTCTGTGATGTTTGTGTTCAACTCCCAGAGTTTCACGTTGCTTTTCATAGAGTAGTTCTGAAACATGCTTTTCGTAGTGTCTGCAAGTGGACATTTGGAGCGCTTTCAGGCCTGTGGTGGAAAACGAATTATGGTCACATAAAAACTGGAGAGAAGCCTTCTCAGAAACTTCTCTGTGATGATTGCATTCAACTCACAGAGTTGAACCCTCCTATGGATAGAGCAGTGTTGAAACTCTCTTTTTGTGGAATCTGCAAGTGGATATGTGGACCTCTCCGAAGATGTCTTTGGAAACGGGAATATCTTCACATAAAAACTAAACAGAAGCATTCTCAGAAACTTCTTGGTGATGTTTGCATTCAAATCCCAGAGTTGAACCTTCCTTTGATAGTTCAGGTTTGAAACACTCTTTTTGTAGGATCTGCAAGTGGCTATTTGGACCACTCTGTGGCCTTCGTTCGAAACGGGTATATCTTCGCATAAAATCTAGACAGAAGCATTCTCAGAAAATACTTTGTGATGATTGAGTTTAAATCACAGAGCTGAACATTCCTTTGGATGGAGCAGGTTTGAGACACACTTTTTGTAGAATCTACAAGTGGATATTTGGACCTCTCAGAGGATTTCGTTGGAAACGGGATAACTGCACCTAACTAAACGGAAGCATTCTCAGAAACTGCTTTGTGATGATAGCATTCACCTCACAGAGTTGAACATTCCTATTGATAGAGCAGTTTGGAAACACTCTTGTTGTGGAATGTGCAAGTGGAGATTTGGAGCTCTTTGAGGCCTATGGTAGTAAAGGGAATAGCTTCATAGAAAAACTAGACAGATGCATTCTCAGGAACTTTTTGGTGATGTTTGTATTCAACTCCCAGAGTTGAACTTTCCTTTGGAAAGAGCAGCTATGAAACACTCTTTTTCTAGAATCTGCAAGTGGACGTTTGGAGGGCTTTGTGGTTTGTGGTGGAAAAGGAAATATCTTCACCTAAATACTAGATAGAAGCATTCTCAGAAGCTTCTCTGTGATGACTGCATTCAACTCACGGAGTTGAACACTCCTTTTGAGAGCGCAGTTTTGAAACTCTCTTTCTGTGGCATCCGCAAGGGGACATGTAGACCTCTTTGAAGATTTCGTTGGAAACGGAATCATCTTCACATAAAAACTATACAGAAGCAGTCTCAGAATCTTCTTTGTGGTGTTTGCATTCAAATCCCAGAGTTGAACTTTCCTTTCAAAGTTCACGTTTGAAACACTCTTTTTGCAGGATCTACAAGTGGATATTTGGACCACTCTGTGTCCTTCGTTCGAAACGGGTATATCTTCACATGACATCTAGACAGAAGCTTTCTCAGAAAATTCTTTGGGATGATTGAGTGGAACTCACAGAGCTGAACATTCCTTGCGATGTAGCAGTTTAGAAACACACTTTCTGCAGAATCTGCAAGTGCATATTTGGACCTCTCTGAGGAATTCGTTGGAAACGGGATAATTTCAGCTGACTAAACAGAAGCATTCTCAGAACCTTCTTCGTGATGTCTGCATTCAACTCACAGTGTGGAACCTTTCTTTGATAGTTCAGGTTTGAAACACTCTTTTTGTAGAAACTGCAAGGGGATAATTGCACTTCTTTGAGGCCTACCGTAGTAAAGGAAATAACTTCCTATAGAAAGAAGACAGAAGCATTCTCAGAACCCTCTTCGTGATGTTTGCATTCAACTCACAGTGCTGAACCTTTCTTTGATAGTTCAGCTTTGAAACACTCTTCTTGTAGAAACTGCAAGTGGATATTTGGTCCTCTCTGAGGATTTCGTTGGAAACGGGATAAACCGCACAGAACTAAACAGAAGAATTCTCAGAGCCCTCTTCGTGATGTTTGCATTCAACTCACAGTGCTGAACCTTTCTTTGATAGTGCAGCTTTGAAACACTCTTTTTGTAGAAACTGCAAGTGGATGTTTGGTCCTCTCTGAGGATTTCGTTGGAAACGGGATAAACCGCACAGAACTAAAACAGAAGCATTGTCAGAAACTTCTTTGTGATGATTGCATTCAACTCACAGAGTTGAAGGTTCCTTTTCAAACAGCAGTTTCCAATCACTCTTTCTGTGGAATCTGCAAGTGGATATTTGGGCCTCTCTGAGGATTTCGTTGGAAACGGGATAAAACGCACAGAACTAAAACAGAAGCATTCTCAGAAACTTCTCTGTGATGTTTGTGTTCAACTCCCAGAGTTTCACGTTGCTTTTCATAGAGTAGTTCTGAAACATGCTTTTCGTAGTGTCTGCAAGTGGACATTTGGAGCGCTTTCAGGCCTGTGGTGGAAAACGAATTATGGTCACATAAAAACTGGAGAGAAGCCTTCTCAGAAACTTCTCTGTGATGATTGCATTCAACTCACAGAGTTGAACCCTCCTATGGATAGAGCAGTGTTGAAACTCTCTTTTTGTGGAACCTGCAAGTGGATATGTGGACCTCTCCGAAGATGTCTTTGGAAACGGGAATATCTTCACATAAAAACTAAACAGAAGCATTCTCAGAAACTTCTTGGTGATGTTTGCATTCAAATCCCAGAGTTGAACCTTCCTTTGATAGTTCAGGTTTGAAACACTCTTTCTGTAGGATCTGCAAGTGGCTATTTGGACCACTCTGTGGCCTTCGTTCGAAACGGGTATATCTTCGCATAAAATCTAGACAGAAAGCATTCTCAGAAAATACTTTGTGATGATTGAGTTTAAATCACAGAGCTGAACATTCCTTTGGATGGAGCAGGTTTGAGACACACTTTTTGTAGAATCTACAAGTGGATATTTGGACCTCTCTGAGGATTTCGTTGGAAACGGGATAACTGCACCTAACTAAACGGAAGCATTCTCAGAAACTGCTTTGTGATGATTGCATTCACCTCACAGAGTTGAACATTCCTATTGATAGAGCAGTTTGGAAACACTCTTGTTGTGGAATGTGCAAGTGGAGATTTGGAGCGCTTTGAGGCCTATGATAGTAAAGGGAATAGCTTCATAGAAAAACTAGACAGATGCATTCTCAGGAACTTTTTGGTGATGTTTGTATTCAACTCCCAGAGTTGAACTTTCCTTTGGAAAGAGCAGCTATGAAACACTCTTTTTCTAGAATCTGCAAGTGGACGTTTGGAGGGCTTTGTGGTTTGTGGTGGAAAAGGAAATATCTTCACCGAAATACTAGAGAGAAGCATTCTCAGAAGCTTCTCTGTGATGACTGCATTCAACTCACGGAGTTGAACACTCCTTTTGAGAGCGCAGTTTTGAAACTCTCTTTCTGTGGCATCTGCAAGGGGACATGTAGACCTCTTTGAAGATTTCGTTGGAAACGGAATCATCTTCACATCAAAACTATACAGAAGCAGTCTCAGAATCTTCTTTGTGATGTTTGCATTCAAATCCCAGAGTTGAACTTTCCTTTCAAAGTTCACGTTTGAAACACTCTTTTTGCAGGATCTACAAGTGGATATTTGGACCACTCTGCGTCCTTCGTTCGAAACGGGTATATCTTCACATGACATCTAGACAGAAGCTTTCTCAGAAAATTCTTTGGGATGATTGAGTGGAACTCACAGAGCTGAACATTCCTTGCGATGTAGCAGTTTAGAAACACACTTTCTGCAGTATCTTCAAGTGCATATTTGGACCTCTGTGAGGAATTCGTTGGAAACGGGATAATTTCAGCTGACTAAACAGAAGCATTCTCAGAACCTTCTTCGTGATGTCTGCATTCAACTCACAGTGTGGAACCTTTCTTTGATAGTTCAGGTTTGAAACACTCTTTTTGTAGAAACTGCAAGGGGATAATTGCACTTCTTTGAGGCCTACCGTAGTAAAGGAAATAACTTCCTATAGAAAGAAGACAGAAGAATTCTCAGAGCCCTCTTCGTGATGTTTGCATTCAACTCAAAGTGCTGAACCTTTCTTTGATAGTGCAGCTTTGAAACACTCTTTTTGTAGAAACTGCAAGTGGATATTTGGTCCTCTCTGAGGATTTCGTTGGAAACGGGATAAACCGCACAGAACTAAAACAGAAGCATTCACAGAAAACTCTTGTTGACGACTGAGTTTAACTCACAGAGCTGAACATTCCTTTGGATGGAGCAGTTTCGAAACACACTATTTGTAGAATCTGCAAGTGGATATTTGGGCCTCTCTGAGGATTTCGTTGGAAACGGGATAAAACGCACAGAACTAAAACAGAAGCATTCTCAGAAACTACTTTCTGATTATTGCATTCAAGTCACAGAGTTGAACATTCCCTTTGACAGAGCAGTTTGGAAACTCTCTTTGTGTAGAATCTGCAAGTGGAGATATGGACCGCTTTGAGGCCTATGGTAGTAAAGGAAATAGCTTCATATAAAAGCTAGACAGTAGCATTCTCAGAAACTTCTTTGTGATGCTTGCATTCAACTCACAGAGTTGAACTTTCCTTTCGAGAGAGAAGCTTTGAAACACTCTTTTTCCAGAATCTGCAAGTGGACATTTGGAGGGCTTTGAGGCCTGTGGTGGAAAAGGAATTATCTTCCCGTAAAAGCTAGATAGAAGCATTGTCAGAAACTTCTTTGTGATGATTGCATTCAACTCACAGAGTTGAAGGTTCCTTTTCAAAGAGCAGTTTCCAATCACTCTTTCTGTGGAATCTGCAAGTGGATATTTGGACCTATTTTGAAGATTTCGTTGGAAACGGGAGAATCTTCACAGGAAAGCTAAACAGAAGCATTCTCAGAAACTTCTCTGTGATGTTTGTGTTCAACTCCCAGAGTTTCACATTGCTTTTCATAGAGTAGTTCTGAAACATGCTTTTCGTAGTGTCTACAAGTGGACATTTGGAGCGCTTTCAGGCCTGTGGTGGAAAACGAATTATGGTCACATAAAAACTGGAGAGAAGCCTTCTCAGAAACTTCTCTGTGATGATTGCATTCAACTCACAGAGTTGAACCCTCCTATGGATAGAGCAGTGTTGAAACTCTCTTTTTGTGGAATCTGCAAGTGGATATGTGGACCTCTCCGAAGATGTCTTTGGAAACGGGAATATCTTCACATAAAAACTAAACAGAAGCATTCTCAGAAACTTCTTGGTGATGTTTGCATTCAAATCCCAGAGTTGAACCTTCCTTTGATAGTTCAGGTTTGAAACACTCTTTTTGTAGGATCTGCAAGTGGATATTTGGACCACTCTGTGGCCTTCATTCGAAACGGGTATATCTTCGCATAAAATCTAGACAGAAGCATTCTCAGAAAATACTTTGTGATGATTGAGTTTAACTCACAGAGCTGAACATTCCTTTGGATGGAGCAGGTTTGAGACACACCTTTTGTAGAATCTACAAGTGGATATTTGGACCTCTCTGAGGATTTCGTTGGAAACGGGATAACTGCACCTAACTAAACGGAAGCATTCTCAGAAACTGCTTTGTGATGATTGCATTCACCTCACAGAGTTGAACATTCCTATTGATAGAGCAGTTTGGAAACACTCTTGTTGTGGAATGTGCAAGTGGAGATTTGGAGCGCTTTGAGGCCTATGGTAGTAAAGGGAATAGCTTCATAGAAAAACTAGACAGATGCATTCTCAGGAACTTTTTGGTGATGTTTGTATTCAACTCCCAGAGTTGAACTTTCCTTTGGAAAGAGCAGCTATGAAACACTCTTTTTCTAGAATCTGCAAGTGGACGTTTGGAGGGCTTTGTGGTTTGTGGTGGAAAAGGAAATATCTTCACCTAAATACTAGATAGAAGCATTCTCAGAAGCTTCTCTGTGATGACTGCATTCAACTCACGGAGTTGAACACTCCTTTTGAGAGCGCAGTTTTGAAACTCTCTTTCTGTGGCATCCGCAAGGGGACATGTGGACCTCTTTGAAGATTTCGTTGGAAACGGAATCATCTTCACATAAAAACTATACAGAAGCAGTCTCAGAATCTTCTTTGTGATGTTTGCATTCAAATCCCCGAGTTGAACTTTCCTTTCAAAGTTCACGTTTGAAACACTCTTTTTGCAGGATCTACAAGTGGATATTTGGACCACTCTGTGTCCTTCGTTCGAAACGGGTATATCTTCACATGACATCTAGACAGAAGCTTTCTCAGAAAATTCTTTAGGATGATTGAGTTGAACTCACAGAGCTGAGCATTCCTTGCGATGTAGCAGTTTAGAAACACACTTTCTGCAGAATCTGCAAGTGCATATTTGGACCTCTGTGAGGAATTCGTTGGAAACGGGATAATTTCAGCTGACTAAACAGAAGCATTCTCAGAACCTTCTTCGTGATGTCTGCATTCAACTCACAGTGTGGAACCTTTCTTTGATAGTTCAGGTTTGAAACACTCTTTTTGTAGAAACTGCAAGGGGATAATTGCACTCTTTGAGGAGTACCGTAGTAAAGGAAATAACTTCCTATAAAAAGAAGACAGAAGCATTCTCAGAACCCTCTTCGTGATGTTTGCATTCAACTCACAGTGCTGAACCTTTCTTTGATAGTTCAGCTTTGAAACACTCTTCTTGTAGAAACTGCAAGTGGATATTTGGTCTTCTCTGAGGATTTCGTTGGAAACGGGATAAACTGCACAGAACTAAACAGAAGCATTCTCAGAACCTTCTTCGTGATGTTTGCATTCAACTCACAGTGTTGAACCTTTCTTTGATAGTTCAGGTTTGAAACGGTCTTTCTGTAGAAACTGCAAGTAGATATTTGGACCTCTCTGAGGATTTCGTTGGAAACGGGATAACCCGCACAGAACTAAAACAGAAGCATTCACAGAAAACTCTTGGTGACGACTGAGTTTAACTCACAGAGCTGAACATTCCTTTGGATGGAGCAGTTTCGAAACACACTATTTGTAGAATGTGCAAGTGGATATTTGGGCCTCTCTGAGGATTTCGTTGGAAACGGGATAAACCGCACAGAACTAAACAGAAGCATTCTCAGAAACTACTTTGTGATGATTGCATTCAAGTCACAGACTTGAACATTCCCTTTGACAGAGCAGTTTGGAAACTCTCTTTGTGTAGAATCTGCAAGTGGAGATATGGACCGCTTTGAGGCCTATGGTAGTAAAGGAAATAGCTTCATATAAAAGCTAGACAGTAGCATTCTCAGAAACTTCTTTGTGATGCTTGCATTCAACTCACAGAGTTGAACTTTCCTTTCGAGAGAGAAGCTTTGAAAAACTCTTTTCCAGAATCTGCAAGTGGACATTTGGAGGGCATTGAGGCCTGTGGTGGAAAAGGAATTATCTTCCCGTAAAAGCTAGACAGAAGCATTGTCAGAAACTTCTTTGTGATGATTGCATTCAAGTCACAGAGTTGAAGGTTCCTTTTCAAAGAGCAGTTTCCAATCACTCTTTCTGTGGAATCTGCAAGTGGATATTTGGACCTCTTTGAAGATTTCGTTGGAAACGGGAGAATCTTCACAGAAATGCTAAACAGAAGCATTCTCAGAAACTTCTCTGTGATGTTTGTGTTCAACTCCCAGAGTTTCACGTTGCTTTTCATAGAGTAGTTCTGAAACATGCTTTTCGTAGTGTCTGCAAGTGGACATTTGGAGCGCTTTCAGGCCTGTGGTGGAAAACGAATTATGGTCACATAAAAACTGGAGAGAAGCCTTCTCAGAAACTTCTCTGTGATGATTGCATTCAACTCACAGAGTTGAACCCTCCTATGGATAGAGCAGTGTTGAAACTCTCTTTTTGTGGAATCTGCAAGTGGATATGTGGACCTCTCCGAAGATGTCTTTGGAAACGGGAATATCTTCACATAAAAACTAAACAGAAGCATTCTCAGAAACTTCTTGGTGATGTTTGCATTCAAATCCCAGAGTTGAACCTTCCTTTGATAGTTCAGGTTTGAAACACTCTTTCTGTAGGATCTGCAAGTGGCTATTTGGACCACTCTGTGGCCTTCGTTCGAAACGGGTATATCTTCGCATAAAATCTAGACAGAAGCATTCTCAGAAAATACTTTGTGATGATTGAGTTTAAATCACAGAGCTGACCATTCCTTTGGATGGAGCAGGTTTGAGACACACTTTTTGTAGAATCTACAAGTGGATATTTGGACCTCTCTGAGGATTTCGTTGGAAACGGGATAACTGCACCTAACTAAACGGAAGCATTCTCAGAAACTGCTTTGTGATGATTGCATTCACCTCACAGAGTTGAACATTCCTATTGATAGAGCAGTTTGGAAACACTCTTGTTGTGGAATGTGCAAGTGGAGATTTGGAGCGCTTTGAGGCCTGTGGTAGTAAAGGGAATAGCTTCATAGAAAAACTAGACAGATGCATTCTCAGGAACCTTTTGGTGATGTTTGTATTCAACTCCCAGAGTTGAACTTTCCTTTGGAAAGAGCAGCTATGAAACACTCTTTTTCTAGAATCTGCAAGTGGACGTTTGGAGGGCTTTGTGGTTTGTGGTGGAAAAGGAAATATCTTCACCTAAATACTAGATAGAAGCATTCTCAGAAGCTTCTCTGTGATGACTGCATTCAACTCACGGAGTTGAACACTCCTTTTGAGAGCGCAGTTTTGAAACTCTCTTTCTGTGGCATCTGCAAGGGGACATGTAGACCTCTTTGAAGATTTCGTTGGAAACGGAATCATCTTCACATAAAAACTATACAGAAGCAGTCTCAGAATCTTCTTTGTGATGTTTGCATTCAAATCCCAGAGTTGAACTTTCCTTTCAAAGTTCACGTTTGAAACACTCTTTTTGCAGGATCTACAAGTGGATATTTGGACCACTCTGTGTCCTTCGTTCGAAACGGGTATATCTTCACAGGACATCTAGACAGAAGCTTTCTCAGAAAATTGTTTGGGATGATTGATTTGAACTCACAGAGCTGAGCATTCCTTGCGATGTAGCAGTTTAGAAACACACTTTCTGCAGAATCTGCAAGTGCATATTTGGACCTCTCTGAGGAATTCGTTGGAAACGGGATAATTTCAGCTGACTAAACAGAAGCATTCTCAGAACCTTCTTCGTGATGTCTGCATTCAACTCACAGTGTGGAACCTTTCTTTGATAGTTCAGGTTTGAAACACTCTTTTTGTAGAAACTGCAAGGGGATAATTGCACTCTTTGAGGAGTACCGTAGTAAAGGAAATAACTTCCTATAAAAAGAAGACAGAAGCATTCTCAGAACCCTCTTCGTGATGTTTGCATTCAACTCACAGTGCTGAACCTTTCTTTGATAGTTCAGCTTTGAAACACTCTTTTTGTAGAAACTGCAAATGGATATTTGGTCCTCTCTGAGGATTTCGTTGGAAAAGGGATAAAACGCACAGAACTAAACAGAAGCATTCACAGAAAACTCTTGGTGACGACTGAGTTTAACTCACAGAGCTGAACATTCCTTTGGATGGAGCAGTTTCAAAACACACTATTTGTAGAATCTGCAAGTGGATATGTGGGCCTCTCTGAGGATTTCATTGGAAACGGGATAAACCGCACAGAACTAAAACAGAAGCATTCTCAGAAACTACTTTGTGATGATTGCATTCAAGTCACAGAGTTGAACATTCCCTTTGACAGAGCAGTTTGGAAACTCTCTTTGTGTAGAATCTGCAAGTGGAGATATGGACCGCTTTGAGGCCTATGGTAGTAAAGGAAATAGCTTCATATAAAAGCTAGACAGTAGCATTCTCAGAAACTTCTTTGTGATGCTTGCATTCAACTCACAGAGTTGAACTTTCCTTTCGAGAGAGAAGCTTTGAAACACTCTTTTTCCAGAATCTGCAAGTGGACATTTGGAGGGCTTTGAGGCCTGTGGTGGAAAAGGAATTATCTTCCCGTAAAAGCTAGATAGAAGCATTGTCAGAAACTTCTTTGTGATGATTGCATTCAACTCACAGAGTTGAAGGTTCCTTTTCAAAGAGCAGTTTCCAATCACTCTTTCTGTGGAATCTGCAAGTGGATATTTGGATCTCTTTGAAGATTTCGTTGGAAACGGGAGAATCTTCACAGAAAAGCTAAACAGAAGCATTCTCAGAAACTTCTCTGTGATGTTTGTGTTCAACTCCCAGAGTTTCACATTGCTTTTCATAGAGTAGTTCTGAAACATGCTTTTCGTAGTGTCTACAAGTGGACATTTGGAGCGCTTTCAGGCCTGTGGTGGAAAACGAATTATGGTCACATAAAAACTGGAGAGAAGCCTTCTCAGAAACTTCTCTGTGATGATTGCATTCAACTCACAGATTTGAACCCTCCTATGGATAGAGCAGTGTTGAAACTCTCTTTTTGTGGAATCTGCAAGTGGATATGTGGACCTCTCCGAAGATGTCTTTGGAAACGGGAATATCTTCACATAAAAACTAAACAGAAGCATTCTCAGAAACTTCTTGGTGATGTTTGCATTCAAATCCCAGAGTTGAACCTTCCTTTGATAGTTCAGGTTTGAAACACTCTTTCTGTAGGATCTGCAAGTGGCTATTTGGACCACTCTGTGGCCTTCGTTCGAAACGGGTATATCTTCGCATAAAATCTAGACAGAAGCATTCTCAGAAAATACTTTGTGATGATTGAGTTTAAATCACAGAGCTGACCATTCCTTTGGATGGAGCAGGTTTGAGACACACTTTTTGTAGAATCTACAAGTGGATATTTGGACCTCTCTGAGGATTTCGTTGGAAACGGGATAACTGCACCTAACTAAACGGAAGCATTCTCAGAAACTGCTTTGTGATGATTGCATTCACCTCACAGCAGTTGAACATTCCTATTGATAGAGCAGTTTGGAAACACTCTTGTTGTGGAATGTGCAAGTGGAGATTTGGAGCGCTTTGAGGCCTATGGTAGTAAAGGGAATAGCTTCATAGAAAAACTAGACAGATGCATTCTCAGGAACTTTTTGGTGATGTTTGTATTCAACTCCCAGAGTTGAACTTTCCTTTGGAAAGAGCAGCTATGAGACACTGTTTCTCTAGAATCTGCAAGTGGACGTTTGGAGGGCTTTGTGGTTTGTGGTGGAAAGGAAATATCTTCACCTAAATACTAGATAGAAGCATTCTCAGAAGCTTCTCTGTGATGACTGCATTCAACTCACGGAGTTGAACACTCCTTTTGAGAGCGCAGTTTTGAAACTCTCTTTCTGTGGCATCTGCAAGGGGACATGTAGACCTCTTTGAAGATTTCGTTGGAAACGGAATCATCTTCACATAAAAACTATACAGAAGCAGTCTCAGAATCTTCTTTGTGATGTTTGCATTCAAATCCCCGAGTTGAACTTTCCTTTCAAAGTTCACGTTTGAAACACTCTTTTTGCAGGATCTACAAGTGGATATTTGGACCACTCTGTGTCCTTCGTTCGAAACGGGTATATCTTCACATGACATCTAGACAGAAGCTTTCTCAGAAAATTCTTTGGGATGATTGAGTTGAACTCACAGAGCTGAGCATTCCTTGCGATGTAGCAGTTTAGAAACACACTTTCTGCAGAATCTGCAAGTGCATATTTGGACCTCTGTGAGGAATTCGTTGGAAACGGGATAATTTCAGCTGACTAAACAGAAGCATTCTCAGAACCTTCTTCGTGATGTCTGCATTCAACTCACAGTGTGGAACCTTTCTTTGATAGTTCAGGTTTGAAACACTCTTTTTGTAGAAACTGCAAGGGGATAATTGCACTCTTTGAGGAGTACCGTAGTAAAGGAAATAACTTCCTATAAAAAGAAGACAGAAGCATTCTCAGAACCCTCTTCGTGATGTTTGCATTCAACTCACAGTGCTGAACCTTTCTTTGATAGTTCAGCTTTGAAACACTCTTTTTGTAGAAACTGCAAGTGGATATTTGGTCCTCTCTGAGCATTTCGTTGGAAACGGGATAAACTGCACAGAACTAAACAGAAGCATTCTCAGAACCTTCTTCGTGATGTTTGCATTCAACTCACAGTGTTGAACCTTTCTTTGATAGTTCAGGTTTGAAACGGTCTTTCTGCAGAAACTGCAAGTAGATATTTGGACCGCTCTGAGGATTTCGTTGGAAACGGGATAAACCTCACAGAACTAAAACAGAAGCATTCACAGAAAACTCTTGGTGACGACTGAGTTTAACTCACAGAGCTGAACATTCCTTTGGATGGAGCAGTTTCGAAACACACTATTTGTAGAATGTGCAAGTGGATATTTAGGCCTCTCTGAGGATTTCGTTGGAAACGGGATAAACCGCACAGAACTAAACAGAAGCATTCTCAGAAACTACTTTGTGATGATTGCATTCAAGTCACAGAGTTGAACATTCCCTTTGACAGAGCAGTTTGGAAACTCTCTTTGTGTAGAATCTGCAAGTGGAGATATGGACCGCTTTGAGGCCTATGGTAGTAAAGGAAATAGCTTCATATAAAAGCTAGACAGTAGCATTCTCAGAAACTTCTTTGTGATGCTTGCATTCAACTCACAGAGTTGAACTTTCCTTTCGAGAGAGAAGCTTTGAAACACTCTTTTTCCAGAATCTGCAAGTGGACATTTGGAGGGCTTTGAGGCCTGTGGTGGAAAAGGAATTATCTTCCCGTAAAAGCTAGATAGAAAGCATTGTCAGAAACTTCTTTGTGATGATTGCATTCAACTCACAGAGTTGAAGGTTCCTTTTCAAAGAGCAGTTTCCAATCACTCTTTCTGTGGAATCTGCAAGTGGATATTCGGACCTATTTTGAAGATTTCGTTGGAAACGGGAGAATCTTCACAGGAAAGCTAAACAGAAGCATTCTCAGAAACTTCTCTGTGATGTTTGTGTTCAACTCCCAGAGTTTCACATTGCTTTTCATAGAGTAGTTTTGAAACATGCTTTTCGTAGTGTCTGCAAGTGGACATTTGGAGCGCTTTCAGGCCTGTGGTGGAAAACGAATTATGGTCACATAAAAACTGGAGAGAAGCCTTCTCAGAAACTTCTCTGTGATGATTGCATTCAACTCACAGAGTTGAACCCTCCTATGGATAGAGCAGTGTTGAAACTCTCTTTTTGTGGAATCTGCAAGTGGATATGTGGACCTCTCCGAAGATGTCTTTGGAAACGGGAATATCTTCACATAAAAACTAAACAGAAGCATTCTCAGAAACTTCTTGGTGATGTTTGCATTCAAATCCCAGAGTTGAACCTTCCTTTGATAGTTCAGGTTTGAAACACTCTTTCTGTAGGATCTGCAAGTGGCTATTTGGACCACTCTGTGGCCTTCGTTCGAAACGGGTATATCTTCGCATAAAATCTAGACAGAAGCATTCTCAGAAAATACTTTGTGATGATTGAGTTTAAATCACAGAGCTGACCATTCCTTTGGATGGAGCAGGTTTGAGACACACTTTTTGTAGAATCTACAAGTGGATATTTGGACCTCTCTGAGGATTTCGTTGGAAACGGGATAACTGCACCTAACTAAACGGAAGCATTCTCAGAAACTGCTTTGTGATGATTGCATTCACCTCACAGAGTTGAACATTCCTATTGATAGAGCAGTTTGGAAACACTCTTGTTGTGGAATGTGCAAGTGGAGATTTGGAAGCGCTTTGAGGCCTGTGGTAGTAAAGGGAATAGCTTCATAGAAAAACTAGACAGATGCATTCTCAGGAACCTTTTGGTGATGTTTGTATTCAACTCCCAGAGTTGAACTTTCCTTTGGAAAGAGCAGCTATGAAACACTCTTTTTCTAGAATCTGCAAGTGGACGTTTGGAGGGCTTTGTGGTTTGTGGTGGAAAAGGAAATATCTTCACCTAAATACTAGATAGAAGCATTCTCAGAAGCTTCTCTGTGATGACTGCATTCAACTCACGGAGTTGAACACTCCTTTTGAGAGCGCAGTTTTGAAACTCTCTTTCTGTGGCATCTGCAAGGGGACATGTAGACCTCTTTGAAGATTTCGTTGGAAACGGAATCATCTTCACATAAAAACTATACAGAAGCAGTCTCAGAATCTTCTTTGTGATGTTTGCATTCAAATCCCAGAGTTGAACTTTCCTTTCAAAGTTCACGTTTGAAACACTCTTTTTGCAGGATCTACAAGTGGATATTTGGACCACTCTGTGTCCTTCGTTCGAAACGGGTATATCTTCACACGACATCTAGACAGAAGCTTTCTCAGAAAATTCTTTGGGATGATTGAGTGGAACTCACAGAGCTGAACATTCCTTGCGATGTAGCAGTTTAGAAACACACTTTCTGCAGAATCTGCAAGTGCATATTTGGACCTCTCTGAGGAATTCGTTGGAAACGGGATAATTTCAGCTGACTAAACAGAAGCATTCTCAGAACCTTCTTCGTGATGTCTGCATTCAACTCACAGTGTGGAACCTTTCTTTGATAGTTCAGGTTTGAAACACTCTTTTTGTAGAAACTGCAAGGGGATAATTGCACTTCTTTGAGGCCTACCGTAGTAAAGGAAATAACTTCCTATAGAAAGAAGACAGAAGCATTCTCAGAACCCTCTTCGTGATGTTTGCATTCAACTCACAGTGCTGAACCTTTCTTTGATAGTTCAGCTTTGAAACACTCTTCTTGTAGAAACTGCAAGTGGATATTTGGTCCTCTCTGAGGATTTCGTTGGAAACGGGATAAACCGCACAGAACTAAACAGGAAGAATTCTCAGAGCCCTCTTCGTGATGTTTGCATTCAACTCACAGTGCTGAACCTTTCTTTGATAGTGCAGCTTTGAAACACTCTTTTTGTAGAAACTGCAAGTGGATGTTTGGTCCTCTCTGAGGATTTCGTTGGAAACGGGATAAACCGCACAGAACTAAAACAGAAGCATTGTCAGAAACTTCTTTGTGATGATTGCATTCAACTCACAGAGTTGAAGGTTCCTTTTCAAACAGCAGTTTCCAATCACTCTTTCTGTGGAATCTGCAAGTGGATATTTGGGCCTCTCTGAGGATTTCGTTGGAAACGGGATAAAACGCACAGAACTAAAACAGAAGCATTCTCAGAAACTTCTCTGTGATGTTTGTGTTCAACTCCCAGAGTTTCACGTTGCTTTTCATAGAGTAGTTCTGAAACATGCTTTTCGTAGTGTCTGCAAGTGGACATTTGGAGCGCTTTCAGGCCTGTGGTGGAAAACGAATTATGGTCACATAAAAACTGGAGAGAAGCCTTCTCAGAAACTTCTCTGTGATGATTGCATTCAACTCACAGAGTTGAACCCTCCTATGGATAGAGCAGTGTTGAAACTCTCTTTTTGTGGAATCTGCAAGTGGATATGTGGACCTCTTTGAAGATGTCTTTGGAAACGGGAATATCTTCACATAAAAACTAAACAGAAGCATTCTCAGAAACTTCTTGGTGATGTTTGCATTCAAATCCCAGAGTTGAACCTTCCTTTGATAGTTCAGGTTTGAAACACTCTTTTTGTAGGATCTGCAAGTGGCTATTTGGACCACTCTGTGGCCTTCGTTCGAAACGGGTATATCTTCGCATAAAATCTAGACAGAAGCATTCTCAGAAAATACTTTGTGACGATTGAGTTTAAATCACAGAGCTGAACATTCCTTTGGATGGAGCAGGTTTGAGACACACTTTTTGTAGAATCTACAAGTGGATATTTGGACCTCTCTGAGGATTTCGTTGGAAACGGGATAACTGCACCTAACTAAACGGAAGCATTCTCAGAAACTGCTTTGTGATGATTGCATTCACCTCACAGAGTTGAACATTCCTATTGATAGAGCAGTTTGGAAACACTCTTGTTGTGGAATGTGCAAGTGGAGATTTGGAGCGCTTTGAGGCCTATGGTAGTAAAGGGAATAGCTTCATAGAAAAACTAGACAGATGCATTCTCAGGAACTTTTTGGTGATGTTTGTATTCAACTCCCAGAGTTGAACTTTCCTTTGGAAAGAGCAGCTATGAAACACTCTTTTTCTAGAATCTGCAAGTGGACGTTTGGAGGGCTTTGTGGTTTGTGGTGGAAAAGGAAATATCTTCACCTAAATACTAGATAGAAGCATTCTCAGAAGCTTCTCTGTGATGACTGCATTCAACTCACGGAGTTGAACACTCCTTTTGAGAGCGCAGTTTTGAAAATCTCTTTCTGTGGCATCTGCAAGGGGACATGTAGACCTCTTTGAAGATTTCGTTGGAAACGGAATCATCTTCACATAAAAACTATACAGAAGCAGTCTCAGAATCTTCTTTGTGATGTTTGCATTCAAATCCCAGAGTTGAACTTTCCTTTCAAAGTTCACGTTTGAAACACTCTTTTTGCAGGATCTACAAGTGGATATTTGGACCACTCTGTGTCCTTCGTACGAAACGGGTATATCTTCACATGACATCTAGACAGAAGCTTTCTCAGAAAATTCTTTGGGATGATTGAGTGGAACTCACAGAGCTGAACATTCCTTGCGATGTAGCAGTTTAGAAACACACTTTCTGCAGAATCTGCAAGTGCATATTTGGACCTCTCTGAGGAATTCGTTGGAAACGGGATAATTTCAGCTGACTAAACAGAAGCATTCTCAGAACCTTCTTCGTGATGTCTGCATTCAACTCACAGTGTGGAACCTTTCTTTGATAGTTCAGGTTTGAAACACTCTTTTTGTAGAAACTGCAAGGGGATAATTGCACTTCTTTGAGGCCTACCGTAGTAAAGGAAATAACTTCCTATAGAAAGAAGACAGAAGCATTCTCAGAACCCTCTTCGTGATGTTTGCATTCAACTCACAGTGCTGAACCTTTCTTTGATAGTTCAGCTTTGAAACACTCTTCTTGTAGAAACTGCAAGTGGATATTTGGTCCTCTCTGAGGATTTCGTTGGAAACGGGATAAACCGCACAGAACTAAACAGAAGAATTCTCAGAGCCCTCTTCGTGATGTTTGCATTCAACTCACAGTGCTGAACCTTTCTTTGATAGTGCAGCTTTGAAACACTCTTTTTGTAGAAACTGCAAGTGGATGTTTGGTCCTCTCTGAGGATTTCGTTGGAAACGGGATAAACCGCACAGAACTAAAACAGAAGCATTGTCAGAAACTTCTTTGTGATGATTGCATTCAACTCACAGAGTTGAAGGTTCCTTTTCAAACAGCAGTTTCCAATCACTCTTTCTGTGGAATCTGCAAGTGGATATTTGGGCCTCTCTGAGGATTTCGTTGGAAACGGGATAAAACGCACAGAACTAAAACAGAAGCATTCTCAGAAACTTCTCTGTGATGTTTGTGTTCAACTCCCAGAGTTTCACGTTGCTTTTCATAGAGTAGTTCTGAAACATGCTTTTCGTAGTGTCTGCAAGTGGACATTTGGAGCGCTTTCAGGCCTGTGGTGGAAAACGAATTATGGTCACATAAAAACTGGAGAGAAGCCTTCTCAGAAACTTCTCTGTGATGATTGCATTCAACTCACAGAGTTGAACCCTCCTATGGATAGAGCAGTGTTGAAACTCTCTTTTTGTGGAATCTGCAAGTGGATATGTGGACCTCTCCGAAGATGTCTTTGGAAACGGGAATATCTTCACATAAAAACTAAACAGAAGCATTCTCAGAAACTTCTTGGTGATGTTTGCATTCAAATCCCAGAGTTGAACCTTCCTTTGATAGTTCAGGTTTGAAACACTCTTTCTGTAGGATCTGCAAGTGGCTATTTGGACCACTCTGTGGCCTTCGTTCGAAACGGGTATATCTTCGCATAAAATCTAGACAGAAGCATTCTCAGAAAATACTTTGTGATGATTGAGTTTAAATCACAGAGCTGACCATTCCTTTGGATGGAGCAGGTTTGAGACACACTTTTTGTAGAATCTACAAGTGGATATTTGGACCTCTCTGAGGATTTCGTTGGAAACGGGATAACTGCACCTAACTAAACGGAAGCATTCTCAGAAACTGCTTTGTGATGATTGCATTCACCTCACAGAGTTGAACATTCCTATTGATAGAGCAGTTTGGAAACACTCTTGTTGTGGAATGTGCAAGTGGAGATTTGGAGCGCTTTGAGGCCTATGGTAGTAAAGGGAATAGCTTCATAGAAAAACTAGACAGATGCATTTTCAGGAACCTTTTGGTGATGTTTGTATTCAACTCCCAGAGTTGAACTTTCCTTTGGAAAGAGCAGCTATGAAACACTCTTTTTCTAGAATCTGCAAGTGGACGTTTGGAGGGCTTTGTGGTTTGTGGTGGAAAAGGAAATATCTTCACCTAAATACTAGATAGAAGCATTCTCATAAGCTTCTCTGTGATGACTGCATTCAACTCACGGAGTTGAACACTCCTTTTGAGAGCGCAGTTTTGAAACTCTCTTTCTGTGGCATCTGCAAGGGGACATGTAGACCTCTTTGAAGATTTCGTTGGAAACGGAATCATCTTCACATAAAAACTATACAGAAGCAGTCTCAGAATCTTCTTTGTGATGTTTGCATTCAAATCCCAGAGATGAACTTTCCTTTCAAAGTTCACGTTTGAAACACTCTTTTTGCAGGATCTACAAGTGGATATTTGGACCACTCTGTGTCCTTCCTTCGAAACGGGCATATCTTCACATGACATCTAGACAGAAGCTTTCTCAGAAAATTCTTTGGGATGATTGAGTTGAACTCACAGAGCTGAACATTCCTTGCGATGTAGCAGTTTAGAAACACACTTTCTGCAGAATCTGCAAGTGCATATTTAGACCTCTCTGAGGAATTCGTTGGAAACGGGATAATTTCAGCTGACTAAACAGAAGCATTCTCAGAACCTTCTTCGTGATGTCTCCATTCAACTCACAGTGTGGAACCTTTCTTTGATAGTTCAGGTTTGAAACACTCTTTTTGTAGAAACTGCCAGGGGATGATTGCACTTCTTTGAGGCCTACCGTAGCAAAAGAAATAACTTCCTATAAAAAGAAGACAGAAGCATTCTCAGAACCTTCTTCGTGATGTTTGCATTCAACTCACACTGCTGAACCTTTCTTTGATAGTTCAGCTTTGAAACACTCTTTTTGTAGAAACTGCAAGTGGATATTTGGTCCTCTCTGAGGATTTCGTTGGAAACGGGATAAACCGCGCAGAACTAAACAGAAGCATTCTCAGAACCTTCTTCGTGATGTTTGCATTCAACTCACAGTGTTGAACCTTTCTTTGATAGTTCAGGTTGGATACGGTCTTTCTGTAGAAACTGCAAGTAGATATTTGGACCTCTCTGAGGATTTCGTTGGAAACGGGATAAACCGCACAGAACTAAAACAGAAGCATTCACAGAAAACTCTTGGTGACGACTGAGTTTAACTCACAGAGCTGAACATTCCTTTGGATGGAGCAGTTTCAAAACACACTATTTGTAGAATCTGCAAGTGGATATGTGGGCCTCTCTGAGGATTTCGTTGGAAACGGGATAAACCGCACAGAACTAAAACAGAAGCATTCTCAGAAACTACTTTGTTATGATTGCATTCAAGTCACAGAGTTGAACATTCCCTTTGACAGAGCAGTTTGGAAACTCTCTTTGTGTAGAATCTGCAAGTGGAGATATGGACCACTTTGAGGCCTATGGTAGTAAAGGAAATAGCTTCATATAAAAGCTAGACAGTAGCATTCTCAGAAACTTCTTTGTGATGCTTGCATTCAACTCACAGAGTTGAACTTTCCTTTCGAGAGAGAAGCTTTGAAACACTCTTTTTCCAGAATCTGCAAGTGGACATTTGGAAGGCTTTGAGGCCTGTGGTGGAAAAGGAATTATCTTCCCGTAAAAGCTAGATAGAAGCATTGTCAGAAACTTCTTTGTGATGATTGCATTCAACTCACAGAGTTGAAGGTTCCTTTTCAAAGAGCAGTTTCCAATCACTCTTTCTGTGGAATCTGCAAGTGGATATTTGGACCTCTTTGAAGATTTCGTTGGAAACGGGAGAATCTTCACAGAAAAGCTAAACAGAAGCATTCTCAGAAACTTCTCTGTGATGTTTGTGTTCAACTCCCAGAGTTTCACATTGCTTTTCATAGAGTAGTTCTGAAACATGCTTTTCGTAGTGTCTGCAAGTGGACATTTGGAGCGCTTTCAGGCCTGTGGTGGAAAACGAATTATGGTCACATAAAAACTGGAGAGAAGCCTTCTCAGAAACTTCTCTGTGATGATTGCATGCAACTCACAGATTTGAACCCTCCTATGGATAGAGCATTGTTGAAACTCTCTTTTTGTGGAATCTGCAAGTGGATATGTGGACCTCTCCGAAGATGTCTTTGGAAACGGGAATATCTTCACATAAAAACTAAACAGAAGCATTCTCAGAAACTTCTTGGTGATGTTTGCATTCAAATCCCAGAGTTGAACCTTCCTTTGATAGTTCAGGTTTGAAACACTCTTTTTGTAGGATCTGAAAGTGGATATTTGGACCACTCTGTGGCCTTCGTTCGAAACGGGTACATCTTCGCATAAAATCTAGACAGAAGCATTCTCAGAAAATACTTTGTGATGATTTAGTTTAACTCACAGAGCTGAACATTCCTTTGGATGGAGCAGGTTTGAGACACACTTTTTGTAGAATCTACAAGTGGATATTTGGACCTCTCTGAGGATTTCGTTGGAAACGGGATAACTGCACCTAACTAAACGGAAGCATTCTCAGAAACTGCTTTGTGATGATTGCATTCACCTCACAGAGTTGAACATTCCTATTGATAGAGCAGTTTGGAAACACTCTTGTTGTGGAATGTGCAAGTGGAGATTTGGAGCGCTTTGAGGCCTGTGGTAGTAAAGGGAATAGCTTCATAGAAAAACTAGACAGATGCATTCTCAGGAACTTTTTGGTGATGTTTGTATTCAACTCCCAGAGTTGAACTTTCCTTTGGAAAGAGCAGCTATGAAACACTCTTTTTCTAGAATCTGCAAGTGGACGTTTGGAGGGCTTTGTGGTTTGTGGTGGAAAAGGAAATATCTTCACCTAAATACTAGATAGAAGCATTCTCAGAAGCTTCTCTGTGATGACTGCATTCAACTCACGGAGTTGAACACTCCTTTTGAGAGCGTAGTTTTGAAACTCTCTTTCTGTGGCATCTGCAAGGGGACATGTAGACCTCTTTGAAGATTTCGTTGGAAACGGAATCATCTTCACATAAAAACTATACAGAAGCAGTCTCAGAATCTTCTTTGTGATGTTTGCATTCAAATCCCAGAGTTGAACTTGCCTTTCAAAGTTCACGTTTGAAACACTCTTTTTGCAGGATCTACAAGTGGATATTTGGACCACTCTGTGTCCTTCGTTCGAAACGGGTATATCTTCACATGACATCTAGACAGAAGCTTTCTCAGAAAATCCTTTGGGATGATTGAGTGGAACTCACAGAGCTGAACATTCCTTGCGATGTAGCAGTTTAGAAACACACTTTCTGCAGAATCTGCAAGTGCATATGTGGACCTCTCTGAGGAATTCGTTGGAAACGGGATAATTTCAGCTGACTAAACAGAAGCATTCTCAGAACCTTCTTCGTGATGTCTGCATTCAACTCACAGTGTGGAACCTTTCTTTGATAGTTCAGGTTTGAAACACTCTTTTTGTAGAAACTGCAAGGGGATAATTGCACTTCTTTGAGGCCTACCGTAGTAAAGGAAATAACTTCCTATAGAAAGAAGACAGAAGCATTCTCAGAACCCTCTTCGTGATGTTTGCATTCAACTCACAGTGCTGAACCTTTCTTTGATAGTTCAGCTTTGAAACACTCTTCTTGTAGAAACTGCAAGTGGATATTTGGTCCTCTCTGAGGATTTCGTTGGAAACGGGATAAACCGCACAGAACTAAACAGAAGAATTCTCAGAGCCCTCTTCGTGATGTTTGCATTCAACTCACAGTGCTGAACCTTTCTTTGATAGTGCAGCTTTGAAACACTCTTTTTGTAGAAACTGCAAGTGGATGTTTGGTCCTCTCTGAGGATTTCGTTGGAAACGGGATAAACCGCACAGAACTAAAACAGAAGCATTGTCAGAAACTTCTTTGTGATGATTGCATTCAACTCACAGAGTTGAAGGTTCCTTTTCAAACAGCAGTTTCCAATCACTCTTTCTGTGGAATCTGCAAGTGGATATTTGGGCCTCTCTGAGGATTTCGTTGGAAACGGGATAAAACGCACAGAACTAAAACAGAAGCATTCTCAGAAACTTCTCTGTGATGTTTGTGTTCAACTCCCAGAGTTTCACGTTGCTTTTCATAGAGTAGTTCTGAAACATGCTTTTCGTAGTGTCTGCAAGTGGACATTTGGAGCGCTTTCAGGCCTGTGGTGGAAAACGAATTATGGTCACATAAAAACTGGAGAGAAGCCTTCACAGAAACTTCTCTGTGATGATTGCATTCAACTCACAGAGTTGAACCCTCCTATGGATAGAGCAGTGTTGAAACTCTCTTTTTGTGGAATCTGCAAGTGGATATGTGGACCTCTTTGAAGATGTCTTTGGAAACGGGAATATCTTCACATAAAAACTAAACGGAAGCATTCTCAGAAACTTCTTGGTGATGTTTGCATTCAAATCCCAGAGTTGAACCTTCCTTTGATAGTTCAGGTTTGAAACACTCTTTTTGTAGGATCTGCAAGTGGATATTTGGACCACACTGTGGCCTTCGTTCGAAACGGGTACATCTTCGCATAATATCTAGACAGAAGCATTCTCAGAAAACACTTTGTGATGATTGAGTTGAACTCACAGAGCTGACCATTCCTTTGGATGGAGCAGGTTTGAGACACACTTTTTGTAGAATCTACAAGTGGATATTTGGACCTCTCTGAGGATTTCGTTGGAAACGGGATAACTGCACCTAACTAAACGGAAGCATTCTCAGAAACTGCTTTGTGATGATTGCATTCACCTCACAGAGTTGAACATTCCTATTGATAGAGCAGTTTGGAAACACTCTTGTTGTGGAATGTGCAAGTGGAGATTTGGAGCGCTTTGAGGCCTATGGTAGTAAAGGGAATAGCTTCATAGAAAAACTAGACAGATGCATTCTCAGGAACTTTTTGGTGATGTTTGTATTCAACTCCCAGAGTTGAACTTTCCTTTGGAAAGAGGAGCTATGAAACACTCTTTTTCTAGAATCTGCAAGTGGACGTTTGGAGGGCTTTGTGGTTTGTGGTGGAAAAGGAAATATCTTCACCTAAATACTAGATAGAAGCATCCTCAGAAGCTTCTCTGTGATGACTGCATTCAACTCACGGAGTTGAACACTCCTTTTGAGAGCGCAGTTTTGAAACTCTCTTTCTGTGGCATCTGCAAGGGGACATGTAGACCTCTTTGAAGATTTCGTTGGAAACGGAATCATCTTCACATAAAAACTATACAGAAGCAGTCTCAGAATCTTCTTTGTGATGTTTGCATTCAAATCCCCGAGTTGAACTTTCCTTTCAAAGTTCACGTTTGAAACACTCTTTTTGCAGGATCTACAAGTGGATATTTGGACCACTCTGTGTCCTTCGTTCGAAACGGGTATATCTTCACATGACATCTAGACAGAAGCTTTCTCAGAAAATTCTTTGGGATGATTGAGTTGAACTCACAGAGCTGAGCATTCCTTGCGATGTAGCAGTTTAGAAACACACTTTCTGCAGAATCTGCAAGTGCATATTTGGACCTCTGTGAGGAATTCGTTGGAAACGGGATAATTTCAGCTGACTAAACAGAAGCATTCTCAGAACCTTCTTCGTGATGTCTGCATTCAACTCACAGTGTGGAACCTTTCTTTGATAGTTCAGGTTTGAAACACTCTTTTTGTAGAAACTGCAAGGGGATAATTGCACTCTTTGAGGAGTACCGTAGTAAAGGAAATAACTTCCTATAAAAAGAAGACAGAAGCATTCTCAGTAACCCTCTTCGTGATGTTTGCATTCAACTCACAGTGCTGAACCTTTCTTTGATAGTTCAGCTTTGAAACACTCTTTTTGTAGAAACTGCAAGTGGATATTTGGTCCTCTCTGAGGAATTCGTTGGAAACGGGATAAACTGCACAGAACTAAACAGAAGCATTCTCAGAACCTTCTTCGTGATGTTTGCATTCAACTCACAGTGTTGAACCTTTCTTTGATAGTTCAGGTTGGAAACGGTCTTTCTGTAGAAACTGCAAGTAGATATTTGGCCCTCTCTGAGGATTTCTTTGGAAACGGGGTGAACCGCACAGAACTAAAACAGAAGCATTCACAGAAAACTCTTGGTGACGACTGAGTTTAACTCACAGAGCTGAACATTCCTTTGGATGGAGCAGTTTCGAAACACACTATTTGTAGAATGTGCAAGTGGATATTTGGGCCTCTCTGAGGATTTCGTTGGAAACGGGATAAACCGCACAGAACTAAACAGAAGCATTCTCAGAAACTACTTTGTGATGATTGCATTCAAGTCACAGAGTTGAACATTCCCTTTGACAGAGCAGTTTGGAAACTCTCTTTGTGTAGAATCTGCAAGTGGAGATATGGACCGCTTTGAGGCCTATGGTAGTAAAGGAAATAGCTTCATATAAAAGCTAGACAGTAGCATTCTCAGAAACTTCTTTGTGATGCTTGCATTCAACTCACAGAGTTGAACTTTCCTTTCGAGAGAGAAGCTTTGAAACACTCTTTTTTAAGAATGTGCAAGTGGACATTTGGAGGGCTTTGAGGCCTGTGGTGGAAAAGGAATTATCTTCCCGTAAAAGCTAGATAGAAGCATTGTCAGAAACTTCTTTGTGATGATTGCATTCAACTCACAGAGTTGAAGGTTCCTTTTCAAAGAGAAGTTTCCAATCACTCTTTCTGTGGAATCTGCAAGTGGATATTTCGACCTATTTTGAAGATTTCGTTGGAAACGGGATAATCTTCACAGAAAAGCTAAACAGAAGCATTCTCAGAAACTTCTCTGTGATGTTTGTGTTCAACTCCCAGAGTTTCACATTGCTTTTCATAGAGTAGTTCTGAAGCATGCTTTTCGTAGTGTCTACAAGTGGACATTTGGAGCGCTTCCAGGCCTGTGGTGGAAAACGAATTATGGTCACATAAAAACTGGAGAGAAGCTTTCTCAGAAACTTCTCTGTGATGATTGCATTCAACTCACAGAGTTGAACCCTCCTATGGATAGAGCAGTGTTGAAACTCTCTTTTTGGGGAATCTGCAAGTGGATATGTGGACCTCTCCGAAGATGTCTTTGGAAACGGGAATATCTTCACATAATAACTAAACAGAAGCATTCTCAGAAACTTCTTGGTGATGTTTGCATTCAAATCCCAGAGTTGAACCTTCCTTTGACAGTTCAGGTTTGAAACACTCTTTTTGTAGGATCTGCAAGTGGATATTTGGACCACTCTGTGGCCTTCGTTCTAAACGGGTACATCTTCTCATAAAATCTAGACAGAAGCATTCTCAGAAAATACTTTGTGATGATTGAGTTGAACTCACAGAGCTGAACATTCCTTTGGATGGAGCAGGTTTGAGACACACTTTTTGTAGAATCTACAAGTGGATATTTGGACCTCTCTGAGGATTTCGTTGGAAACGGGATAACTGCACCTAACTAAACGGAAGCATTCTCAGAAACTGCTTTGTGATGATTGCATTCACCTCACAGAGTTGAACATTCCTATTGATAGAGCAGTTTGGAAACACTCTTGTTGTGGAATGTGCAAGTGGAGATTTGGAGCGCTTTGAGGCCTATGGTAGTAAAGGGAATAGCTTCATAGAAAAACTAGACAGATGCATTCTCAGGAACTTTTTGGTGATGTTTGTATTCAACTCCCAGAGTTGAACTTTCCTTTGGAAAGAGCAGCTATGAAACACTCTTTTTCTAGAATCTGCAAGTGGACGTTTGGAGGGCTTTGTGGTTTGTGGTGGAAAAGGAAATATCTTCACCTAAATACTAGAAAGAAGCATTCTCAGAAGCTTCTCTGTGATGACTGCATTCAACTCACGGAGTTGAACACTCCTTTTGAGAGCGCAGTTTTGGAACTCTCTTTCTGTGGCATCTGCAAGGGGACATGTAGACCTCTTTGAAGATTTCGTTGGAAACGGAATCATCTTCACATCAAAACTATACAGAAGCAGTCTCAGAATCTTCTTTGTGATGTTTGCATTCAAATCCCAGAGTTGAACTTGCCTTTCAAAGTTCACGTTTGAAACACTCTTTTTGCAGGATCTACAAGTGGATATTTGGACCACTCTGTGTCCTTCGTTCGAAACGGGTATATCTTCACATGACATCTAGACAGAAGCTTTCTCAGAAAATTCTTTGGGATGATTGAGTTGAGCAAACAGAGCTGAACACTCCTTGCGATGTAGCAGTTTAGAAACACCCTTTCTGCAGAATCTGCAAGTGCATATGTGGACCTCTCTGAGGAATTCGTTGGAAACGGGATAATTTCAGCTGACTAAACAGAAGCATTCTCAGTAACCTTCTTCGTGATGTCTGCATTCAACTCACAGTGTGGAACCTTTCTTTGATAGTTCAGGTTTGAAACACTCTTTTTGTAGAAACTGCAAGGGGATCATTGCACTTCTTTGAGGCCTACCGTAGTAAAGGAAATAACTTCCTATAAAAAGAAGACAGAAGCATTCTCAGAACCCTCTTCGTGATGCTTGCATTCAACTCACGGTGCTGAACCTTTCTTTGATAGTTCAGCTTTGAAACACTCTTTTTGTAGAAACTGCAAGTGGATATTTGGTCCTCTCTGAGGATTTCGTTGGAAACGGGATAAACCGCACAGAACTAAACAGAAGCATTCTGAGAACCTTCTTCGTGATGTTTGCATTCAACTCACAGTGTTGAACCTTTCTTTGATAGTTCAGGTTTGAAACGGTCTTTCTGTAGAAACTGCAAGTAGATATTTGGACCTCTCTGAGGATTTCGTTGGAAACGGGATAACCCGCACAGAACTAAAACAGAAGCATTCACAGAAAACTCTTGGTGACGACTGAGTTTAACTCACAGAGCTGAACATTCCTTTGGATGGAGCAGTTTTGAAACACACTATTTGTAGAATGTGCAAGTGGATATTTAGGCCTCTCTGAGGATTTCGTTGGAAACGGGATAAACCGCACAGAACTAAACAGAAGCATTCTCAGAAACTACTTTGTGATGATTGCATTCAAGTCACAGAGTTGAACATTCCCTTTGACAGAGCAGTTTGGAAACTCTCTTTGTGTAGAATCTGCAAGTGGAGATATGGACCGCTTTGAGGCCTATGGTAGTAAAGGAAATAGCTTCATATAAAAGCTAGACAGTAGCATTCTCAGAAACTTCTTTGTGATGCTTGCATTCAACTCACAGAGTTGAACTTTCCTTTCGAGAGAGAAGCTTTGAAACACTCTTTTTCCAGAATGTGCAAGTGGACATTTGGAGGGCTTTGAGGCCTGCGGTGGAAAAGGAATTATCTTCCCGTAAAAGCTAGATAGAAGCATTGTCAGAAACTTCTTTGTGATGATTGCATTCAACTCACAGAGTTGAAGGTTCCTTTTCAAACAGCAGTTTCCAATCACTCTTTCTGTGGAATCTGCAAGTGGATATTTGGACCTATTTTGAAGATTTCGTTGGAAACGGGAGAATCTTCACAGAAAAGCTAAACAGAAGCATTCTCAGAAACTTCTCTGTGATGTTTGTGTTCAACTCCCAGAGTTTCACATTGCATTTCATAGAGTAGTTCTGAAACATGCTTTTCGTAGTGTCTACAAGTGGACATTTGGAGCGCTTTCAGGCCTGTGGTGGAAAACGAATAATGGTCACATAAAAACTGGAGAGAAGCCTTCTCAGAAACTTCTCTGTGATGATTGCATTCAACTCACAGAGTTGAACCCTCCTATGGATAGAGCAGTGTTGAAACTCTCTTTTTGTGGAATCTGCAAGTGGATATGTGGACCTCTCCGAAGATGTCTTTGGAAACGGGAATATCTTCACATAAAAACTAAACAGAAGCATTCTCAGAAACTTCTTGGTGATGTTTGCATTCAAATCCAAGAGTTGAACCTTCCTTTGATAATTCAGGTTTGAAACACTCTTTTTGTAGGATCTGCAAGTGGATATTTGGACCACTCTGTGGCCTTCGTTCGAAACGGGTATATCTTCGCATAAAATCTAGACAGAAGCATTCTCAGAAAATACTTTGTGATGATTGAGTTTAACTCACAGAGCTGAACATTCCTTTGGATGGAGCAGGTTTGAGACACACTTTTTGTAGAATCTACAAGTGGATATTTGGACCTCTCTGAGGATTTCGTTGGAAACGGGATAACTGCACCTAACTAAACGGAAGCATTCTCAGAAACTGCTTTGTGATGATTGCATTCACCTCACAGAGTTGAACATTCCTATTGATAGAGCAGTTTGGAAACACTCTTGTTGTGGAATGTGCAAGTGGAGATTTGGAGCGCTTTGAGGCCTATGGTAGTAAAGGGAATAGCTTCATAGAAAAACTAGACAGATGCATTCTCAGGAACTTTTTGGTGATGTTTGTATTCAACTCCCAGAGTTGAACTTTCCTTTGGAAAGAGCAGCTATGAGACACTGTTTCTCTAGAATCTGCAAGTGGACGTTTGGAGGGCTTTGTGGTTTGTGGTGGAAAAGGAAATATCTTCACCTAAATACTAGATAGAAGCATTCTCAGAAGCTTCTCTGTGATGACTGCATTCAACTCACGGAGTTGAACACTCCTTTTGAGAGCGCAGTTTTGAAACTCTCTTTCTGTGGCATCTGCAAGGGGACATGTAGACCTCTTTGAAGATTTCGTTGGAAACGGAATCATCTTCACATAAAAACTATACAGAAGCAGTCTCAGAATCTTCTTTGTGATGTTTGCATTCAAATCCCAGAGTTGAACTTTCCTTTCAAAGTTCACGTTTGAAACACTCTTTTTGCAGGATCTACAAGTGGATATTTGGACCACTCTGTGTCCTTCGTTCGAAACGGGTATATCTTCACATGACACCTAGACAGAAGCTTTCTCAGAAAATTCTTTGGGATGATTGAGTTGAACTCACAGAGCTGAGCATTCCTTGCGATGTAGCAGTTTAGAAACACACTTTCTGCAGAATCTGCAAGTGCATATTTGGACCTCTCTGAGGAATTCGTTGGAAACGGGATAATTTCAGCTGACTAAACAGAAGCATTCTCAGAACCTTCTTCGTGATGTCTGCATTCAACTCACAGTGTGGAACCTTTCTTTGATAGTTCAGGTTTGAAACACTCTTTTTGTAGAAACTGCAAGGGGATCATTGCACTCTTTGAGGAGTACCGTAGTAAAGGAAATAACTTCCTATAAAAAGAAGACAGAAGCATTCTCAGAACCCTCTTCGTGATGTTTGCATTCAACTCACAGTGCTGAACATTTCTTTGATAGTTCAGCTTTGAAACACTCTTTTTGTAGAAACTGCAAGTGGATATTTGGTCCTCTCTGAGCATTTCGTTGGAAACGGGATAAACTGCACAGAACTAAACAGAAGCATTCTCAGAACCTTCTTCGTGATGTTTGCATTCAACTCACAGTGTTGAACCTTTCTTTGATAGTTCAGGTTTGAAACGGTCTTTCTGTAGAAACTGCAAGTAGATATTTGGACCTCTCTGAGGATTTCGTTGGAAACGGGATAACCCGCACAGAACTAAAACAGAAGCATTCACAGAAAACTCTTGGTGACGACTGAGTTTAACTCACAGAGCTGAACATTCCTTTGGATGGAGCAGTTTCGAAACACACTATTTGTAGAATCTGCAAGTGGATATTTTGGCCTCTCTGAGGATTTCGTTGGAAACGGGATAAAACGCACAGAAATAAAACAGAAGCATTCTCAGTAAACTACTTTGTGATGATTGCATTCAAGTCACAGAGTTGAACATTCCCTTTGACAGAGCAGTTTGGAAACTCTCTTTGTGTAGAATCTGCAAGTGGAGATATGGACCGCTTTGAGGCCTATGGTAGTAAAGGAAATAGCTTCATATAAAAGCTAGACAGTAGCATTCTCAGAAACTTCTTTGTGATGCTTGCATTCAACTCACAGAGTTGAACTTTCCTTTCGAGAGAGAAGCTTTGAAACACTCTTTTTCCAGAATGTGCAAGTGGACATTTGGGGAGCTTTGAGGCCTGTGGAGGAAAAGGAATTATCTTCCCGTAAAAGCTAGATAGAAGCATTGTCAGAAACTTCTTTGTGATGATTGCATTCAACTCACAGAGTTGAAGGTTCCTTTTCAAACAGCAGTTTCCAATCACTCTTTCTGTGGAATCTGCAAGTGGATATTTCGACCTCTTTGAAGATTTCGTTGGAAACGGGAGAATCTTCACAGAAAAGCTAAACAGAAGCATTCTCAGAAACTTCTCTGTGATGTTTGTGTTCAACTCCCAGAGTTTCACGTTGCTTTTCATAGAGTAGTTCTGAAACATGCTTTTCGTAGTGTCTGCAAGTGGACATTTGGAGCGCTTTCAGGCCTGTGGTGGAAAACGAATTATGGTCACATAAAAACTGGAGAGAAGCCTTCTCAGAAACTTCTCTGTGATGATTGCATTCAACTCACAGAGTTGAACCCTCCTATGGATAGAGCAGTGTTGAAACTCTCTTTTTGTGGAATCTGCAAGTGGATATGTGGACCTCTCCGAAGATGTCTTTGGAAACGGGAATATCTTCACATAAAAACTAAACAGAAGCATTCTCAGAAACTTCTTGGTGATGTTTGCATTCAAATCCCAGAGTTGAACCTTCCTTTGATAGTTCAGGTTTGAAACACTCTTTCTGTAGGATCTGCAAGTGGCTATTTGGACCACTCTGTGGCCTTCGTTCGAAACGGGTATATCTTCGCATAAAATCTAGACAGAAGCATTCTCAGAAAATACTTTGTGATGATTGAGTTTAAATCACAGAGCTGACCATTCCTTTGGATGGAGCAGGTTTGAGACACACTTTTTGTAGAATCTACAAGTGGATATTTGGACCTCTCTGAGGATTTCGTTGGAAACGGGATAACTGCACCTAACTAAACGGAAGCATTCTCAGAAACTGCTTTGTGATGATTGCATTCACCTCACAGAGTTGAACATTCCTATTGATAGAGCAGTTTGGAAACACTCTTGTTGTGGAATGTGCAAGTGGAGATTTGGAGCGCTTTGAGGCCTGTGGTAGTAAAGGGAATAGCTTCATAGAAAAACTAGACAGATGCATTCTCAGGAACTTTTTGGTGATGTTTGTATTCAACTCCCAGAGTTGAACTTTCCTTTGGAAAGAGCAGCTATGAAACACTCTTTTTCTAGAATCTGCAAGTGGACGTTTGGAGGGCTTTGTGGTTTGTGGTGGAAAAGGAAATATCTTCACCTAAATACTAGATAGAAGCATTCTCAGAAGCTTCTCTGTGATGACTGCATTCAACTCACGGAGTTGAACACTCCTTTTGAGAGCGCAGTTTTGAAACTCTCTTTCTGTGGCATCTGCAAGGGGACATGTAGACCTCTTTGAAGATTTCGTTGGAAACGGAATCATCTTCACATAAAAACTATACAGAAGCAGTCTCAGAATCTTCTTTGTGATGTTTGCATTCAAATCCCAGAGTTGAACTTTCCTTTCAAAGTTCACGTTTGAAACACTCTTTTTGCAGGATCTACAAGTGGATATTTGGACCACTCTGTGTCCTTCGTTCGAAACGGGTATATCTTCACACGACATCTAGACAGAAGCTTTCTCAGAAAATTCTTTGGGATGATTGAGTGGAACTCACAGAGCTGAACATTCCTTGCGATGTAGCAGTTTAGAAACACACTTTCTGCAGAATCTGCAAGTGCATATTTGGACCTCTCTGAGGAATTCGTTGGAAACGGGATAATTTCAGCTGACTAAACAGAAGCATTCTCAGAACCTTCTTCGTGATGTCTGCATTCAACTCACAGTGTGGAACCTTTCTTTGATAGTTCAGGTTTGAAACACTCTTTTTGTAGAAACTGCAAGGGGATAATTGCACTTCTTTGAGGCCTACCGTAGTAAAGGAAATAACTTCCTATAGAAAGAAGACAGAAGCATTCTCAGAACCCTCTTCGTGATGTTTGCATTCAACTCACAGTGCTGAACCTTTCTTTGATAGTTCAGCTTTGAAACACTCTTCTTGTAGAAACTGCAAGTGGATATTTGGTCCTCTCTGAGGATTTCGTTGGAAACGGGATAAACCGCACAGAACTAAACAGAAGAATTCTCAGAGCCCTCTTCGTGATGTTTGCATTCAACTCACAGTGCTGAACCTTTCTTTGATAGTGCAGCTTTGAAACACTCTTTTTGTAGAAACTGCAAGTGGATGTTTGGTCCTCTCTGAGGATTTCGTTGGAAACGGGATAAACCGCACAGAACTAAAACAGAAGCATTGTCAGAAACTTCTTTGTGATGATTGCATTCAACTCACAGAGTTGAAGGTTCCTTTTCAAACAGCAGTTTCCAATCACTCTTTCTGTGGAATCTGCAAGTGGATATTTGGGCCTCTCTGAGGATTTCGTTGGAAACGGGATAAAACGCACAGAACTAAAACAGAAGCATTCTCAGAAACTTCTCTGTGATGTTTGTGTTCAACTCCCAGAGTTTCACGTTGCTTTTCATAGAGTAGTTCTGAAACATGCTTTTCGTAGTGTCTGCAAGTGGACATTTGGAGCGCTTTCAGGCCTGTGGTGGAAAACGAATTATGGTCACATAAAAACTGGAGAGAAGCCTTCTCAGAAACTTCTCTGTGATGATTGCATTCAACTCACAGAGTTGAACCCTCCTATGGATAGAGCAGTGTTGAAACTCTCTTTTTGTGGAACCTGCAAGTGGATATGTGGACCTCTCCGAAGATGTCTTTGGAAACGGGAATATCTTCACATAAAAACTAAACAGAAGCATTCTCAGAAACTTCTTGGTGATGTTTGCATTCAAATCCCAGAGTTGAACCTTCCTTTGATAGTTCAGGTTTGAAACACTCTTTCTGTAGGATCTGCAAGTGGCTATTTGGACCACTCTGTGGCCTTCGTTCGAAACGGGTATATCTTCGCATAAAATCTAGACAGAAGCATTCTCAGAAAATACTTTGTGATGATTGAGTTTAAATCACAGAGCTGACCATTCCTTTGGATGGAGCAGGTTTGAGACACACTTTTTGTAGAATCTACAAGTGGATATTTGGACCTCTCTGAGGATTTCGTTGGAAACGGGATAACTGCACCTAACTAAACGGAAGCATTCTCAGAAACTGCTTTGTGATGATTGCATTCACCTCACAGAGTTGAACATTCCTATTGATAGAGCAGTTTGGAAACACTCTTGTTGTGGAATGTGCAAGTGGAGATTTGGAGCGCTTTGAGGCCTATGGTAGTAAAGGGAATAGCTTCATAGAAAAACTAGACAGATGCATTCTCAGGAACTTTTTGGTGATGTTTGTATTCAACTCCCAGAGTTGAACTTTCCTTTGGAAAGAGCAGCTATGAAACACTCTTTTTCTAGAATCTGCAAGTGGACGTTTGGAGGGCTTTGTGGTTTGTGGTGGAAAAGGAAATATCTTCACCTAAATACTAGATAGAAGCATTCTCAGAAGCTTCTCTGTGATGACTGCATTCAACTCACGGAGTTGAACACTCCTTTTGAGAGCGCAGTTTTGAAACTCTCTTTCTGTGGCATCTGCAAGGGGACATGTAGACCTCTTTGAAGATTTCGTTGGAAACGGAATCATCTTCACATAAAAACTATACAGAAGCAGTCTCAGAATCTTCTTTGTGATGTTTGCATTCAAATCCCAGAGTTGAACTTTCCTTTCAAAGTTCACGTTTGAAACACTCTTTTTGCAGGATCTACAAGTGGATATTTGGACCACTCTGTGTCCTTCGTTCGAAACGGGTATATCTTCACACGACATCTAGACAGAAGCTTTCTCAGAAAATTCTTTGGGATGATTGAGTGGAACTCACAGAGCTGAACATTCCTTGCGATGTAGCAGTTTAGAAACACACTTTCTGCAGAATCTGCAAGTGCATATTTGGACCTCTCTGAGGAATTCGTTGGAAACGGGATAATTTCAGCTGACTAAACAGAAGCATTCTCAGAACCTTCTTCGTGATGTCTGCATTCAACTCACAGTGTGGAACCTTTCTTTGATAGTTCAGGTTTGAAACACTCTTTTTGTAGAAACTGCAAGGGGATAATTGCACTTCTTTGAGGCCTACCGTAGTAAAGGAAATAACTTCCTATAGAAAGAAGACAGAAGCATTCTCAGAACCCTCTTCGTGATGTTTGCATTCAACTCACAGTGCTGAACCTTTCTTTGATAGTTCAGCTTTGAAACACTCTTCTTGTAGAAACTGCAAGTGGATATTTGGTCCTCTCTGAGGATTTCGTTGGAAACGGGATAAACCGCACAGAACTAAACAGAAGCATTCTCAGAGCCCTCTTCGTGATGTTTGCATTCAACTCACAGTGCTGAACCTTTCTTTGATAGTGCAGCTTTGAAACACTCTTTTTGTAGAAACTGCAAGTGGATATTTGGTCCTCTCTGAGGATTTCGTTGGAAACGGGATAAACCGCACAGAACTAAAACAGAAGCATTGTCAGAAACTTCTTTGTGATGATTGCATTCAACTCACAGAGTTGAAGGTTCCTTTTCAAACAGCAGTTTCCAATCACTCTTTCTGTGGAATCTGCAAGTGGATATTTGGGCCTCTCTGAGGATTTCGTTGGAAACGGGATAAAACGCACAGAACTAAAACAGAAGCATTCTCAGAAACTTCTCTGTGATGTTTGTGTTCAACTCCCAGAGTTTCACGTTGCTTTTCATAGAGTAGTTCTGAAACATGCTTTTCGTAGTGTCTGCAAGTGGACATTTGGAGCGCTTTCAGGCCTGTGGTGGAAAACGAATTATGGTCACATAAAAACTGGAGAGAAGCATTCTCAGGAAAATACTTTGTGATGATTGAGTTTAAATCACAGAGCTGACCATTCCTTTGGATGGAGCAGGTTTGAGACACACTTTTTGTAGAATCTACAAGTGGATATTTGGACCTCTCTGAGGATTTCGTTGGAAACGGGATAACTGCACCTAACTAAACGGAAGCATTCTCAGAAACTGCTTTGTGATGATTGCATTCACCTCACAGAGTTGAACATTCCTATTGATAGAGCAGTTTGGAAACACTCTTGTTGTGGAATGTGCAAGTGGAGATTTGGAGCGCTTTGAGGCCTATGGTAGTAAAGGGAATAGCTTCATAGAAAAACTAGACAGATGCATTCTCAGGAACTTTTTGGTGATGTTTGTATTCAACTCCCAGAGTTGAACTTTCCTTTGGAAAGAGCAGCTATGAAACACTCTTTTTCTAGAATCTGCAAGTGGACGTTTGGAGGGCTTTGTGGTTTGTGGTGGAAAAGGAAATATCTTCACCTAAATACTAGATAGAAGCATCCTCAGAAGCTTCTCTGTGATGACTGCATTCAACTCACGGAGTTGAACACTCCTTTTGAGAGCGCAGTTTTGAAACTCTCTTTCTGTGGCATCTGCAAGGGGACATGTAGACCTCTTTGAAGATTTCGTTGGAAACGGAATCATCTTCACATAAAAACTACACAGAAGCAGTCTCAGAATCTTCTTTGTGATGTTTGCATTCAAATCCCCGAGTTGAACTTTCCTTTCAAAGTTCACGTTTGAAACACTCTTTTTGCAGGATCTACAAGTGGATATTTGGACCACTCTGTGTCCTTCGTTCGAAACGGGTATATCTTCACATGACATCTAGACAGAAGCTTTCTCAGAAAATTCTTTGGGATGATTGAGTTGAACTCACAGAGCTGAGCATTCCTTGCGATGTAGCAGTTTAGAAACACACTTTCTGCAGAATCTGCAAGTGCATATTTGGACCTCTCTGAGGAATTCGTTGGAAACGGGATAATTTCAGCTGACTAAACAGAAGCATTCTCAGAACCTTCTTCGTGATGTCTGCATTCAACTCACAGTGTGGAACCTTTCTTTGATAGTTCAGGTTTGAAACACTCTTTTTGTAGAAACTGCAAGGGGATCATTGCACTCTTTGAGGAGTACCGTAGTAAAGGAAATAACTTCCTATAAAAAGAAGACAGAAGCATTCTCAGAACCCTCTTCGTGATGTTTGCATTCAACTCACAGTGCTGAACCTTTCTTTGATAGTTCAGCTTTGAAACACTCTTTTTGTAGAAACTGCAAGTGGATATTTGGTCCTCTCTGAGCATTTCGTTGGAAACGGGATAAACTGCACAGAACTAAACAGAAGCATTCTCAGAACCTTCTTCGTGATGTTTGCATTCAACTCACAGTGTTGAACCTTTCTTTGATAGTTCAGGTTTGAAACGGTCTTTCTGTAGAAACTGCAAGTAGATATTTGGACCTCTCTGAGGATTTCGTTGGAAACGGGATAACCCGCACAGAACTAAAACAGAAGCATTCACAGAAAACTCTTGGTGACGACTGAGTTTAACTCACAGAGCTGAACATTCCTTTGGATGGAGCAGTTTCGAAACACACTATTTGTAGAATGTGCAAGTGGATATTTAGGCCTCTCTGAGGATTTCGTTGGAAACGGGATAAACCGCACAGAACTAAACAGAAGCATTCTCAGAAACTACTTTGTGATGATTGCATTCAAGTCACAGAGTTGAACATTCCCTTTGACAGAGCAGTTTGGAAACTCTCTTTGTGTAGAATCTGCAAGTGGAGATACGGACCGCTTTGAGGCCTATGGTAGTAAAGGAAATAGCTTCATATAAAAGCTAGACAGTAAGCATTCTCAGAAACTTCTTTGTGATGCTTGCATTCAACTCACAGAGTTGAACTTTCCTTTCGAGAGAGAAGCTTTGAAACACTCTTTTTCCAGAATCTGCAAGTGGACATTTGGAGGGCTTTGAGGCCTGTGGTGGAAAAGGAATTATCTTCCCGTAAAAGCTAGATAGAAGCATTGTCAGAAACTTCTTTGTGATGATTGCATTCAACTCACAGAGTTGAAGGTTCCTTTTCAAAGAGCAGTTTCCAATCACTCTTTGTGTGTAATCTGCAAGTGGATATTCGGACCTATTTTGAAGATTTCGTTGGAAACGGGAGAATCTTCACAGGAAAGCTAAACAGAAGCATTCTCAGAAACTTCTCTGTGATGTTTGTGTTCAACTCCCAGAGTTTCACATTGCTTTTCATAGAGTAGTTCTGAAACATGCTTTTCGTAGTGTCTGCAAGTGGACATTTGGAGCGCTTTCAGGCCTGTGGTGGAAAACGAATTATGGTCACATAAAAACTGGAGAGAAGCCTTCTCAGAAACTTCTCTGTGATGATTGCATTCAACTCACAGAGTTGAACCCTCCTATGGATAGAGCAGTGTTGAAACTCTCTTTTTGTGGAATCTGCAAGTGGATATGTGGACCTCTCCGAAGATGTCTTTGGAAACGGGAATATCTTCACATAAAAACTAAACAGAAGCATTCTCAGAAACTTCTTGGTGATGTTTGCATTCAAATCCCAGAGTTGAACCTTCCTTTGATAGTTCAGGTTTGAAACACTCTTTTTGTAGGATCTGCAAGTGGATATTTGGACCACTCTGTGGCCTTCGTTCGAAACGGGTACATCTTCACATAAAATCTAGACAGAAGCATTCTCAGAAAAACCTTTGGGATGATTGAGTTGAACTCACAGAGCTGAACATTCCTTTGGATGGAGCAGGTTTGAGACACACTTTTTGTAGAATCTACAAGTGGATATTTGGACCTCTCTGAGGATTTCGTCGGAAACGGGATAACTGCACCTAACAAAACGGAAGCATTCTCAGAAACTGCTTTGTGATGATTGCATTCACCTCACAGAGTTGAACATTCCTATTGATAGAGCAGTTTGGAAACACTCTTGTTGTGGAATGTGCAAGTGGAGATTTGGAGCGCTTTGAGGCCTATGGTAGTAAAGGGAATAGCTTCATAGAAAAACTAGACAGATGCATTCTCAGGAACTTTTTGGTGATGTTTGTATTCAACTGCCAGAGTTGAACTTTCCTTAGGAAAGAGCAGCTATGAAACACTCTTTTTCTAGAATCTGCAAGTGGACGTTTGGAGGGCTTTGTGGTTTGTGGTGGAAAAGGAAATATCTTCACCTAAATACTAGAGAGAAGCATTCTCAGAAGCTTCTCTGTGATGACTGCATTCAACTCACGGAGTTGAACACTCCTTTTGAGAGCGCACTTTTGAAACTCTCTTTCTGTGGCATCTGCAAGGGGACATGTAGACCTCTTTGAAGATTTCGTTGGAAACGGAATCATCTTCACATAAAAACTATACAGAAGCAGTCTCAGAATCTTCTTTGTGATGTTTGCATTCAAATCCCAGAGTTGAACTTTCCTTTCAAAGTTCACGTTTGAAACACTCTTTTTGCAGGATCTACAAGTGGATATTTGGACCACTCTGTGTCCTTCGTTCGAAACGGGTATATCTTCACATGACATCTAGACAGAAGCTTTCTCAGAAAATTCTTTGGGATGATTGAGTTGAACTCACAGAGCTGAACATTCCTTGCGATGGAGCAGTTTAGAAACACACTTTCTGCAGAATCTGCAAGTGCATATTTGGACCTCTCTGAGGAATTCGTTGGAAACGCGATAATTTCAGGTGACTAAACAGAAGCATTCTCAGAACCTTCTTCGTGATGTCTGTATTCAACTCACAGTGTGGAACCTTTCTTTGATAGTTCAGGTTTGAAACACTCCTTTCGTAGAAACTGCAAGGGGATAATTGCACTTCTCTGAGGCCTACCGTAGTAAAGGAAATAACTTCCTATAAAAAGAAGACAGAAGAATTCTCAGAACCCTCTTCGTGATGTTTGCATTCCACACACAGTGCTGAAACTTTCTTTGATAGTTCAGCTTTGAAACACTCTTTTTGTAGAAACTGCAAGTGGATATTTGGTCCTCTCTGAGGATTTCGTTGGAAACGTGATAAACCGCACAGAACTAAACAGAAGCATTCACAGAAAACTCTTGGTGACGACTGAGTTTAACTCACAGAGCTGAACATTCCTTTGGATGGAGCAGTTTCGAAACACACTCTTTGTAGAATCTGCAAGTGGATATTTGGGCCTCTCTGAGGATTTCGTTGGAAATGGGATAAACCGCACAGAACTAAAACAGAAGCATTCTCAGAAACTACTTTGTGATGATTGCATTCAAGTCACAGAGTTGAACATTCCCTTTGACAGAGCAGTTTGGAAACTCTCTTTGTGTAGAATCTGCAAGTGGAGATATGGACCGCTTTGAGGCCTATGGTAGTAAAGGAAATAGCTTCATATAAAAGCTAGACAGTAGCATTCTCAGAAACTTCTTTGTGATGCTTGCATTCAACTCACAGAGTTGAACTTTCCTTTCGAGAGAGAAGCTTTGAAACACTCTTTTTCCAGAATGTGCAAGTGGACATTTGGGGAGCTTTGAGGCCTGTGGTGGAAAAGGAATTATCTTCCCGTAAAAGCTAGATAGAAGCATTGTCAGAAACTTCTTTGTGATGATTGCATTCAACTCACAGGAGTTGAAGGTTCCTTTTCAAACAGCAGTTTCCAATCACTCTTTCTGTGGAATCTGCAAGTGGATATTTCGACCTCTTTGAAGATTTCGTTGGAAACGGGAGAATCTTCACAGAAAAGCTAAACAGAAGCATTCTCAGAAACTTCTCTGTGATGTTTGTGTTCAACTCCCAGAGTTTCACGTTGCTTTTCATAGAGTAGTTCTGAAACATGCTTTTCGTAGTGTCTGCAAGTGGACATTTGGAGCGCTTTCAGGCCTGTGGTGGAAAACGAATTATGGTCACATAAAAACTGGAGAGAAGCCTTCTCAGAAACTTCTCTGTGATGATTGCATTCAACTCACAGAGTTGAACCCTCCTATGGATAGAGCAGTGTTGAAACTCTCTTTTTGTGGAATCTGCAAGTGGATATGTGGACCTCTCCGAAGATGTCTTTGGAAACGGGAATATCTTCACATAAAAACTAAACAGAAGCATTCTCAGAAACTTCTTGGTGATGTTTGCATTCAAATCCCAGAGTTGAACCTTCCTTTGATAGTTCAGGTTTGAAACACTCTTTCTGTAGGATCTGCAAGTGGCTATTTGGACCACTCTGTGGCCTTCGTTCGAAACGGGTATATCTTCGCATAAAATCTAGACAGAAGCATTCTCAGAAAATACTTAGTGATGATTGAGTTTAACTCACAGAGCTGAACATTCCTTTGAATGGAGCAGGTTTGAGACACAATTTTTGTAGAATCTACAAGTGGATATTTGGACCTCTCTGAGGATTTCGTTGGAAACGGGATAACTGCACCTAACTAAACGGAAGCATTCTCAGAAACTGCTTTGTGATGATTGCATTCACCTCACAGAGTTGAACATTCCTATTGATAGAGCAGTTTGGAAACACTCTTGTTGTGGAATGTGCAAGTGGAGATTTGGAGCGCTTTGAGGCCTATGGTAGTAAAGGGAATAGCTTCATAGAAAAACTAGACAGGATGCATTCTCAGGAACTTTTTGGTGATGTTTGTATTCAACTCCCAGAGTTGAACTTTCCTTTGGAAAGAGCAGCTATGAAACACTCTTTTTCTAGAATCTGCAAGTGGACGTTTGGAGGGCTTTGTGGTTTGTGGTGGAAAAGGAAATATCTTCACCTAAATACTAGATAGAAGCATTCTCAGAAGCTTCTCTGTGATGACTGCATTCAACTCACGGAGTTGAACACTCCTTTTGAGAGCGCAGTTTTGAAACTCTCTTTCTGTGGCATCTGCAAGGGGACATGTAGACCTCTTTGAAGATTTCGTTGGAAACGGAATCATCTTCACATAAAAACTATACAGAAGCAGTCTCAGAATCTTCTTTGTGATGTTTGCATTCAAATCCCAGAGTTGAACTTGCCTTTCAAAGTTCACGTTTGAAACACTCTTTTTGCAGGATCTACAAGTGGATATTTGGACCACTCTGTGTCCTTCGTTCGAAACGGGTATATCTTCACATGACATCTAGACAGAAGCTTTCTCAGAAAATCCTTTGGGATGATTGAGTGGAACTCACAGAGCTGAACATTCCTTGCGATGTAGCAGTTTAGAAACACACTTTCTGCAGAATCTGCAAGTGCATATGTGGACCTCTCTGAGGAATTCGTTGGAAACGGGATAATTTCAGCTGACTAAACAGAAGCATTCTCAGAACCTTCTTCGTGATGTCTGCATTCAACTCACAGTGTGGAACCTTTCTTTGATAGTTCAGGTTTGAAACACTCTTTTTGTAGAAACTGCAAGGGGATAATTGCACTTCTTTGAGGCCTACCGTAGTAAAGGAAATAACTTCCTATAGAAAGAAGACAGAAGCATTCTCAGAACCCTCTTCGTGATGTTTGCATTCAACTCACAGTGCTGAACCTTTCTTTGATAGTTCAGCTTTGAAACACTCTTCTTGTAGAAACTGCAAGTGGATATTTGGTCCTCTCTGAGGATTTCGTTGGAAACGGGATAAACCGCACAGAACTAAACAGAAGCATTCTCAGAGCCCTCTTCGTGATGTTTGCATTCAACTCACAGTGCTGAACCTTTCTTTGATAGTGCAGCTTTGAAACACTCTTTTTGTAGAAACTGCAAGTGGATGTTTTGTCCTCTCTGAGGATTTCGTTGGAAACGGGATAAACCGCACAGAACTAAAACAGAAGCATTCACAGAAAACTCTTGGTGACGACTGAGTTTAACTCACAGAGCTGAACATTCCTTTGGATGGAGCAGTTTCGAAACACACTATTTGTAGAATCTGCAAGTGGATATTTGGGCCTCTCTGAGGATTTCGTTGGAAACGGGATAAAACGCACAGAAATAAAACAGAAGCATTCTCAGAAACTACTTTGTGATGATTGCATTCAAGTCACAGAGTTGAACATTCCCTTTGACAGAGAAGTTTGGAAACTCTCTTTGTGTAGAATCTGCAAGTGGAGATATGGACCGCTTTGAGGCCTATGGTAGTAAAGGAAATAGCTTCATATAAAAGCTAGACAGTAGCATTCTCAGAAACTTCTTTGTGATGCTTGCATTCAACTCACAGAGTTGAACTTTCCTTTCGAGAGAGAAGCTTTGAAACACTCTTTTTCCAGAATCTGCAAGTGGACATTTGGAGGGCTTTGAGGCCTGTGGTGGAAAAGGAATTATCTTCTCGTAAAAGCTAGATAGAAGCATTGTCAGAAACTTCTTTGTGATGATTGCATTCAACTCACAGAGTTGAAGGTTCCATTTCAAACAGCAGTTTCCAATCACTCTTTCTGTGGAATCTGCAAGTGGATATTTCGACCTCTTTGAAGATTTCGTTGGAAACGGGATAATCTTCACAGAAAAGCTAAACAGAAGCATTCTCAGAAACTTCTCTGTGATGTTTGTGTTCAACTCCCAGAGTTTCACGTTGCTTTTCATAGAGTAGTTCTGAAACATGCTTTTCGTAGTGTCTGCAAGTGGACATTTGGAGCGCTTTCAGGCCTGTGGTGGAAAACGAATTATGGTCACATAAAAACTGGAGAGAAGCCTTCTCAGAAACTTCTCTGTGATGATTGCATTCAACTCACAGAGTTGAACCCTCCTATGGATAGAGCAGTGTTGAAACTCTCTTTTTGTGGAATCTGCAAGTGGATATGTGGACCTCTCCGAAGATGTCTTTGGAAACGGGAATATCTTCACATAAAAACTAAACAGAAGCATTCTCAGAAACTTCTTGGTGATGTTTGCATTCAAATCCCAGAGTTGAACCTTCCTTTGATAGTTCAGGTTTGAAACACTCTTTCTGTAGGATCTGCAAGTGGCTATTTGGACCACTCTGTGGCCTTCGTTCGAAACGGGTATATCTTCGCATAAAATCTAGACAGAAGCATTCTCAGAAAATACTTTGTGATGATTGAGTTTAAATCACAGAGCTGACCATTCCTTTGGATGGAGCAGGTTTGAGACACACTTTTTGTAGAATCTACAAGTGGATATTTGGACCTCTCTGAGGATTTCGTTGGAAACGGGATAACTGCACCTAACTAAACGGAAGCATTCTCAGAAACTGCTTTGTGATGATTGCATTCACCTCACAGAGTTGAACATTCCTATTGATAGAGCAGTTTGGAAACACTCTTGTTGTGGAATGTGCAAGTGGAGATTTGGAGCGCTTTGAGGCCTGTGGTAGTAAAGGGAATAGCTTCATAGAAAAACTAGACAGATGCATTCTCAGGAACTTTTTGGTGATGTTTGTATTCAACTCCCAGAGTTGAACTTTCCTTTGGAAAGAGCAGCTATGAAACACTCTTTTTCTAGAATCTGCAAGTGGACGTTTGGAGGGCTTTGTGGTTTGTGGTGGAAAAGGAAATATCTTCACCTAAATACTAGATAGAAGCATTCTCAGAAGCTTCTCTGTGATGACTGCATTCAACTCACGGAGTTGAACACTCCTTTTGAGAGCGCAGTTTTGAAACTCTCTTTCTGTGGCATCTGCAAGGGGACATGTAGACCTCTTTGAAGATTTCGTTGGAAACGGAATCATCTTCACATAAAAACTATACAGAAGCAGTCTCAGAATCTTCTTTGTGATGTTTGCATTCAAATCCCAGAGTTGAACTTTCCTTTCAAAGTTCACGTTTGAAACACTCTTTTTGCAGGATCTACAAGTGGATATTTGGACCACTCTGTGTCCTTCGTTCGAAACGGGTATATCTTCACACGACATCTAGACAGAAGCTTTCTCAGAAAATTCTTTGGGATGATTGAGTGGAACTCACAGAGCTGAACATTCCTTGCGATGTAGCAGTTTAGAAACACACTTTCTGCAGAATCTGCAAGTGCATATTTGGACCTCTCTGAGGAATTCGTTGGAAACGGGATAATTTCAGCTGACTAAACAGAAGCATTCTCAGAACCTTCTTCGTGATGTCTGCATTCAACTCACAGTGTGGAACCTTTCTTTGATAGTTCAGGTTTGAAACACTCTTTTTGTAGAAACTGCAAGGGGATAATTGCACTTCTTTGAGGCCTACCGTAGTAAAGGAAATAACTTCCTATAGAAAGAAGACAGAAGCATTCTCAGAACCCTCTTCGTGATGTTTGCATTCAACTCACAGTGCTGAACCTTTCTTTGATAGTGCAGCTTTGAAACACTCTTCTTGTAGAAACTGCAAGTGGATATTTGGTCCTCTCTGAGGATTTCGTTGGAAACGGGATAAACCGCACAGAACTAAACAGAAGAATTCTCAGAGCCCTCTTCGTGATGTTTGCATTCAACTCACAGTGCTGAACCTTTCTTTGATAGTGCAGCTTTGAAACACTCTTTTTGTAGAAACTGCAAGTGGATGTTTGGTCCTCTCTGAGGATTTCGTTGGAAACGGGATAAACCGCACAGAACTAAAACAGAAGCATTGTCAGAAACTTCTTTGTGATGATTGCATTCAACTCACAGAGTTGAAGGTTCCTTTTCAAACAGCAGTTTCCAATCACTCTTTCTGTGGAATCTGCAAGTGGATATTTGGGCCTCTCTGAGGATTTCGTTGGAAACGGGATAAAACGCACAGAACTAAAACAGAAGCATTCTCAGAAACTTCTCTGTGATGTTTGTGTTCAACTCCCAGAGTTTCACGTTGCTTTTCATAGAGTAGTTCTGAAACATGCTTTTCGTAGTGTCTGCAAGTGGACATTTGGAGCGCTTTCAGGCCTGTGGTGGAAAACGAATTATGGTCACATAAAAACTGGAGAGAAGCCTTCTCAGAAACTTCTCTGTGATGATTGCATTCAACTCACAGAGTTGAACCCTCCTATGGATAGAGCAGTGTTGAAACTCTCTTTTTGTGGAATCTGCAAGTGGATATGTGGACCTCTCCGAAGATGTCTTTGGAAACGGGAATATCTTCACATAAAAACTAAACAGAAGCATTCTCAGAAACTTCTTGGTGATGTTTGCATTCAAATCCCAGAGTTGAACCTTCCTTTGATAGTTCAGGTTTGAAACACTCTTTTTGTAGGATCTGCAAGTGGCTATTTGGACCACTCTGTGGCCTTCGTTCGAAACGGGTATATCTTCGCATAAAATCTAGACAGAAGCATTCTCAGAAAATACTTTGTGATGATTGAGTTGAACTCACAGAGCTGAACATTCCTTTGGATGGAGCAGGTTTGAGACACACTTTTTGTAGAATCTACAAGTGGATATTTGGACCTCTCTGAGGATTTCGTTGGAAACGGGATAACTGCACCTAACTAAACGGAAGCATTCTCAGAAACTGCTTTGTGATGATTGCATTCACCTCACAGAGTTGAACATTCCTATTGATAGAGCAGTTTGGAAACACTCTTGTTGTGGAATGTGCAAGTGGAGATTTGGAGCGCTTTGAGGTCTATGGTAGTAAAGGGAATAGCTTCATAGAAAAACTAGACAGATGCATTCTCAGGAACTTTTTGGTGATGTTTGTATTCAACTCCCAGAGTTGAACTTTCCTTTGGAAAGAGCAGCTATGAAACACTCTTTTTCTAGAATCTGCAAGTGGACGTTTGGAGGGCTTTGTGGTTTGTGGTGGAAAAGGAAATATCTTCACCTAAATACTAGATAGAAGCATTCTCAGAAGCTTCTCTGTGATGACTGCATTCAACTCACGGAGTTGAACACTCCTTTTGAGAGCGCAGTTTTGAAACTCTCTTTCTGTGGCATCTGCAAGGGGACATGTAGACCTCTTTGAAGATTTCGTTGGAAACGGAATCATCTTCACATAAAAACTATACAGAAGCAGTCTCAGAATCTTCTTTGTGATGTTTGCATTCAAATCCCAGAGTTGAACTTTCCTTTCAAAGTTCACGTTTGAAACACTCTTTTTGCAGGATCTACAAGTGGATATTTGGACCACTCTGTGTCCTTCGTTCGAAACGGGTATATCTTCACACGACATCTAGACAGAAGCTTTCTCAGAAAATTCTTTGGGATGATTGAGTGGAACTCACAGAGCTGAACATTCCTTGCGATGTAGCAGTTTAGAAACACACTTTCTGCAGAATCTGCAAGTGCATATTTGGACCTCTCTGAGGAATTCGTTGGAAACGGGATAATTTCAGCTGACTAAACAGAAGCATTCTCAGAACCTTCTTCGTGATGTCTGCATTCAACTCACAGTGTGGAACCTTTCTTTGATAGTTCAGGTTTGAAACACTCTTTTTGTAGAAACTGCAAGGGGATAATTGCACTTCTTTGAGGCCTACCGTAGTAAAGGAAATAACTTCCTATAGAAAGAAGACAGAAGCATTCTCAGAACCCTCTTCGTGATGTTTGCATTCAACTCACAGTGCTGAACCTTTCTTTGATAGTTCAGCTTTGAAACACTCTTCTTGTAGAAACTGCAAGTGGATATTTGGTCCTCTCTGAGGATTTCGTTGGAAACGGGATAAACCGCACAGAACTAAACAGAAGCATTCTCAGAGCCCTCTTCGTGATGTTTGCATTCAACTCACAGTGCTGAACCTTTCTTTGATAGTGCAGCTTTGAAACACTCTTTTTGTAGAAACTGCAAGTGGATATTTGGTCCTCTCTGAGGATTTCGTTGGAAACGGGATAAACCGCACAGAACTAAAACAGAAGCATTCACAGAAAACTCTTGTTGACGACTGAGTTTAACTCACAGAGCTGAACATTCCTTTGGATGGAGCAGTTTCGAAACACACTATTTGTAGAATCTGCAAGTGGATATTTGGGCCTCTCTGAGGATTTCGTTGGAAACGGGATAAAACGCACAGAACTAAAACAGAAGCATTCTCAGAAACTACTTTGTGATTATTGCATTCAAGTCACAGAGTTGAACATTCCCTTTGACAGAGCAGTTTGGAAACTCTCTTTGTGTAGAATCTGCAAGTGGAGATATGGACCGCTTTGAGGCCTATGGTAGTAAAGGAAATAGCTTCATATAAAAGCTAGACAGTAGCATTCTCAGAAACTTCTTTGTGATGCTTGCATTCAACTCACAGAGTTGAACTTTCCTTTCGAGAGAGAAGCTTTGAAACACTCTTTTTCCAGAATGTGCAAGTGGACATTTGGGGAGCTTTGAGGCCTGTGGAGGAAAAGGAATTATCTTCCCGTAAAAGCTAGATAGAAGCATTGTCAGAAACTTCTTTGTGATGATTGCATTCAACTCACAGAGTTGAAGGTTCCTTTTCAAACAGCAGTTTCCAATCACTCTTTCTGTGGAATCTGCAAGTGGATATTTCGACCTCTTTGAAGATTTCGTTGGAAACGGGAGAATCTTCACAGAAAAGTTCAACAGAAGCATTCTCAGAAACTTCTCTGTGATGTTTGTGTTCAACTCCCAGAGTTTCACATTGCTTTTCATAGAGTAGTTCTGAAACATGCTTTTCGTAGTGTCTACAAGTGGACATTTGGAGCGCTTCCAGGCCTGTGGTGGAAAACGAATTATGGTCACATAAAAACTGGAGAGAAGCCTTCTCAGAAACTTCTCTGTGATGATTGCATTCAACTCACAGAGTTGAACCCTCCTATGGATAGAGCAGTGTTGAAACTCTCTTTTTGTGGAATCTGCAAGTGGATATGTGGACCTCTTTGAAGATGTCTTTGGAAACGGGAATATCTTCACATAAAAACTAAACGGAAGCATTCTCAGAAACTTCTTGGTGATGTTTGCATTCAAATCCCAGAGTTGAACCTTCCTTTGATAGTTCAGGTTTGAAACACTCTTTTTGTAGGATCTGCAAGTGGATATTTGGACCACTCTGTGGCCTTCGTTCAAAACGGGTATATCTTCGCATAAAATCTAGACAGAAGCATTCTCAGAAAATACTTTGTGATGATTGAGTTGAACTCACAGAGCTGAACATTCCTTTGGATGGAGCAGGTTTGAGACACACTTTTTGTAGAATCTACAAGTGGATATTTGGACCTCTCTGAGGATTTCGTTGGAAACGGGATAACTGCACCTAACTAAACGGAAGCATTCTCAGAAACTGCTTTGTGATGATTGCATTCACCTCACAGAGTTGAACATTCCTATTGATAGAGCAGTTTGGAAACACTCTTCTTGTGGAATGTGCAAGTGGAGATTTGGAGCGCTTTGAGGCCTATGGTAGTAAAGGGAATAGCTTCATAGAAAAACTAGACAGATGCATTCTCAGGAACTTTTTGGTGATGTTTGTATTCAACTCCCAGAGTTGAACTTTCCTTTGGAAAGAGCAGCTATGAAACACTCTTTTTCTAGAATCTGCAAGTGGACGTTTGGAGGGCTTTGTGGTTTGTGGTGGAAAAGGAAATATCTTCACCTAAATACTAGATAGAAGCATTCTCAGAAGCTTCTCTGTGATGACTGCATTCAACTCACGGAGTTGAACACTCCTTTTGAGAGCGCAGTTTTGGAACTCTCTTTCTGTGGCATCTGCAAGGGGACATGTAGACCTCTTTGAAGATTTCGTTGGAAACGGAATCATCTTCACATAAAAACTATACAGAAGCAGTCTCAGAATCTTCTTTGTGGTGTTTGCATTCAAATCCCAGAGTTGAACTTTCCTTTCAAAGTTCACGTTTGAAACACTCTTTTTGCAGGATCTACAAGTGGATATTTGGACCACTCTGTGTCCTTCGTTCGAAACGGGTATATCTTCACATGACATCTAGACAGAAGCTTTCTCAGAAAATTCTTTGGGATGATTGAGTGGAATTCACAGAGCTGAACATTCCTTGCGATGTAGCAGTTTAGAAACACACTTTCTGCAGAATCTGCAAGTGCATATTTGGACCTCTCTGAGGAATTCGTTGGAAACGGGATAATTTCAGCTGACTAAACAGAAGCATTCTCAGAACCTTCTTCCTGATGTCTGCATTCAACTCACAGTGTGGAACCTTTCTTTGATAGTTCAGGTTTGAAACACTCTTTTTGTAGAAACTGCAAGGGGATAATTGCACTTCTTTGAGGCCTACCGTAGTAAAGGAAGTATCTTCCTATAGAAAGAAGACAGAAGAATTCTCAGAACCCTCTTCGTGATGTTTGCATTCCACACACAGTGCTGAAACTTTCTTTGATAGTTCAGCTTTGAAACACTCTTTTTGTGGAAACTGCAAGTGGATATTTGGTCCTCTCTGAGGATTTCGTTGGAAACGGGATAAACCGCACAGAACTAAACAGAAGCATTCTCAGAACCTTCTTCGTGATGTTTGCATTCAACTCACAGTGTTGAACCTTTCTTTGATAGTTCAGGTTTGAAACGGTCTTTCTGTAGAAACTGCAAGTAGATATTTGGACCTCTCTGAGGATTTCGTTGGAAACGGGATAACCCGCACAGAACTAAAACAGAAGCATTCACAGAAAACTCTTGGTGACGACTGAGTTTAACTCACAGAGCTGAACATTCCTTTGGATGGAGCAGTTTCGAAACACACTATTTGTAGAATGTGCAAGTGGATATTTAGGCCTCTCTGAGGATTTCGTTGGAAACGGGATAAACCGCACAGAACTAAACAGAAGCATTCTCAGAAACTACTTTGTGATGATTGCATTCAAGTCACAGAGTTGAACATTCCCTTTGACAGAGCAGTTTGGAAACTCTCTTTGTGTAGAATCTGCAAGTGGAGATATGGACCTCTTTGAGGCCTATGGTAGTAAAGGAAATAGCTTCATATAAAAGCTAGACAGTAGCATTCTCAGAAACTTCTTTGTGATGCTTGCATTCAACTCACAGATGTTGAACTTTCCTTTCGAGAGAGAAGCTTTGAAACACTCTTTTTCCAGAATCTGCAAGTGGACATTTGGAGGGCTTTGAGGCCTGTGGTGGAAAAGGAATTATCTTCCCGTAAAAGCTAGATAGAAGCATTGTCAGAAACTTCTTTGTGATGATTGCATACAAGTCACAGAGTTGAAGGTTCCTTTTCAAAGAGCAGTTTCCAATCACACTTTCTGTGGAATCTGCAAGTGGATATTTGGACCTCTTTGAAGATTTCGTTGGAAACGGGAGAATCTTCACAAAAAAGCTAAACAGAAGCATTCTCAGAAACTTCTCTGTGATGTTTGTGTTCAACTCCCAGAGTTTCACATTGCTTTTCATAGAGTAGTTCTGAAACATGCTTTTCGTAGTGTCTGCAAGTGGACATTTGGAGCGCTTTCAGGCCTGTGGTGGAAAACGAATTATGGTCACATAAAAACTGGAGAGAAGCCTTCTCAGAAACTTCTCTGTGATGATTGCATTCAACTCACAGAGTTGAACCCTCCTATGGATAGAGCAGTGTTGAAACTCTCTTTTTGTGGAATCTGCAAGTGGATATGTGGACCTCTCCGAAGATGTCTTTGGAAACGGGAATATCTTCACCTAAAAACTAAACAGAAGCATTCTCAGAAACTTCTTGGTGATGTTTGCATTCAAATCCCAGAGTTGAACCTTCCTTTGATAGTTCAGGTTTGAAACACTCTTTTTGTAGGATCTGCAAGTGGCTATTTGGACCACTCTGTGGCCTTCGTTCGAAACGGGTATATCTTCGCATAAAATCTAGACAGAAGCATTCTCAGAAAATGCTTTGTGATGATTGAGTTGAACTCACAGAGCTGAACATTCCTTTGGATGGAGCAGGCTTGAGACACACTTTTTGTAGAATCTACAAGTGGATATTTGGACCTCTCTGAGGATTTCGTTGGAAACGGGATAACTGCACCTAACTAAACGGAAGCATTCTCAGAAACTGGTTTGTGATGATTGCATTCACCTCACAGAGTTGAACATTCCTATTGATAGAGCAGTTTGGAAACACTCTTGTTGTGGAATGTGCAAGTGGAGATTTGGAGCGCTTTGAGGCCTATGGTAGTAAAGGGAATAGCTTCATAGAAAAACTAGACAGATGCATTCTCAGGAACTTTTTGGTGATGTTTGTATTCAACTCCCAGAGTTGAACTTTCCTTTGGAAAGAGCAGCTATGAAACACTCTTTTTTCTAGAATCTGCAAGTGGACGTTTGGAGGGCTTTGTGGTTTGTGGTGGAAAAGGAAATATCTTCACCTAAATACTAGATAGAAGCATTCTCAGAAGCTTCTCTGTGATGACTGCATTCAACTCACGGAGTTGAACACTCCTTTTGAGAGCGCAGTTTTGAAACTCTCTTTCTGTGGCATCTGCAAGGGGACATGTAGACCTCTTTGAAGATTTCGTTGGAAACGGAATCATCTTCACATCAAAACTATACAGAAGCAGTCTCAGAATCTTCTTTGTGATGTTTGCATTCAAATCCCAGAGTTGAACTTTCCTTTCCAAGTTCACGTTTGAAACACTCTTTTTGCAGGATCTACAAGTGGATATTTGGACCACTCTGTGTCCTTCGTTCGAAACGGGTATATCTTCACATGACATCTAGACAGAAGCTTTCTCAGAAAATTCTTTGGGATGATTGAGTTGAGCAAACAGAGCTGAACACTCCTTGCGATGTAGCAGTTTAGAAACACACTTTCTGCAGAATCTGCAAGTGCATATGTGGACCTCTCTGAGGAATTCGTTGGAAACGGGATAATTTCAGCTGACTAAACAGAAGCATTCTCAGAACCTTCTTCGTGATGTCTGCATTCAACTCACAGTGTGGAACCTTTCTTTGATAGTTCAGGTTTGAAACACTCTTTTTGTAGAAACTGCAAGGGGATCATTGCACTTCTTTGAGGCCTACCGTAGTAAAGGAGATAACTTCCTATAAAAAGAAGACAGAAGCATTCTCAGAACCCTCTTCGTGATGTTTGCATTCAACTCACGGTGCTGAACCTTTCTTTGATAGTTCAGCTTTGAAACACTCTTTTTGTAGAAACTGCAAGTGGATATTTGGTCCTCTCTGAGGATTTCGTTGGTAACGGGATAAACCGCACAGAACTAAACAGAAGCATTCTCAGAACCTTCTTCGTGATGTTTGCATTCAACTCACAGTGTTGAACCTTTCTTTGATAGTTCAGGTTTGAAACGGTCTTTCTGTAGAAACTGCAAGTAGATATTTGGACCTCTCTGAGGATTTCGTTGGAAACGGGATAACCCGCACAGAACTAAAACAGAAGCATTCACAGAAAACTCTTGGTGACGACTGAGTTTAACACACAGAGCTGAACATTCCTTTGGATGGAGCAGTTTCGAAACACACTATTTGTAGAATGTGCAAGTGGATATTTAGGCCTCTCTGAGGATTTCGTTGGAAACGGGATAAACCGCACAGAACTAAACAGAAGCATTCTCAGAAACTACTTTGTGATGATTGCATTCAAGTCACAGAGTTGAACATTCCCTTTGACAGAGCAGTTTGGAAACTCTCTTTGTGTAGAATCTGCAAGTGGAGATATGGACCACTTTGAGGCCTATGGTAGTAAAGGAAATAGCTTCATATAAAAGCTAGACAGTAGCATTCTCAGAAACTTCTTTGTGATGCTCGCATTCAACTCACAGAGTTGAACTTTCCTTTCGAGAGAGAAGCTTTGAAACACTCTTTTTCCAGAATCTGCAAGTGGACATTTGGAGGGCTTTGAGGCCTGTGGTGGAAAAGGAATTATCTTCCCGTAAAAGCTAGATAGAAGCATTGTCAGAAACTTCTTTGTGATGATTGCATTCAACTCACAGAGTTGAAGGTTCCTTTTCAAAGAGCAGTTTCCAATCACTCTTTCTGTGGAATCTGCAAGTGGATATTTGGACCTATTTTGAAGATTTCGTTGGAAACGGGAGAATCTTCACAGGAAAGCTAAACAGAAGCATTCTCAGAAACTTCTCTGTGATGTTTGTGTTCAACTCCCAGAGTTTCACATTGCTTTTCATAGAGTAGTTCTGAAACATGCTTTTCGTAGTGTCTACAAGTGGACATTTGGAGCGCTTTCAGGCCTGTGGTGGAAAACGAATTATGGTCACATAAAAACTGGAGAGAAGCCTTCTCAGAAACTTCTCTGTGATGATTGCATTCAACTCACAGAGTTGAACCCTCCTATGGATAGAGCAGTGTTGAAACTCTCTTTTTGTGGAATCTGCAAGTGGATATGTGGACCTCTCCGAAGATGTCTTTGGAAACGGGAATATCTTCACATAAAAACTAAACAGAAGCATTCTCAGAAACTTCTTGGTGATGTTTGCATTCAAATCCCAGAGTTGAACCTTCCTTTGATAGTTCAGGTTTGAAACACTCTTTTTGTAGGATCTGCAAGTGGATATTTGGACCAATCTGTGGCCTTCGTTCGAAACGGGTATATCTTCGCATAAAATCCAGACAGAAGCATTCTCAGAAAATACTTTGTGATGATTGAGTTTAACTCACAGAGCTGAACATTCCTTTGGATGGAGCAGGTTTGAGACACACATTTGTAGAATCTACAAGTGGATATTTGGACCTCTCTGAGGATTTCGTTGGAAACGCGATAACTGCACCTAACTAAACGGAAGCATTCTCAGAAACTGCTTTGTGATGATTGCATTCACCTCACAGAGTTGAACATTCCTATTGATAGAGCAGTTTGGAAACACTCTTGTTGTGGAATGTGCAAGTGGAGATTTGGAGCGCTTTGAGGCCTATGGTAGTAAAGGGAATAGCTTCATAGAAAAACTAGACAGATGCATTCTCAGGAACTTTTTGGTGATGTTTGTATTCAACTCCCAGAGTTGAACTTTCCTTTGGAAAGAGCAGCTATGAAACACTCTTTTTCTAGAATCTGCAAGTGGACGTTTGGAGGGCTTTGTGGTTTGTGGTGGAAAAGGAAATATCTTCACCTAAATACTAGATAGAAGCATTCTCAGAAGCTTCTCTGTGATGACTGCATTCAACTCACGGAGTTGAACACTCCTTTTGAGAGCGCAGTTTTGAAACTCTCTTTCTGTGGCATCTGCAAGGGGACATGTAGACCTCTTTGAAGATTTCGTTGGAAACGGAATCATCTTCACATAAAAACTATACAGAAGCAGTCTCAGAATCTTCTTTGTGATGTTTGCATTCAAATCCCAGAGTTGAACTTTCCTTTCAAAGTTCACGTTTGAAACACTCTTTTTGCAGGATCTACAAGTGGATATTTGGACCACTCTGTGTCCTTCGTTCGAAACGGGTATATCTTCACACGACATCTAGACAGAAGCTTTCTCAGAAAATTCTTTGGGATGATTGAGTGGAACTCACAGAGCTGAACATTCCTTGCGATGTAGCAGTTTAGAAACACACTTTCTGCAGAATCTGCAAGTGCATATTTGGACCTCTCTGAGGAATTCGTTGGAAACGGGATAATTTCAGCTGACTAAACAGACATTCTCAGAACCTTCTTCGTGATGTCTGCATTCAACTCACAGTGTGGAACCTTTCTTTGATAGTTCAGGTTTGAAACACTCTTTTTGTAGAAACTGCAAGGGGATAATTGCACTTCTTTGAGGCCTACCGTAGTAAAGGAAATAACTTCCTATAGAAAGAAGACAGAAGCATTCTCAGAACCCTCTTCGTGATGTTTGCATTCAACTCACAGTGCTGAACCTTTCTTTGATAGTTCAGCTTTGAAACACTCTTTTTGTAGAAACTGCAAGTGGATATTTGATCCTCTCTGAGGATTTCGTTGGAAACGGGATAAACCGCACAGAACTAAACAGAAGCATTCTCAGAACCTTCTTCGTGATGTTTGCATTCAACTCACAGTGTTGAACCTTTCTTTGATAGTTCAGGTTTGAAACGGTCTTTCTGTAGAAACTGCAAGTAGATATTTGGACCTCTATGAGGATTTCGTTGGATACGTGATAAACCGCACAGAACTAAAACAGAGGCATTCACAGAAAACTCTTGGTGACGACTGAGTTTAACTCACAGAGCTGAACATCCCTTTGGATGGAGCAGTTTGGAAACACACTATTTGTAGAATGTGCAAGTGGATATTGGGGCCTCTCTGAGGATTTCGTTGGAAACGGGATAAACCGCACAGAAATAAACAGAAGCATTCTCAGAAACTACTTTGTGATGATTGCATTCAAGTCACAGAGTTGAACATTCCCTTTGACAGAGCAGTTTGGAAACTCTCTTTGTGTAGAATCTGCAAGTGGAGATATGGACCGCTTTGAGGACTATGATAGTAAAGGAAATAGCTTCATATAAAAGCTAGACAGTAGAATTCTCAGAAACTTCTTTGTGATGCTTGCATTCAACTCACAGAGTTGAAATTTCCTTTCGAGAGAGAAGCTTTGAAACACTCTTTTTCCAGAATCTGCAAGTGGACATTTGGAGGGCTTTGAGGCCTGTGGTGGAAAAGGAATTATCTTCCCGCAAAAGCTAGATAGAAGCATTGTCAGAAACTTCTTTGTGATGATTGCATTCAACTCACAGAGTTGAAGGTTCCTTTTCAAACAGCAGTTTCCAATCACTCTTTCTGTGGAATCTGCAAGTGGATATTTGGAGCTCTTTGAAGATTTCCTTGGAAACGGGAGAATCTTCACAGAAAAGCTAAACAGAAGCATTCTCAGAAACTTCTCTGTGATGTTTGTGTTCAACTCCCAGAGTGTCACATTGCTTCTCATAGAGTAGTTCTGAAACATGCTTTTCGTAGTGTCTGCAAGTGGACATTTGGAGCGCTTTCAGGCCTGTGGTGGAAAACGAATTATGGTCACATAAAAACTGGAGAGAAGCCTTCTCAGAAACTTCTCTGTGATGATTGCATTCAACTCACAGATTTGAACCCTCCCTATGGATAGAGCATTGTTGAAACTCTCTTTTTGTGGAATCTGCAAGTGGATATGTGGACCTCTCCGAAGATGTCTTTGGAAACGGGAATATCTTCACATAAAAACTAAACAGAAGCATTCTCAGAAACTTCTTGGTGATGTTTGCATTCAAATCCCAGAGTTGAACCTTCCTTTGATAGTTCAGGTTTGAAACACTCTTTTTGTAGGATCTGCAAGTGGATATTTGGACCACTCTGTGGCCTTCGTTCGAAACGGGTATATCTTCGCATAAAATCTAGACAGAAGCATTCTCAGAAAATACTTTGTGATGATTGAGTTTAACTCACAGAGCTGAACATTCCTTTGGATGGAGCAGGTTTGAGACACACTTTTTGTAGAATCTACAAGTGGATATTTGGACCTCTCTGAGGATTTCGTTGGAAACGGGATAACTGCACCTAACTAAACGGAAGCATTCTCAGAAACTGCTTTGTGATGATTGCATTCACCTCACAGAGTTGAACATTCCTATTGATAGAGCAGTTTGGAAACACTCTTGTTGTGGAATGTGCAAGTGGAGATTTGGAGCGCTTTGAGGCCTATGGTAGTAAAGGGAATAGCTTCATAGAAAAACTAGACAGATGCATTCTCAGGAACTTTTTGGTGATGTTTGTATTCAACTCCCAGAGTTGAACTTTCCTTTGGAAAGAGCAGCTATGAAACACTCTTTTTCTAGAATCTGCAAGTGGACGTTTGGAGGGCTTTGTGGTTTGTGGTGGAAAAGGAAATATCTTCACCTAAATACTAGATAGAAGCATTCTCAGAAGCTTCTCTGTGATGACTGCATTCAACTCACGGAGTTGAACACTCCTTTTGAGAGCGCAGTTTTGAAACTCTCTTTCTGTGGCATCTGCAAGGGGACATGTAGACCTCTTTGAAGATTTCGTTGGAAACGGAATCATCTTCACATAAAAACTATACAGAAGCAGTCTCAGAATCTTCTTTGTGATGTTTGCATTCAAATCCCAGAGTTGAACTTTCCTTTCAAAGTTCACGTTTGAAACACTCTTTTTGCAGGATCTACAAGTGGATATTTGGACCACTCTGTGTCCTTCGTTCGAAACGGGTATATCTTCACACGACATCTAGACAGAAGCTTTCTCAGAAAATTCTTTGGGATGATTGAGTGGAACTCACAGAGCTGAACATTCCTTGCGATGTAGCAGTTTAGAAACACACTTTCTGCAGAATCTGCAAGTGCATATTTGGACCTCTCTGAGGAATTCGTTGGAAACGGGATAATTTCAGCTGACTAAACAGAAGCATTCTCAGAACCTTCTTCGTGATGTCTGCATTCAACTCACAGTGTGGAACCTTTCTTTGATAGTTCAGGTTTGAAACACTCTTTTTGTAGAAACTGCAAGGGGATAATTGCACTTCTTTGAGGCCTACCGTAGTAAAGGAAATAACTTCCTATAGAAAGAAGACAGAAGCATTCTCAGAACCCTCTTCGTGATGTTTGCATTCAACTCACAGTGCTGAACCTTTCTTTGATAGTTCAGCTTTGAAACACTCTTCTTGTAGAAACTGCAAGTGGATATTTGGTCCTCTCTGAGGATTTCGTTGGAAACGGGATAAACCGCCCAGAACTAAACAGAAGCATTCTCAGAGCCCTCTTCGTGATGTTTGCATTCAACTCACAGTGCTGAACCTTTCTTTGATAGTGCAGCTTTGAAACACTCTTTTTGTAGAAACTGCAAGTGGATGTTTGGTCCTCTCTGAGGATTTCGTTGGAAACGGGATAAACCGCACAGAACTAAAACAGAAGCATTGTCAGAAACTTCTTTGTGATGATTGCATTCAACTCACAGAGTTGAAGGTTCCTTTTCAAACAGCAGTTTCCAATCACTCTTTCTGTGGAATCTGCAAGTGGATATTTGGGCCTCTCTGAGGATTTCGTTGGAAACGGGATAAAACGCACAGAACTAAAACAGAAGCATTCTCAGAAACTTCTCTGTGATGTTTGTGTTCAACTCCCAGAGTTTCACGTTGCTTTTCATAGAGTAGTTCTGAAACATGCTTTTCGTAGTGTCTGCAAGTGGACATTTGGAGCGCTTTCAGGCCTGTGGTGGAAAACGAATTATGGTCACATAAAAACTGGAGAGAAGCCTTCTCAGAAACTTCTCTGTGATGATTGCATTCAACTCACAGAGTTGAACCCTCCTATGGATAGAGCAGTGTTGAAACTCTCTTTTTGTGGAATCTGCAAGTGGATATGTGGACCTCTCCGAAGATGTCTTTGGAAACGGGAATATCTTCACATAAAAACTAAACAGAAGCATTCTCAGAAACTTCTTGGTGATGTTTGCATTCAAATCCCAGAGTTGAACCTTCCTTTGATAGTTCAGGTTTGAAACACTCTTTTTGTAGGATCTGCAAGTGGCTATTTGGACCACTCTGTGGCCTTCGTTCGAAACGGGTATATCTTCGCATAAAATCTAGACAGAAGCATTCTCAGAAAATACTTTGTGATGATTGAGTTTAAATCACAGAGCTGACCATTCCTTTGGATGGAGCAGGTTTGAGACACACTTTTTGTAGAATCTACAAGTGGATATTTGGACCTCTCTGAGGATTTCGTTGGAAACGGGATAACTGCACCTAACTAAACGGAAGCATTCTCAGAAACTGCTTTGTGATGATTGCATTCACCTCACAGAGTTGAACATTCCTATTGATAGAGCAGTTTGGAAACACTCTTGTTGTGGAATGTGCAAGTGGAGATTTGGAGCGCTTTGAGGCCTATGGTAGTAAAGGGAATAGCTTCATAGAAAAACTAGACAGATGCATTCTCAGGAACTTTTTGGTGATGTTTGTATTCAACTCCCAGAGTTGAACTTTCCTTTGGAAAGAGCAGCTATGAAACACTCTTTTTCTAGAATCTGCAAGTGGACGTTTGGAGGGCTTTGTGGTTTGTGGTGGAAAAGGAAATATCTTCACCTAAATACTAGATAGAAGCATTCTCAGAAGCTTCTCTGTGATGACTGCATTCAACTCACGGAGTTGAACACTCCTTTTGAGAGCGCAGTTTTGAAACTCTCTTTCTGTGGCATCTGCAAGGGGACATGTAGACCTCTTTGAAGATTTCGTTGGAAACGGAATCATCTTCACATAAAAACTATACAGAAGCAGTCTCAGAATCTTCTTTGTGATGTTTGCATTCAAATCCCAGAGTTGAACTTTCCTTTCAAAGTTCACGTTTGAAACACTCTTTTTGCAGGATCTACAAGTGGATATTTGGACCACTCTGTGTCCTTCGTTCGAAACGGGTATATCTTCACATGGCATCTAGACAGAAGCTTTCTCAGAAAATCCTTTGGGATGATTGAGTGGAACTCACAGAGCTGAACATTCCTTGCGATGTAGCAGTTTAGAAACACACTTTCTGCAGAATCTGCAAGTGCATATTTGGACCTCTCCGAGGAATTCGTTGGAAACGGGATAATTTCAGCTGACTAAACAGAAGCATTCTCAGAACCTTCTTCGTGATGTCTGCATTCAACTCACAGTGTGGAACCTTTCTTTGATAGTTCAGGTTTGAAACACTCTTTTTGTAGAAACTGCAAGGGGATAATTGCACTTCTTTGAGGCCTACCGTAGTAAAGGAAATAACTTCCTATAGAAAGAAGACAGAAGCATTCTCAGAACCCTCTTCGTGATGTTTGCATTCAACTCACAGTGCTGAACCTTTCTTTGATAGTTCAGCTTTGAAACACTCTTCTTGTAGAAACTGCAAGTGGATATTTGGTCCTCTCTGAGGATTTCGTTGGAAACGGGATAAACCGCACAGAACTAAACAGAAGAATTCTCAGAGCCCTCTTCGTGATGTTTGCATTCAACTCACAGTGCTGAACCTTTCTTTGATAGTGCAGCTTTGAAACACTCTTTTTGTAGAAACTGCAAGTGGATGTTTGGTCCTCTCTGAGGATTTCGTTGGAAACGGGATAAACCGCACAGAACTAAAACAGAAGCATTGTCAGAAACTTCTTTGTGATGATTGCATTCAACTCACAGAGTTGAAGGTTCCTTTTCAAACAGCAGTTTCCAATCACTCTTTCTGTGGAATCTGCAAGTGGATATTTGGGCCTCTCTGAGGATTTCGTTGGAAACGGGATAAAACGCACAGAACTAAAACAGAAGCATTCTCAGAAACTTCTCTGTGATGTTTGTGTTCAACTCCCAGAGTTTCACGTTGCTTTTCATAGAGTAGTTCTGAAACATGCTTTTCGTAGTGTCTGCAAGTGGACATTTGGAGCGCTTTCAGGCCTGTGGTGGAAAACGAATTATGGTCACATAAAAACTGGAGAGAAGCCTTCTCAGAAACTTCTCTGTGATGATTGCATTCAACTCACAGAGTTGAACCCTCCTATGGATAGAGCAGTGTTGAAACTCTCTTTTTGTGGAATCTGCAAGTGGATATGTGGACCTCTCCGAAGATGTCTTTGGAAACGGGAATATCTTCACATAAAAACTAAACAGAAGCATTCTCAGAAACTTCTTGGTGATGTTTGCATTCAAATCCCAGAGTTGAACCTTCCTTTGATAGTTCAGGTTTGAAACACTCTTTTTGTAGGATCTGCAAGTGGCTATTTGGACCACTCTGTGGCCTTCGTTCGAAACGGGTATATCTTCGCATAAAATCTAGACAGAAGCATTCTCAGAAAATACTTTGTGATGATTGAGTTTAAATCACAGAGCTGACCATTCCTTTGGATGGAGCAGGTTTGAGACACACTTTTTGTAGAATCTACAAGTGGATATTTGGACCTCTCTGAGGATTTCGTTGGAAACGGGATAACTGCACTTAACTAAACGGAAGCATTCTCAGAAACTGCTTTGTGATGATTGCATTCACCTCACAGAGTTGAACATTCCTATTGATAGAGCAGTTTGGAAACACTCTTGTTGTGGAATGTGCAAGTGGAGATTTGGAGCGCTTTGAGGCCTATGGTAGTAAAGGGAATAGCTTCATAGAAAAACTAGACAGGATGCATTCTCAGGAACTTTTTGGTGATGTTTGTATTCAACTCCCAGAGTTGAACTTTCCTTTGGAAAGAGCAGCTATGAAACACTCTTTTTCTAGAATCTGCAAGTGGACGTTTGGAGGGCTTTGTGGTTTGTGGTGGAAAAGGAAATATCTTCACCTAAATACTAGACAGAAGCATTCTCAGAAGCTTCTCTGTGATGACTGCATTCAACTCACGGAGTTGAACACTCCTTTTGAGAGCGCAGTTTTGAAACTCTCTTTCTGTGGCATCTGCAAGGGGACATGTAGACCTCTTTGAAGATTTCGTTGGAAACGGAATCATCTTCACATAAAAACTATACAGAAGCAGTCTCAGAATCTTCTTTGTGATGTTTGCATTCAAATCCCAGAGTTGAACTTTCCTTTCAAAGTTCACGTTTGAAACACTCTTTTTGCAGGATCTACAAGTGGATATTTGGACCACTCTGTGTCCTTCGTTCGAAACGGGTATATCTTCACAGGACATCTAGACAGAAGCTTTCTCAGAAAATTCTTTGGGATGATTGAGTGGAACTCACAGAGCTGAACATTCCTTGCGATGGAGCAGTTTAGAAACACACTTTCTGCAGAATCTGCAAGTGCATATTTGGACCTCTCTGAGGAATTCGTTGGAAACGGGATAATTTCAGCTGACTAAACAGAAGCATTCTCAGAACCTTCTTCGTGATGTCTGCATTCAACTCACAGTGTGGAACCTTTCTTTGATAGTTCAGGTTTGAAACACTCTTTTTGTAGAAACTGCAAGGGGATAATTGCACTTCTTTGAGGCCTACCGTAGTAAAGGAAATAACTTCCTATAGAAAGAAGACAGAAGCATTCTCAGAACCCTCTTCGTGATGTTTGCATTCAACTCACAGTGCTGAACCTTTCTTTGATAGTTCAGCTTTGAAACACTCTTCTTGTAGAAACTGCAAGTGGATATTTGGTCCTCTCTGAGGATTTCGTTGGAAACGGGATAAACCGCACAGAACTAAACAGAAGCATTCTCAGAACCTTCTTCGTGATGTTTGCATTCAACTCACAGTGTTGAACCTTTCTTTGATAGTTCAGGTTTGAAACGGTCTTTCTGTAGAAACTGCAAGTAGATCTTTGGACCTCTCTGAGGATTTCGTTGGAAACGGGATAAACCGCACAGAACTAAAACAGAAGCATTCACAGAAAACTCTTGGTGACGACTGAGTTTAACTCACAGAGCTGAACATTCCTTTGGATGGAGCAGTTTCGAAACACACTATTTGTAGAATGTGCAAGTGGATATTTGGGCCTCTCTGAGGATTTCGTTGGAAACGGGATAAACCGCACAGAACTAAACAGAAGCATTCTCAGAAACTACTTTGTGATGATTGCATTCAAGTCACAGAGTTGAACATTCCCTTTGACAGAGCATTTTGGAAACTCTCTTTGTGTAGAATCTGCAAGTGGAGATATGGACCGCTTTGAGGCCTATGGTAGTAAAGGAAATAGCTTCATATAAAAGCTAGACAGTAGCATTCTCAGAAACTTCTTTGTGATGCTTGCATTCAACTCACAGAGTTGAACTTTCCTTTCGAGAGAGAAGCTTTGAAACACTCTTTTTCCAGAATCTGCAAGTGGACATTTGGAGGGCTTTGAGGCCTGTGGTGGAAAAGGAATTATCTTCCCGTAAAAGCTAGATAGAAGCATTGTCAGAAACTTCTTTGTGATGATTGCATTCAACTCACAGAGTTGAAGGTTCCTTTTCAAAGAGCAGTTTCCAATCACTCTTTGTGTGGAATCTGCAAGTGGATATTTGGACCTATTTTGAAGATTTCGTTGGAAACGGGAGAATCTTCACAGGAAAGCTAAACAGAAGCATTCTCAGAAACTTCTCTGTGATGTTTGTGTTCAACTCCCAGAGTTTCACATTGCTTTTCATAGAGTAGTTCTGAAACATGCTTTTCGTAGTGTCTACAAGTGGACATTTGGAGCGCTTTCAGGCCTGTGGTGGAAAACGAATTATGGTCACATAAAAACTGGAGAGAAGCCTTCTCAGAAACTTCTCTGTGATGATTGCATTCAACTCACAGAGTTGAACCCTCCTATGGATAGAGCAGTGTTGAAACTCTCTTTTTGTGGAATCTGCAAGTGGATATGTGGACCTCTCCGAAGATGTCTTTGGAAACGGGAATATCTTCACATAAAAACTAAACAGAAGCATTCTCAGAAACTTCTTGGTGATGTTTGCATTCAAATCCCAGAGTTGAACCTTCCTTTGATAGTTCAGGTTTGAAACACTCTTTTTGTAGGATCTGCAAGTGGATATTTGGACCACTCTGTGGCCTTCGTTCGAAACGGGTATATCTTCGCATAAAATCTAGACAGAAAGCATTCTCAGAAAATACTTTGTGATGATTGAGTTTAACTCACAGAGCTGAACATTCCTTTGGATGGAGCAGGTTTGAGACACACTTTTTGTAGAATCTACAAGTGGATATTTGGACCTCTCTGAGGATTTCGTTGGAAACGGGATAACTGCACCTAACTAAACGGAAGCATTCTCAGAAACTGCTTTGTGATGATTGCATTCACCTCACAGAGTTGAACATTCCTATTGATAGAGCAGTTTGGAAACACTCTTGTTGTGGAATGTGCAAGTGGAGATTTGGAGCGCTTTGAGGCCTATGGTAGTAAAGGGAATAGCTTCATAGAAAAACTAGACAGATGCATTCTCAGGAACTTTTTGGTGATGTTTGTATTCAACTCCCAGAGTTGAACTTTCCTTTGGAAAGAGCAGCTATGAAACACTCTTTTTCTAGAATCTGCAAGTGGACGTTTGGAGGGCTTTGTGGTTTGTGGTGGAAAAGGAAATATCTTCACCTAAATACTAGATAGAAGCATCCTCAGAAGCTTCTCTGTGATGACTGCATTCAACTCACGGAGTTGAACACTCCTTTTGAGAGCGCAGTTTTGAAACTCTCTTTCTGTGGCATCTGCAAGGGGACATGTAGACCTCTTTGAAGATTTCGTTGGAAACGGAATCATCTTCACATAAAAACTATACAGAAGCAGTCTCAGAATCTTCTTTGTGATGTTTGCATTCAAATCCCCGAGTTGAACTTTCCTTTCAAAGTTCACGTTTGAAACACTCTTTTTGCAGGATCTACAAGTGGATATTTGGACCACTCTGTGTCCTTCGTTCGAAACGGGTATATCTTCACATGAAATCTAGACAGAAGCTTTCTCAGAAAATTCTTTGGGATGATTGAGTTGAACTCACAGAGCTGAGCATTCCTTGCGATGTAGCAGTTTAGAAACACACTTTCTGCAGAATCTGCAAGTGCATATTTGGACCTCTGTGAGGAATTCGTTGGAAACGGGATAATTTCAGCTGACTAAACAGAAGCATTCTCAGAACCTTCTTCGTGATGTCTGCATTCAACTCACAGTGTGGAACCTTTCTTTGATAGTTCAGGTTTGAAACACTCTTTCTGTAGAAACTGCAAGGGGATAATTGCACTCTTTGAGGAGTACCGTAGTAAAGGAAATAACTTCCTATAAAAAGAAGACAGAAGCATTCTCAGAACCCTCTTCGTGATGTTTGCATTCAACTCACAGTGCTGAACCTTTCTTTGATAGTTCAGCTTTGAAACACTCTTTTTGTAGAAACTGCAAGTGGATATTTGGTCCTCTCTGAGGATTTCGTTGGAAACGGGATAAACTGCACAGAACTAAACAGAAGCATTCTCAGGAACCTTCTTCGTGATGTTTGCATTCAACTCACAGTGTTGAACCTTTCTTTGATAGTTCAGGTTTGAAACGGTCTTTCTGTAGAAACTGCAAGTAGATATTTGGACCTCTCTGAGGATTTCGTTGGAAACGGGATAACCCGCACAGAACTAAAACAGAAGCATTCACAGAAAACTCTTGGTGACGACTGAGTTTAACTCACAGAGCTGAACATTCCTTTGGATGGAGCAGTTTCGAAACACACTATTTGTAGAATGTGCAAGTGGATATGTGGGCCTCTCTGAGGATTTCGTTGGAAACGGGATAAACCGCACAGAACTAAACAGAAGCATTCTCAGAAACTACTTTGTGATGATTTCATTCAAGTCACAGAGTTGAACATTCCCTTTGACAGAGCAGTTTGGAAACTCTCTTTGTGTAGAATCTGCAAGTGGAGATATGGACCGCTTTGAGGCCTATGGTAGTAAAGGAAATAGCTTCATATAAAAGCTAGACAGTAGCATTCTCAGAAACTTCTTTGTGATGCTTGCATTCAACTCACAGAGTTGAACTTTCCTTTCGAGAGAGAAGCTTTGAAACAGTCTTTTTCCAGAATCTGCAAGTGGACATTTGGAGGGCTTTGAGGCCTGTGGTGGAAAAGGAATTATCTTCCCGTAAAAGCTAGATAGAAGCATTGTCAGAAACTTCTTTGTGATGATTGCATTCAAGTCACAGAGTTGAAGGTTCCTTTTCAAAGAGCAGTTTCCAATCACTCTTTCTGTGGAATCTGCAAGTGGATATTTGGACCTCTTTGAAGATTTCGTTGGAAACGGGAGAATCTTCACAGAAAAGCTAAACAGAAGCATTCTCAGAAACTTCTCTGTGATGTTTGTGTTCAACTCCCAGAGTTTCACATTGCTTCTCATAGAGTAGTTCTGAAACATGCTTTTCGTAGTGTCTGCAAGTGGACATTTGGAGCGCTTTCAGGCCTGTGGTGGAAAACGAATTATGGTCACATGAAAACTGGAGAGAAGCCTTCTCAGAAACTTCTCTGTGATGATTGCATTCAACTCACAGAGTTGAACCCTCCTATGGATAGAGCAGTGTTGAAACTCTCTTTTTGTGGAATCTGCAAGCGGATATATGGACCTCTCCGAAGATGTCTTTGGAAACGGGAATATCTTCACATAAAAACTAAACAGAAGCATTCTCAGAAACTTCTTGGTGATGTTTGCATTCAAATCCCAGAGTTGAACCTTCCTTTGATAGTTCAGGTTTGAAACACTCTTTCTGTAGGATCTGCAAGTGGCTATTTGGACCACTCTGTGGCCTTCGTTCGAAACGGGTATATCTTCGCATAAAATCTAGACAGAAGCATTCTCAGAAAATACTTTGTGATGATTGAGTTTAAATCACAGAGCTGACCATTCCTTTGGATGGAGCAGGTTTGAGACACACTTTTTGTAGAATCTACAAGTGGATATTTGGACCTCTCTGAGGATTTCGTTGGAAACGGGATAACTGCACCTAACTAAACGGAAGCATTCTCAGAAACTGCTTTGTGATGATTGCATTCACCTCACAGAGTTGAACATTCCTATTGATAGAGCAGTTTGGAAACACTCTTGTTGTGGAATGTGCAAGTGGAGATTTGGAGCGCTTTGAGGCCTATGGTAGTAAAGGGAATAGCTTCATAGAAAAACTAGACAGATGCATTCTCAGGAACTTTTTGGTGATGTTTGTATTCAACTCCCAGAGTTGAACTTTCCTTTGGAAAGAGCAGCTATGAAACACTCTTTTTCTAGAATCTGCAAGTGGACGTTTGGAGGGCTTTGTGGTTTGTGGTGGAAAAGGAAATATCTTCACCTAAATACTAGATAGAAGCTTTCTCAGAAGCTTCTCTGTGATGACTGCATTCAACTCACGGAGTTGAACACTCCTTTTGAGAGCGCAGTTTTGAAACTCCCTTTCTGTGGCATCTGCAAGGGGACATGTAGACCTCTTTGAAGATTTCGTTGGAAACGGAATCATCTTCACATAAAAACTATACAGAAGTAGTCTCAGAATCTTCTTTGTGATGTTTGCATTCAAATCCCAGAGTTGAACTTTCCTTTCAAAGTTCACGTTTGAAACACTCTTTTTGCAGGATCTACAAGTGGATATTTGGACCACTCTGTGTCCTTCGTTCGAAACGGGTATATCTTCACACGACATCTAGGCAGAAGCTTTCTCAGAAAATTCTTTGGGATGATTGAGTTGAACTCACAGAGCTGAACATTCCTTGCGATGTAGCAGTTTAGAAACACACTTTCTGCAGAATCTGCAAGTGCATATTTGGACCTCTCTGAGGAATTCGTTGGAAACGGGATAATTTCAGCTGACTAAACAGAAGCATTCTCAGAACCTTCTTCGTGATGTCTGCATTCAACTCACAGTGTGGAACCTTTCTTTGATAGTTCAGGTTTGAAACACTCTTTTTGTAGAAACTGCAAGGGGATAATTGCACTGCTTTGAGGCCTACCGTAGTAAAGGAAATAACTTCCTATAAAAAGAAGACAGAAGCATTCTCAGAACCCTCTTCGTGATGTTTGCATTCAACTCACAGTGCTGAACCTTTCTTTGATAGTTCAGCTTTGAAACACTCTTCTTGTAGAAACTGCAAGTGGATATTTGGTCCTCTCTGAGGATTTCGTTGGAAACGGGATAAACCGCACAGAACTAAACAGAAGAATTCTCAGAGCCCTCTTCGTGGTGTTTGCATTCAACTCACAGTGCTGAACCTTTCTTTGATAGTGCAGCTTTGAAACACTCTTTTTGTAGAAACTGCAAGTGGATATTTGGTCCTCTCTGAAGATTTCGTTGGAAACGGGATAAACCGCACAGAACTAAAACAGAAGCATTCACAGAAAACTCTTGGTGACGACTGAGTTTAACTCACAGAGCTGAACATTCCTTTGGATGGAGCAGTTTCGAAACACACTATTTGTAGAATCTGCAAGTGGATATTTGGGCCTCTCTGAGGATTTCGTTGGAAACGGGATAAAACGCACAGAACTAAAACAGAAGCATTCTCAGAAACTACTTTGTGATGATTGCATTCAAGTCACAGAGTTGAACATTCCCTTTGACAGAGCAGTTTGGAAACTCTCTTTGTGTAGAATCTGCAAGTGGAGATATGGACCACTTTGAGGCCTATGGTAGTAAAGGAAATAGCTTCATATAAAAGCTAGACAGTAGCATTCTCAGAAACTTCTTTGTGATGCTTGCATTCAACTCACAGAGTTGAACTTTCCTTTCGAGAGAGAAGCTTTGAAACACTCTTTTTCCAGAATGTGCAAGTGGACATTTGGGGAGCTTTGAGGCCTGTGGTGGAAAAGGAATTATCTTCCCGTAAAAGCTAGATAGAAGCATTGTCAGAAACTTCTTTGTGATGATTGCATTCAACTCACAGAGTTGAAGGTTCCTTTTCAAACAGCAGTTTACAATCACTCTTTCTGTGGAATCTGCAAGTGGATATTTCGACCTCTTTGAAGATTTCGTTGGAAACGGGAGAATCTTCACAGAAAAGCTAAACAGAAGCATTCTCAGAAACTTCTCTGTGATGTTTGTGTTCAACTCCCAGAGTTTCACGTTGCTTTTCATAGAGTAGTTCTGAAACATGCTTTTCGTAGTGTCTGCAAGTGGACATTTGGAGCGCTTTCAGGCCTGTGGTGGAAAACGAATTATGGTCACATAAAAACTGGAGAGAAGCCTTCTCAGAAACTTCTCTGTGATGATTGCATTCAACTCACAGAGTTGAACCCTCCTATGGATAGAGCAGTGTTGAAACTCTCTTTTTGTGGAATCTGCAAGTGGATATGTGGACCTCTCCGAAGATGTCTTTGGAAACGGGAATATCTTCACATAAAAACTAAACAGAAGCATTCTCAGAAACTTCTTGGTGATGTTTGCATTCAAATCCCAGAGTTGAACCTTCCTTTGATAGTTCAGGTTTGAAACACTCTTTCTGTAGGATCTGCAAGTGGCTATTTGGACCACTCTGTGGCCTTCGTTCGAAACGGGTATATCTTCGCATAAAATCTAGACAGAAGCATTCTCAGAAAATACTTTGTGATGATTGAGTTTAAATCACAGAGCTGACCATTCCTTTGGATGGAGCAGGTTTGAGACACACTTTTTGTAGAATCTACAAGTGGATATTTGGACCTCTCTGAGGATTTCGTTGGAAACGGGATAACTGCACCTAACTAAACGGAAGCATTCTCAGAAACTGCTTTGTGATGATTGCATTCACCTCACAGAGTTGAACATTCCTATTGATAGAGCAGTTTGGAAACACTCTTGTTGTGGAATGTGCAAGTGGAGATTTGGAGCGCTTTGAGGCCTGTGGTAGTAAAGGGAATAGCTTCATAGAAAAACTAGACAGATGCATTCTCAGGAACTTTTTGGTGATGTTTGTATTCAACTCCCAGAGTTGAACTTTCCTTTGGAAAGAGCAGCTATGAAACACTCTTTTTCTAGAATCTGCAAGTGGACGTTTGGAGGGCTTTGTGGTTTGTGGTGGAAAAGGAAATATCTTCACCTAAATACTAGATAGAAGCATTCTCAGAAGCTTCTCTGTGATGACTGCATTCAACTCACGGAGTTGAACACTCCTTTTGAGAGCGCAGTTTTGAAACTCTCTTTCTGTGGCATCTGCAAGGGGACATGTAGACCTCTTTGAAGATTTCGTTGGAAACGGAATCATCTTCACATAAAAACTATACAGAAGCAGTCTCAGAATCTTCTTTGTGATGTTTGCATTCAAATCCCAGAGTTGAACTTTCCTTTCAAAGTTCACGTTTGAAACACTCTTTTTGCAGGATCTACAAGTGGATATTTGGACCACTCTGTGTCCTTCGTTCGAAACGGGTATATCTTCACACGACATCTAGACAGAAGCTTTCTCAGAAAATTCTTTGGGATGATTGAGTGGAACTCACAGAGCTGAACATTCCTTGCGATGGAGCAGTTTAGAAACACACTTTCTGCAGAATCTGCAAGTGCATATTTGGACCTCTCTGAGGAATTCGTTGGAAACGGGATAATTTCAGCTGACTAAACAGAAGCATTCTCAGAACCTTCTTCGTGATGTCTGCATTCAACTCACAGTGTGGAACCTTTCTTTGATAGTTCAGGTTTGAAACACTCTTTTTGTAGAAACTGCAAGGGGATAATTGCACTTCTTTGAGGCCTACCGTAGTAAAGGAAATAACTTCCTATAGAAAGAAGACAGAAGCATTCTCAGAACCCTCTTCGTGATGTTTGCATTCAACTCACAGTGCTGAACCTTTCTTTGATAGTTCAGCTTTGAAACACTCTTCTTGTAGAAACTGCAAGTGGATATTTGGTCCTCTCTGAGGATTTCGTTGGAAACGGGATAAACCGCACAGAACTAAACAGAAGAATTCTCAGAGCCCTCTTCGTGATGTTTGCATTCAACTCACAGTGCTGAACCTTTCTTTGATAGTGCAGCTTTGAAACACTCTTTTTGTAGAAACTGCAAGTGGATGTTTGGTCCTCTCTGAGGATTTCATTGGAAACGGGATAAACCGCACAGAACTAAAACAGAAGCATTGTCAGAAACTTCTTTGTGATGATTGCATTCAACTCACAGAGTTGAAGGTTCCTTTTCAAACAGCAGTTTCCAATCACTCTTTCTGTGGAATCTGCAAGTGGATATTTGGGCCTCTCTGAGGATTTCGTTGGAAACGGGATAAAACGCACAGAACTAAAACAGAAGCATTCTCAGAAACTTCTCTGTGATGTTTGTGTTCAACTCCCAGAGTTTCACGTTGCTTTTCATAGAGTAGTTCTGAAACATGCTTTTCGTAGTGTCTGCAAGTGGACATTTGGAGCGCTTTCAGGCCTGTGGTGGAAAACGAATTATGGTCACATAAAAACTGGAGAGAAGCCTTCTCAGAAACTTCTCTGTGATGATTGCATTCAACTCACAGGAGTTGAACCCTCCTATGGATAGAGCAGTGTTGAAACTCTCTTTTTGTGGAATCTGCAAGTGGATATGTGGACCTCTCCGAAGATGTCTTTGGAAACGGGAATATCTTCACATAAAAACTAAACAGAAGCATTCTCAGAAACTTCTTGGTGATGTTTGCATTCAAATCCCAGAGTTGAACCTTCCTTTGATAGTTCAGGTTTGAAACACTCTTTCTGTAGGATCTGCAAGTGGCTATTTGGACCACTACTGTGGCCTTCGTTCGAAACGGGTATATCTTCGCATAAAATCTAGACAGAAGCATTCTCAGAAAATACTTTGTGATGATTGAGTTTAAATCACAGAGCTGACCATTCCTTTGGATGGAGCAGGTTTGAGACACACTTTTTGTAGAATCTACAAGTGGATATTTGGACCTCTCTGAGGATTTCGTTGGAAACGGGATAACTGCACCTAACTAAACGGAAGCATTCTCAGAAACTGCTTTGTGATGATTGCATTCACCTCACAGAGTTGAACATTCCTATTGATAGAGCAGTTTGGAAACACTCTTGTTGTGGAATGTGCAAGTGGAGATTTGGAGCGCTTTGAGGCCTATGGTAGTAAAGGGAATAGCTTCATAGAAAAACTAGACAGATGCATTCTCAGGAACTTTTTGGTGATGTTTGTATTCAACTCCCAGAGTTGAACTTTCCTTTGGAAAGAGCAGCTATGAAACACTCTTTTTCTAGAATCTGCAAGTGGACGTTTGGAGGGCTTTGTGGTTTGTGGTGGAAAAGGAAATATCTTCACCTAAATACTAGATAGAAGCATCCTCAGAAGCTTCTCTGTGATGACTGCATTCAACTCACGGAGTTGAACACTCCTTTTGAGAGCGCAGTTTTGAAACTCTCTTTCTGTGGCATCTGCAAGGGGACATGTAGAACTCTTTGAAGATTTCGTTGGAAACGGAATCATCTTCACATAAAAACTATACAGAAGCAGTCTCAGAATCTTCTTTGTGATGTTTGCATTCAAATCCCCGAGTTGAACTTTCCTTTCAAAGTTCACGTTTGAAACACTCTTTTTGCAGGATCTACAAGTGGATATTTGGACCACTCTGTGTCCTTCGTTCGAAACAGGTATATCTTCACATGACATCTAGACAGAAGCTTTCTCAGAAAATTCTTTGGGATGATTGAGTTGAACTCACAGAGCTGAGCATTCCTTGCGATGTAGCAGTTTAGAAACACACTTTCTGCAGAATCTGCAAGTGCATATTTGGACCTCTCTGAGGAATTCGTTGGAAACGGGATAATTTCAGCTGACCAAACAGAAGCATTCTCAGAACCTTCTTCGTGATGTCTGCGTTCAACTCACAGTGTAGAACCTTTCTTTGATAGTTCAGGTTTGAAACACTCTTTTCGTAGAAACTGCAAGGGGATCATTGCACTCTTTGAGGAGTACCGTAGTAAAGGAAATAACTTCCTATAAAAAGAAGACAGAAGAATTCTCAGAGCCCTCTTCGTGATGTTTGCATTCAACTCACAGTGCTGAACCTTTCTTTGATAGTGCAGCTTTGAAACACTCTTTTTGTAGAAACTGCAAGTGGATGTTTGGTCCTCTCTGAGGATTTCGTTGGAAACGGGATAAACCGCACAGAACTAAAACAGAAGCATTGTCAGAAACTTCTTTGTGATGATTGCATTCAACTCACAGAGTTGAAGGTTCCTTTTCAAACAGCAGTTTCCAATCACTCTTTCTGTGGAATCTGCAAGTGGATATTTGGGCCTCTCTGAGGATTTCGTTGGAAACGGGATAAAACGCACAGAACTAAAACAGAAGCATTCTCAGAAACTTCTCTGTGATGTTTGTGTTCAACTCCCAGAGTTTCACCGTTGCTTTTCATAGAGTAGTTCTGAAACATGCTTTTCGTAGTGTCTGCAAGTGGACATTTGGAGCGCTTTCAGGCCTGTGGTGGAAAACGAATTATGGTCACATAAAAACTGGAGAGAAGCCTTCTCAGAAACTTCTCTGTGATGATTGCATTCAACTCACAGAGTTGAACCCTCCTATGGATAGAGCAGTGTTGAAACTCTCTTTTTGTGGAATCTGCAAGTGGATATGTGGACCTCTCCGAAGATGTCTTTGGAAACGGGAATATCTTCACATAAAAACTAAACAGAAGCATTCTCAGAAACTTCTTGGTGATGTTTGCATTCAAATCCCAGAGTTGAACCTTCCTTTGATAGTTCAGGTTTGAAACACTCTTTCTGTAGGATCTGCAAGTGGCTATTTGGACCACTCTGTGGCCTTCGTTCGAAACGGGTATATCTTCGCATAAAATCTAGACAGAAGCATTCTCAGAAAATACTTTGTGATGATTGAGTTTAAATCACAGAGCTGACCATTCCTTTGGATGGAGCAGGTTTGAGACACACTTTTTGTAGAATCTACAAGTGGATATTTGGACCTCTCTGAGGATTTCGTTGGAAACGGGATAACTGCACCTAACTAAACGGAAGCATTCTCAGAAACTGCTTTGTGATGATTGCATTCACCTCACAGAGTTGAACATTCCTATTGATAGAGCAGTTTGGAAACACTCTTGTTGTGGAATGTGCAAGTGGAGATTTGGAGCGCTTTGAGGCCTATGGTAGTAAAGGGAATAGCTTCATAGAAAAACTAGACAGATGCATTCTCAGGAACTTTTTGGTGATGTTTGTATTCAACTCCCAGAGTTGAACTTTCCTTTGGAAAGAGCAGCTATGAAACACTCTTTTTCTAGAATCTGCAAGTGGACGTTTGGAGGGCTTTGTGGTTTGTGGTGGAAAAGGAAATATCTTCACCTAAATACTAGATAGAAAGCATTCTCAGAAGCTTCTCTGTGATGACTGCATTCAACTCACGGAGTTGAACACTCCTTTTGAGAGCGCAGTTTTGAAACTCTCTTTCTGTGGCATCTGCAAGGGGACATGTAGACCTCTTTGAAGATTTCGTTGGAAACGGAATCATCTTCACATAAAAACTATACAGAGCAGTCTCAGAATCTTCTTTGTGATGTTTGCATTCAAATCCCAGAGTTGAACTTTCCTTTCAAAGTTCACGTTTGAAACACTCTTTTTGCAGGATCTACAAGTGGATATTTGGACCACTCCTGTGTCCTTCGTTCGAAACGGGTATATCTTCACACGACATCTAGACAGAAGCTTTCTCAGAAAATTCTTTGGGATGATTGAGTGGAACTCACAGAGCTGAACATTCCTTGCGATGTAGCAGTTTAGAAACACACTTTCTGCAGAATCTGCAAGTGCATATTTGGACCTCTCTGAGGAATTCGTTGGAAACGGGATAATTTCAGCTGACTAAACAGAAGCATTCTCAGAACCTTCTTCGTGATGTCTGCATTCAACTCACAGTGTGGAACCTTTCTTTGATAGTTCAGGTTTGAAACACTCTTTTTGTAGAAACTGCAAGGGGATAATTGCACTTCTTTGAGGCCTACCGTAGTAAAGGAAATAACTTCCTATAGAAAGAAGACAGAAGCATTCTCAGAACCCTCTTCGTGATGTTTGCATTCAACGCACAGTGCTGAACCTTTCTTTGATAGTGCAGCTTTGAAACACTCTTTTTGTAGAAACTGCAAGTGGATATTTGGTCCTCTCTGAGGATTTCGTTGGAAACGGGATAAACCGCACAGAACTAAACAGAAGAATTCTCAGAGCCCTCTTCGTGATGTTTGCATTCAACTCACAGTGCTGAACCTTTCTTTGATAGTGCAGCTTTGAAACACTCTTTTTGTAGAAACTGCAAGTGGATGTTTGGTCCTCTCTGAGGATTTCGTTGGAAACGGGATAAACCGCACAGAACTAAAACAGAAGCATTGTCAGAAACTTCTTTGTGATGATTGCATTCAACTCACAGAGTTGAAGGTTCCTTTTCAAACAGCAGTTTCCAATCACTCTTTCTGTGGAATCTGCAAGTGGATATTTGGGCCTCTCTGAGGATTTCGTTGGAAACGGGATAAAACGCACAGAACTAAAACAGAAGCATTCTCAGAAACTTCTCTGTGATGTTTGTGTTCAACTCCCAGAGTTTCACGTTGCTTTTCATAGAGTAGTTCTGAAACATGCTTTTCGTAGTGTCTGCAAGTGGACATTTGGAGCGCTTTCAGGCCTGTGGTGGAAAACGAATTATGGTCACATAAAAACTGGAGAGAAGCCTTCTCAGAAACTTCTCTGTGATGATTGCATTCAACTCACAGAGTTGAACCCTCCTATGGATAGAGCAGTGTTGAAACTCTCTTTTTGTGGAATCTGCAAGTGGATATGTGGACCTCTCCGAAGATGTCTTTGGAAACGGGAATATCTTCACATAAAAACTAAACAGAAGCATTCTCAGAAAACTTCTTGGTGATGTTTGCATTCAAATCCCAGAGTTGAACCTTCCTTTGATAGTTCAGGTTTGAAACACTCTTTCTGTAGGATCTGCAAGTGGCTATTTGGACCACTCTGTGGCCTTCGTTCGAAACGGGTATATCTTCGCATAAAATCTAGACAGAAGCATTCTCAGAAAATACTTTGTGATGATTGAGTTTAAATCACAGAGCTGACCATTCCTTTGGATGGAGCAGGTTTGAGACACACTTTTTGTAGAATCTACAAGTGGATATTTGGACCTCTCTGAGGATTTCGTTGGAAACGGGATAACTGCACCTAACTAAACGGAAGCATTCTCAGAAACTGCTTTGTGATGATTGCATTCACCTCACAGAGTTGAACATTCCTATTGATAGAGCAGTTTGGAAACACTCTTGTTGTGGAATGTGCAAGTGGAGATTTGGAGCGCTTTGAGGCCTATGGTAGTAAAGGGAATAGCTTCATAGAAAAACTAGACAGATGCATTCTCAGGAACTTTTTGGTGATGTTTGTATTCAACTCCCAGAGTTGAACTTTCCTTTGGAAAGAGCAGCTATGAAACACTCTTTTTCTAGAATCTGCAAGTGGACGTTTGGAGGGCTTTGTGGTTTGTGGTGGAAAAGGAAATATCTTCACCTAAATACTAGATAGAAGCATTCTCAGAAGCTTCTCTGTGATGACTGCATTCAACTCACGGAGTTGAACACTCCTTTTGAGAGCGCAGTTTTGAAACTCTCTTTCTGTGGCATCTGCAAGGGGACATGTAGACCTCTTTGAAGATTTCGTTGGAAACGGAATCATCTTCACATAAAAACTATACAGAAGCAGTCTCAGAATCTTCTTTGTGATGTTTGCATTCAAATCCCAGAGTTGAACTTTCCTTTCAAAGTTCACGTTTGAAACACTCTTTTTGCAGGATCTACAAGTGGATATTTGGACCACTCTGTGTCCTTCGTTCGAAACGGGTATATCTTCACACGACATCTAGACAGAAGCTTTCTCAGAAAATTCTTTGGGATGATTGAGTGGAACTCACAGAGCTGAACATTCCTTGCGATGTAGCAGTTTAGAAACACACTTTCTGCAGAATCTGCAAGTGCATATTTGGACCTCTCTGAGGAATTCGTTGGAAACGGGATAATTTCAGCTGACTAAACAGAAGCATTCTCAGAACCTTCTTCGTGATGTCTGCATTCAACTCACAGTGTGGAACCTTTCTTTGATAGTTCAGGTTTGCAACACTCTTTTTGTAGAAACTGCAAGGGGATAATTGCACTTCTTTGAGGCCTACCGTAGTAAAGGAAATAACTTCCTATAGAAAGAAGACAGAAGCATTCTCAGAACCCTCTTCGTGATGTTTGCATTCAACTCACAGTGCTGAACCTTTCTTTGATAGTTCAGCTTTGAAACACTCTTCTTGTAGAAACTGCAAGTGGATATTTGGTCCTCTCTGAGGATTTCGTTGGAAACGGGATAAACCGCACAGAACTAAACAGAAGAATTCTCAGAGCCCTCTTCGTGATGCTTGCATTCAACTCACAGTGCTGAACCTTTCTTTGATAGTGCAGCTTTGAAACACTCTTTTTGTAGAAACTGCAAGTGGATATTTGGTCCTCTCTGAGGATTTCGTTGGAAACGGGATAAACCGCACAGAACTAAAACAGAAGCATTGTCAGAAACTTCTTTGTGATGATTGCATTCAACTCACAGAGTTGAAGGTTCCTTTTCAAACAGCAGTTTCCAATCACTCTTTCTGTGGAATCTGCAAGTGGATATTTGGGCCTCTCTGAGGATTTCGTTGGAAACGGGATAAAACGCACAGAACTAAAACAGAAGCATTCTCAGAAACTTCTCTGTGATGTTTGTGTTCAACTCCCAGAGTTTCACGTTGCTTTTCATAGAGTAGTTCTGAAACATGCTTTTCGTAGTGTCTGCAAGTGGACATTTGGAGCGCTTTCAGGCCTGTGGTGGAAAACGAATTATGGTCACATAAAAACTGGAGAGAAGCCTTCTCAGAAACTTCTCTGTGATGATTGCATTCAACTCACAGAGTTGAACCCTCCTATGGATAGAGCAGTGTTGAAACTCTCTTTTTGTGGAACCTGCAAGTGGATATGTGGACCTCTCCGAAGATGTCTTTGGAAACGGGAATATCTTCACATAAAAACTAAACAGAAGCATTCTCAGAAACTTCTTGGTGATGTTTGCATTCAAATCCCAGAGTTGAACCTTCCTTTGATAGTTCAGGTTTGAAACACTCTTTCTGTAGGATCTGCAAGTGGCTATTTGGACCACTCTGTGGCCTTCGTTCGAAACGGGTATATCTTCGCATAAAATCTAGACAGAAGCATTCTCAGAAAATACTTTGTGATGATTGAGTTTAAATCACAGAGCTGACCATTCCTTTGGATGGAGCAGGTTTGAGACACACTTTTTGTAGAATCTACAAGTGGATATTTGGACCTCTCTGAGGATTTCGTTGGAAACGGGATAACTGCACCTAACTAAACGGAAGCATTCTCAGAAACTGCTTTGTGATGATTGCATTCACCTCACAGAGTTGAACATTCCTATTGATAGAGCAGTTTGGAAACACTCTTGTTGCGGAATGTGCAAGTGGAGATTTGGAGCGCTTTGAGGCCTGTGGTAGTAAAGGGAATAGCTTCATAGAAAAACTAGACAGATGCATTCTCAGGAACTTTTTGGTGATGTTTGTATTCAACTCCCAGAGTTGAACTTTCCTTTGGAAAGAGCAGCTATGAAACACTCTTTTTCTAGAATCTGCAAGTGGACGTTTGGAGGGCTTTGTGGTTTGTGGTGGAAAAGGAAATATCTTCACCTAAATACTAGATAGAAGCATTCTCAGAAGCTTCTCTGTGATGACTGCATTCAACTCACGGAGTTGAACACTCCTTTTGAGAGCGCAGTTTTGAAACTCTCTTTCTGTGGCATCTGCAAGGGGACATGTAGACCTCTTTGAAGATTTCGTTGGAAACGGAATCATCTTCACATAAAAACTATACAGAAGCAGTCTCAGAATCTTCTTTGTGATGTTTGCATTCAAATCCCAGAGTTGAACTTTCCTTTCAAAGTTCACGTTTGAAACACTCTTTTTGCAGGATCTACAAGTGGATATTTGGACCACTCTGTGTCCTTCGTTCGAAACGGGTATATCTTCACACGACATCTAGACAGAAGCTTTCTCAGAAAATTCTTTGGGATGATTGAGTGGAACTCACAGAGCTGAACATTCCTTGCGATGTAGCAGTTTAGAAACACACTTTCTGCAGAATCTGCAAGTGCATATTTGGACCTCTCTGAGGAATTCGTTGGAAACGGGATAATTTCAGCTGACTAAACAGAAGCATTCTCAGAACCTTCTTCGTGATGTCTGCATTCAACTCACAGTGTGGAACCTTTCTTTGATAGTTCAGGTTTGAAACACTCTTTTTGTAGAAACTGCAAGGGGATAATTGCACTTCTTTGAGGCCTACCGTAGTAAAGGAAATAACTTCCTATAGAAAGAAGACAGAAGCATTCTCAGAACCCTCTTCGTGATGTTTGCATTCAACTCACAGTGCTGAACCTTTCTTTGATAGTTCAGCTTTGAAACACTCTTCTTGTAGAAACTGCAAGTGGATATTTGGTCCTCTCTGAGGATTTCGTTGGAAACGGGATAAACCGCACAGAACTAAACAGAAGAATTCTCAGAGCCCTCTTCGTGATGTTTGCATTCAACTCACAGTGCTGAACCTTTCTTTGATAGTGCAGCTTTGAAACACTCTTTTTGTAGAAACTGCAAGTGGATGTTTGGTCCTCTCTGAGGATTTCGTTGGAAACGGGATAAACCGCACAGAACTAAAACAGAAGCATTGTCAGAAACTTCTTTGTGATGATTGCATTCAACTCACAGAGTTGAAGGTTCCTTTTCAAACAGCAGTTTCCAATCACTCTTTCTGTGGAATCTGCAAGTGGATATTTGGGCCTCTCTGAGGATTTCGTTGGAAACGGGATAAAACGCACAGAACTAAAACAGAAGCATTCTCAGAAACTTCTCTGTGATGTTTGTGTTCAACTCCCAGAGTTTCACGTTGCTTTTCATAGAGTAGTTCTGAAACATGCTTTTCGTAGTGTCTGCAAGTGGACATTTGGAGCGCTTTCAGGCCTGTGGTGGAAAACGAATTATGGTCACATAAAAACTGGAGAGAAGCCTTCTCAGAAACTTCTCTGTGATGATTGCATTCAACTCACAGAGTTGAACCCTCCTATGGATAGAGCAGTGTTGAAACTCTCTTTTTGTGGAACCTGCAAGTGGATATGTGGACCTCTCCGAAGATGTCTTTGGAAACGGGAATATCTTCACATAAAAACTAAACAGAAGCATTCTCAGAAACTTCTTGGTGATGTTTGCATTCAAATCCCAGAGTTGAACCTTCCTTTGATAGTTCAGGTTTGAAACACTCTTTCTGTAGGATCTGCAAGTGGCTATTTGGACCACTCTGTGGCCTTCGTTCGAAACGGGTATATCTTCGCATAAAATCTAGACAGAAGCATTCTCAGAAAATACTTTGTGATGATTGAGTTTAAATCACAGAGCTGACCATTCCTTTGGATGGAGCAGGTTTGAGACACACTTTTTGTAGAATCTACAAGTGGATATTTGGACCTCTCTGAGGATTTCGTTGGAAACGGGATAACTGCACCTAACTAAACGGAAGCATTCTCAGAAACTGCTTTGTGATGATTGCATTCACCTCACAGAGTTGAACATTCCTATTGATAGAGCAGTTTGGAAACACTCTTGTTGTGGAATGTGCAAGTGGAGATTTGGAGCGCTTTGAGGCCTATGGTAGTAAAGGGAATAGCTTCATAGAAAAACTAGACAGATGCATTCTCAGGAACTTTTTGGTGATGTTTGTATTCAACTCCCAGAGTTGAACTTTCCTTTGGAAAGAGCAGCTATGAAACACTCTTTTTCTAGAATCTGCAAGTGGACGTTTGGAGGGCTTTGTGGTTTGTGGTGGAAAAGGAAATATCTTCACCTAAATACTAGATAGAAGCATTCTCAGAAGCTTCTCTGTGATGACTGCATTCAACTCACGGAGTTGAACACTCCTTTTGAGAGCGCAGTTTTGAAACTCTCTTTCTGTGGCATCTGCAAGGGGACATGTAGACCTCTTTGAAGATTTCGTTGGAAACGGAATCATCTTCACATAAAAACTATACAGAAGCAGTCTCAGAATCTTCTTTGTGATGTTTGCATTCAAATCCCAGAGTTGAACTTTCCTTTCAAAGTTCACGTTTGAAACACTCTTTTTGCAGGATCTACAAGTGGATATTTGGACCACTCTGTGTCCTTCGTTCGAGACGGGTATATCTTCACACGACATCTAGACAGAAGCTTTCTAAGAAAATTCTTTGGAATGATTGAGTGGAACTCACAGAGCTGAACATTCCTTGCGATGTAGCAGTTTAGAAACACACTTTCTGCAGAATCTGCAAGTGCATATTTGGACCTCTCTGAGGAATTCGTTGGAAACGGGATAATTTCAGCTGACTAAACAGAAGCATTCTCAGAACCTTCTTCGTGATGTCTGCATTCAACTCACAGTGTGGAACCTTTCTTTGATAGTTCAGGTTTGAAACACTCTTTTTGTAGAAACTGCAAGGGGATAATTGCACTTCTTTGAGGCCTACCGTAGTAAAGGAAATAACTTCCTATAGAAAGAAGACAGAAGCATTCTCAGAACCCTCTTCGTGATGTTTGCATTCAACTCACAGTGCTGAACCTTTCTTTGATAGTTCAGCTTTGAAACACTCTTCTTGTAGAAACTGCAAGTGGATATTTGGTCCTCTCTGAGGATTTCGTTGGAAACGGGATAAACCGCAGAGAACTAAACAGAAGCGTTCTCAGAACCCTCTTCGTGATGTTTGCATTCAACTCACAGTGCTGAACCTTTCTTTGATAGTGCAGCTTTGAAACACTCTTTTTGTAGAAACTGCAAGTGGATATTTGGTCCTCTCTGAGGATTTCGTTGGAAACGGGATAAACCGCACGGAACTAAAACGGAAGCATTCTCAGAGCCCTCTTCGTGATGTTTGCATTCAACTCACAGTGCTGAACCTTTCTTTGATAGTGCAGCTTTGAAACACTCTTTTTGTAGAAACTGCAAGTGGATATTTGGTCCTCTCTGAGGATTTCGTTGGAAACGGGATAAACCGCACAGAACTAAAACAGAAGCATTCACAGAAAACTCTTGGTGACGACTGAGTTTAACTCACAGAGCTGAACATTCCTTTGGATGGAGCAGTTTCGAAACACACTATTTGTAGAATCTGCAAGTGGATATTTGGGCCTCTCTGAGGATTTCGTTGGAAACGGGATAAACCGCACAGAACTAAAACAGAAGCATTCTCAGAAACTACTTTGTGATGATTGCATTCAAGTCACAGAGTTGAACATTCCCTTTGACAGAGCAGTTTGGAAACTCTCTTTGTGTAGAATCTGCAAGTGGAGATATGGACCGCTTTGAGGCCTATGGTAGTAAAGGAAATAGCTTCATATAAAAGCTAGACAGTAGCATTCTCAGAAACTTCTTTGTGATGCTTGCATTCAACTCACAGAGTTGAACTTTCCTTTCGAGAGAGAAGCTTTGAAACACTCTTTTTCCAGAATCTGCAAGTGGACATTTGGAGGGCTTTGAGGCCTGTGGTGGAAAAGGAATTATCTTCCCGTAAAAGCTAGATAGAAGCATTGTCAGAAACTTCTCTGTGATGATTGCATTCAACTCACAGAGTTGAAGGTTCCTTTTCAAAGAGCAGTTTCCAATCACTCTTTCTGTGGAATCTGCAAGTGGATATTTGGACCTATTTTGAAGATTTCGTTGGAAACGGGAGAATCTTCACAGGAAAGCTAAACAGAAGCATTCTCAGAAACTTCTCTGTGATGTTTGTGTTCAACTCCCAGAGTTTCACATTGCTTTTCATAGAGTAGTTCTGAAACATGCTTTTCGTAGTGTCTACAAGTGGACATTTGGAGCGCTTTCAGGCCTGTGGTGGAAAACGAATTATGGTCACATAAAAACTGGAGAGAAGCCTTCTCAGAAACTTCTCTGTGATGATTGCATTCAACTCACAGAGTTGAACCCTCCTATGGATAGAGCAGTGTTGAAACTCTCTTTTTGTGGAATCTGCAAGTGGATACGTGGACCTCTCCGAAGATGTCTTTGGAAACGGGAATATCTTCACATAAAAACTAAACAGAAGCATTCTCAGAAACTTCTTGGTGATGTTTGCATTCAAATCCCAGAGTTGAACCTTCCTTTGATAGTTCAGGTTTGAAACACTCTTTTTGTAGGATCTGCAAGTGGATATTTGGACCACTCTGTGGCCCTTCGTTCGAAACGGGTACATCTTCGCATAATATCTAGACAGAAGCATTCTCAGAAAATACTTTGTGATGATTGAGTTTAAATCACAGAGCTGACCATTCCTTTGGATGGAGCAGGTTTGAGACACACTTTTTGTAGAATCTACAAGTGGATATTTGGACCTCTCTGAGGATTTCGTTGGAAACGGGATAACTGCACCTAACTAAACGGAAGCATTCTCAGAAACTGCTTTGTGATGATTGCATTCACCTCACAGAGTTGAACATTCCTATTGATAGAGCAGTTTGGAAACACTCTTGTTGTGGAATGTGCAAGTGGAGATTTGGAGCGCTTTGAGGCCTATGGTAGTAAAGGGAATAGCTTCATAGAAAAACTAGACAGATGCATTCTCAGGAACCTTTTGGTGATGTTTGTATTCAACTCCCAGAGTTGAACTTTCCTTTGGAAAGAGCAGCTATGAAACACTCTTTTTCTAGAATCTGCAAGTGGACGTTTGGAGGGCTTTGTGGTTTGTGGTGGAAAAGGAAATATCTTCACCTAAATACTAGATAGAAGCATTCTCAGAAGCTTCTCTGTGATGACTGCATTCAACTCACGGAGTTGAACACTCCTTTTGAGAGCGCAGTTTTGAAACTCTCTTTCTGTGGCATCTGCAAGGGGACATGTAGACCTCTTTGAAGATTTCGTTGGAAACGGAATCATCTTCACATAAAAACTATACAGAAGCAGTCTCAGAATCTTCTTTGTGATGTTTGCATTCAAATCCCAGAGTTGAACTTTCCTTTCAAAGTTCACGTTTGAAACACTCTTTTTGCAGGATCTACAAGTGGATATTTGGACCACTCTGTGTCCTTCGTTCGAAACGGGTATATCTTCACACGACATCTAGACAGAAGCTTTCTCAGAAAATTCTTTGGGATGATTGAGTGGAACTCACAGAGCTGAACATTCCTTGCGATGTAGCAGTTTAGAAACACACTTTCTGCAGAATCTGCAAGTGCATATTTGGACCTCTCTGAGGAATTCGTTGGAAACGGGATAATTTCAGCTGACTAAACAGAAGCATTCTCAGAACCTTCTTCGTGATGTCTGCATTCAACTCACAGTGTGGAACCTTTCTTTGATAGTTCAGGTTTGAAACACTCTTTTTGTAGAAACCTCAAGGGGATAATTGCACTTCTTTGAGGCCTACCGTAGTAAAGGAAATAACTTCCTATAGAAAGAAGACAGAAGCATTCTCAGAACCCTCTTCGTGATGTTTGCATTCAACTCACAGTGCTGAAACTTTCTTTGATAGTTCAGTTTTGAAACACTCTTCTTGTAGAAACTGCAAGTGGATATTTGGTCCTCTCTGAGGATTTCGTTGGAAACGGGATAAACCGCACAGAACTAAACAGAAGCATTCACAGAAAACTCTTGGTGATGACTGAGTTTAACTCACAGAGCTGAACATTCCTTTGGATGGAGCAGTTTCGAAACACACTATTTGTAGAATCTGCAAGTGGATATGTGGGCCTCTCTGAGGATTTCGTTGGAAACAGGATAAACCGCCCAGAACTAAAACAGAAGCATTCTCAGAAACTACTTTGTGATGATTGCATTGAAGTCACAGAGCTGAACATTCCCTTTGACAGAGCAGTTTGGAAACTCTCTTTGTGTAGAATCTGCAAGTGGAGATATGGAATGCTTTGAGGACTATGGTAGTAAAGGAAATAGCTTCATATAAAAGCTAGACAGTAGCATTCTCAGAAACTTCTTTGTGATGCTTGCATTCAACTCACAGAGTTGAACTTTCCTTTCGAGAGAGAAGCTTTGAAACACTCTTTTTCCAGAATCTGCAAGTGGACATTTGGAGGGCTTTGAGGCCTGTGGTGGAAAAGGAATTATCTTCCCGTAAAAGCTAGATAGAAGCATTGTCAGAAACTTCTTTGTGATGATTGCATTCAACTCACAGAGTTGAAGGTTCCTTTTCAAAGAGCAGTTTCCAATCACTCTTTCTGTGGAATCTGCAAGTGGATATTTGGACCTATTTTGAAGATTTCGTTGGAAACGGGAGAATCTTCACAGGAAAGCTAAACAGAAGCATTCTCAGAAACTTCTCTGTGATGTTTGTGTTCAACTCCCAGAGTTTCACATTGCTTTTCATAGAGTAGTTCTGAAACATGCTTTTCGTAGTGTCTACAAGTGGACATTTGGAGCGCTTTCAGGCCTGTGGTGGAAAACGAATTATGGTCACATAAAAACTGGAGAGAAGCCTTCTCAGAAACTTCTCTGTGATGATTGCATTCAACTCACAGGAGTTGAACCCTCCTATGGATAGAGCAGTGTTGAAACTCTCTTTTTGTGGAATCTGCAAGTGGATATGTGGACCTCTCCGAAGATGTCTTTGGAAACGGGAATATCTTCACATAAAAACTAAACAGAAGCATTCTCAGAAACTTCTTGGTGATGTTTGCATTCAAATCCCAGAGTTGAACCTTCCTTTGATAGTTCAGGTTTGAAACACTCTTTCTGTAGGATCTGCAAGTGGCTATTTGGACCACTACTGTGGCCTTCGTTCGAAACGGGTATATCTTCGCATAAAATCTAGACAGAAGCATTCTCAGAAAATACTTTGTGATGATTGAGTTTAAATCACAGAGCTGACCATTCCTTTGGATGGAGCAGGTTTGAGACACACTTTTTGTAGAATCTACAAGTGGATATTTGGACCTCTCTGAGGATTTCGTTGGAAACGGGATAACTGCACCTAACTAAACGGAAGCATTCTCAGAAACTGCTTTGTGATGATTGCATTCACCTCACCAGAGTTGAACATTCCTATTGATAGAGCAGTTTGGAAACACTCTTGTTGTGGAATGTGCAAGTGGAGATTTGGAGCGCTTTGAGGCCTATGGTAGTAAAGGGAATAGCTTCATAGAAAAACTAGACAGATGCATTCTCAGGAACTTTTTGGTGATGTTTGTATTCAACTCCCAGCAGTTGAACTTTCCTTTGGAAAGAGCAGCTATGAAACACTCTTTTTCTAGAATCTGGAAGTGGACGTTTGGAGGGCTTTGTGGTTTGTGGTGGAAAAGGAAATATCTTCACCTAAATACTAGATAGAAGCATTCTCAGAAGCTTCTCTGTGATGACTGCATTCAACTCACGGAGTTGAACACTCCTTTTGAGAGCGCAGTTTTGAAACTCTGTTTCTGTGGCATCTGCAAGGGGACATGTAGACCTCTTTGAGGATTTCGTTGGAAACGGAATCATCTTCACATCAAAACTATACAGAAGCAGTCTCAGAATCTTCTTTGTGATGTTTGCATTCAAATCCCAGAGTTGAACTTTCCTTTCAAAGTTCACGTTTGAAACACTCTTTTTGCAGGATCTACAAGTGGATATTTGGACCACTCTGTGTCCTTCGTTCGAAAAGGGTATATCTTCACATGACATCTAGACAGAAGCTTTCTCAGAAAATTCTTTGGGATGATTGAGTTGAACTCACAGAGCTGAACATTCCTTGCGATGGAGCAGTTTAGAAACACACTTTCTGCAGAATCTGCAAGTGCATATTTGGACCTCTCTGAGGAATTCGTTGGAAACGGGATAATTTCAGCTGACTAAACAGAAGCATTCTCAGAACCTTCTTCGTGATGTCTGCATTCAACTCACAGTGTGGAACCTTTCTTTGATAGTTCAGGTTTGAAACACTCTTTTTGTAGAAACTGCAAGGGGATAATTGCACTTCTTTGAGGCCTACCGTAGTAAAGGAAATAACTTCCTATAAAAAGAAGACAGAAGCATTCTCAGAACCCTCTTCGTGATGTTTGCATTCAACTCACAGTGCTGAACCTTTCTTTGATAGTTCAGCTTTGAAACACTCTTCTTGTAGAAACTGCAAGTGGATATTTGGTCCTCTCTGAGGATTTCGTTGGAAACGGGATAAACCGCACAGAACTAAACAGAAGAATTCTCAGAGCCCTCTTCGTGATGTTTGCATTCAACTCACAGTGCTGAACCTTTCTTTGATAGTGCAGCTTTGAAACACTCTTTTTGTAGAAACTGCAAGTGGATGTTTGGTCCTCTCTGAGGATTTCGTTGGAAACGGGATAAACCGCACAGAACTAAAACAGAAGCATTGTCAGAAACTTCTTTGTGATGATTGCATTCAACTCACAGAGTTGAAGGTTCCTTTTCAAACAGCAGTTTCCAATCACTCTTTCTGTGGAATCTGCAAGTGGATATTTGGGCCTCTCTGAGGATTTCGTTGGAAACGGGATAAAACGCACAGAACTAAAACAGAAGCATTCTCAGAAACTTCTCAGTGATGTTTGTGTTCAACTCCCAGAGTGTCACATTGCTTCTCATAGAGCAGTTCTGAAACATGCTTTTCGTAGTGTCTGCAAGTGGACATTTGGAGCGCTTTCAGGCCTGTGGTGGAAAACGAATTATGGTCACATAAAAACTGGAGAGAAGCCTTCTCAGAAACTTCTCTGTGATGATTGCATTCAACTCACAGAGTTGAACCCTCCTATGGATAGAGCAGTGTTGAAACTCTCTTTTTGTGGAATCTGCAAGTGGATATGTGGACCTCTCCGAAGATGTCTTTGGAAACGGGAATATCTTCACATAAAAACTAAACAGAAGCATTCTCAGAAACTTCTTGGTGATGTTTGCATTCAAATCCCAGAGTTGAACCTTCCTTTGATAGTTCAGGTTTGAAACACTCTTTCTGTAGGATCTGCAAGTGGCTATTTGGACCACTCTGTGGCCTTCGTTCGAAACGGGTATATCTTCGCATAAAATCTAGACAGAAGCATTCTCAGGAAAATACTTTGTGATGATTGAGTTTAAATCACAGAGCTGACCATTCCTTTGGATGGAGCAGGTTTGAGACACACTTTTTGTAGAATCTACAAGTGGATATTTGGACCTCTCTGAGGATTTCGTTGGAAACGGGATAACTGCACCTAACTAAACGGAAGCATTCTCAGAAACTGCTTTGTGATGATTGCATTCACCTCACAGAGTTGAACATTCCTATTGATAGAGCAGTTTGGAAACACTCTTGTTGTGGAATGTGCAAGTGGAGATTTGGAGCGCTTTGAGGCCTATGGTAGTAAAGGGAATAGCTTCATAGAAAAACTAGACAGATGCATTCTCAGGAACTTTTTGGTGATGTTTGTATTCAACTCCCAGAGTTGAACTTTCCTTTGGAAAGAGCAGCTATGAAACACTCTTTTTCTAGAATCTGCAAGTGGACGTTTGGAGGGCTTTGTGGTTTGTGGTGGAAAAGGAAATATCTTCACCTAAATACTAGATAGAAGCATTCTCAGAAGCTTCTCTGTGATGACTGCATTCAACTCACGGAGTTGAACACTCCTTTTGAGAGCGCAGTTTTGAAACTCTCTTTCTGTGGCATCTGCAAGGGGACATGTAGACCTCTTTGAAGATTTCGTTGGAAACGGAATCATCTTCACATAAAAACTATACAGAAGCAGTCTCAGAATCTTCTTTGTGATGTTTGCATTCAAATCCCAGAGTTGAACTTTCCTTTCAAAGTTCACGTTTGAAACACTCTTTTTGCAGGATCTACAAGTGGATATTTGGACCACTCTGTGTCCTTCGTTCGAAACGGGTATATCTTCACACGACATCTAGACAGAAGCTTTCTCAGAAAATTCTTTGGGATGATTGAGTGGAACTCACAGAGCTGAACATTCCTTGCGATGTAGCAGTTTAGAAACACACTTTCTGCAGAATCTGCAAGTGCATATTTGGACCTCTCTGAGGAATTCGTTGGAAACGGGATAATTTCAGCTGACTAAACAGAAGCATTCTCAGAACCTTCTTCGTGATGTCTGCATTCAACTCACAGTGTGGAACCTTTCTTTGATAGTTCAGGTTTGAAACACTCTTTTTGTAGAAACTGCAAGGGGATAATTGCACTTCTTTGAGGCCTACCGTAGTAAAGGAAATAACTTCCTATAGAAAGAAGACAGAAGCATTCTCAGAACCCTCTTCGTGATGTTTGCATTCAACTCACAGTGCTGAACCTTTCTTTGATAGTTCAGCTTTGAAACACTCTTCTTGTAGAAACTGCAAGTGGATATTTGGTCCTCTCTGAGGATTTCGTTGGAAACGGGATAAACCGCACAGAACTAAACAGAAGAATTCTCAGAGCCCTCTTCGTGATGTTTGCATTCAACTCACAGTGCTGAACCTTTCTTTGATAGTGCAGCTTTGAAACACTCTTTTTGTAGAAACTGCAAGTGGATGTTTGGTCCTCTCTGAGGATTTCGTTGGAAACGGGATAAACCGCACAGAACTAAAACAGAAGCATTGTCAGAAACTTCTTTGTGATGATTGCATTCAACTCACAGAGTTGAAGGTTCCTTTTCAAACAGCAGTTTCCAATCACTCTTTCTGTGGAATCTGCAAGTGGATATTTGGGCCTCTCTGAGGATTTCGTTGGAAACGGGATAAAACGCACAGAACTAAAACAGAAGCATTCTCAGAAACTTCTCTGTGATGTTTGTGTTCAACTCCCAGAGTTTCACGTTGCTTTTCATAGAGTAGTTCTGAAACATGCTTTTCGTAGTGTCTGCAAGTGGACATTTGGAGCGCTTTCAGGCCTGTGGTGGAAAACGAATTATGGTCACATAAAAACTGGAGAGAAGCCTTCTCAGAAACTTCTCTGTGATGATTGCATTCAACTCACAGAGTTGAACCCTCCTATGGATAGAGCAGTGTTGAAACTCTCTTTTTGTGGAACCTGCAAGTGGATATGTGGACCTCTCCGAAGATGTCTTTGGAAACGGGAATATCTTCACATAAAAACTAAACAGAAGCATTCTCAGAAACTTCTTGGTGATGTTTGCATTCAAATCCCAGAGTTGAACCTTCCTTTGATAGTTCAGGTTTGAAACACTCTTTCTGTAGGATCTGCAAGTGGCTATTTGGACCACTCTGTGGCCTTCGTTCGAAACGGGTATATCTTCGCATAAAATCTAGACAGAAGCATTCTCAGAAAATACTTTGTGATGATTGAGTTTAAATCACAGAGCTGACCATTCCTTTGGATGGAGCAGGTTTGAGACACACTTTTTGTAGAATCTACAAGTGGATATTTGGACCTCTCTGAGGATTTCGTTGGAAACGGGATAACTGCACCTAACTAAACGGAAGCATTCTCAGAAACTGCTTTGTGATGATTGCATTCACCTCACAGAGTTGAACATTCCTATTGATAGAGCAGTTTGGAAACACTCTTGTTGTGGAATGTGCAAGTGGAGATTTGGAGCGCTTTGAGGCCTATGGTAGTAAAGGGAATAGCTTCATAGAAAAACTAGACAGATGCATTCTCAGGAACCTTTTGGTGATGTTTGTATTCAACTCCCAGAGTTGAACTTTCCTTTGGAAAGAGCAGCTATGAAACACTCTTTTTCTAGAATCTGCAAGTGGACGTTTGGAGGGCTTTGTGGTTTGTGGTGGAAAAGGAAATATCTTCACCTAAATACTAGATAGAAGCATTCTCAGAAGCTTCTCTGTGATGACTGCATTCAACTCACGGAGTTGAACACTCCTTTTGAGAGCGCAGTTTTGAAACTCTCTTTCTGTGGCATCTGCAAGGGGACATGTAGACCTCTTTGAAGATTTCGTTGGAAACGGAATCATCTTCACATAAAAACTATACAGAAGCAGTCTCAGAATCTTCTTTGTGATGTTTGCATTCAAATCCCAGAGTTGAACTTTCCTTTCAAAGTTCACGTTTGAAACACTCTTTTTGCAGGATCTACAAGTGGATATTTGGACCACTCTGTGTCCTTCGTTCGAAACGGGTATATCTTCACACGACATCTAGACAGAAGCTTTCTCAGAAAATTCTTTGGGATGATTGAGTGGAACTCACAGAGCTGAACATTCCTTGCGATGTAGCAGTTTAGAAACACACTTTCTGCAGAATCTGCAAGTGCATATTTGGACCTCTCTGAGGAATTCGTTGGAAACGGGATAATTTCAGCTGACTAAACAGAAGCATTCTCAGAACCTTCTTCGTGATGTCTGCATTCAACTCACAGTGTGGAACCTTTCTTTGATAGTTCAGGTTTGAAACACTCTTTTTGTAGAAACTGCAAGGGGATAATTGCACTTCTTTGAGGCCTACCGTAGTAAAGGAAATAACTTCCTATAGAAAGAAGACAGAAGCGTTCTCAGAACCCTCTTCGTGATGTTTGCATTCAACTCACAGTGCTGAACCTTTCTTTGATAGTGCAGCTTTGAAACACTCTTTTTGTAGAAACTGCAAGTGGATATTTGGTCCTCTCTGAGGATTTCGTTGGAAACGGGATAAACCGCACGGAACTAAAACGGAAGCATTCTCAGAACCTTCTTCGTGATGTTTGCATTCAACTCACAGTGTTGAACCTTTCTTTGATAGTTCAGGTTTGAAACCGTCTTTCTGTAGAAACTCCAAGTAGATATTTGGACCTCTCTGAGGATTTCGTTGGAAACGGGATAAACCACACAGAACTAAAACAGAAGCATTCACAGAAAACTCTTGGTGACGACTGAGTTTAACTCACATCGCTGAACATTCCCTTGGTTGGAGCAGTTTCGAAACACACTCTTTGTAGAATCTGCAGGTGGATATTTGGGCCTCTCTGAGGATTTCGTTGGAAACGGGATAAACCGCACAGAACTAAAACAGAAGCATTCTCAGAAACTACTTTGTGATGATTGCATTCAAGTCACAGAGCTGAACATTCCCTTTGACAGAGCAGTTTGGAAACTCTCTTTGTGTAGAATCTGCAAGTGGAGATATGGAATGCTTTGAGGACTATGGTAGTAAAGGAAATAGCTTCATATAAAAGCTAGACAGTAGCATTCTCAGAAACTTCTTTGTGATGCTTGCATTCAACTCACAGAGTTGAACTTTCCTTTCGAGAGAGAAGCTTTGAAACACTCTTTTTCCAGAATCTGCAAGTGGACATTTGGAGGGCTTTGAGGCCTGTGGTGGAAAAGGAATTATCTTCCCGTAAAAGCTAGATAGAAGCATTGTCAGAAACTTCTTTGTGATGATTGCATTCAACTCACAGAGTTGAAGGTTCCTTTTCAAACAGCAGTTTCCAAACACCCTTTCTGTGGAATCTGCAAGTGGATGTTTGGACCTCTTGGAAGATTTCGTTGGAAACGGGAGAATCTTCACAGAAAAGCTAAACAGAAGCTTTCTCAGAAACTTCTCTGTGACGTTTGTGTTCAACTCCCAGAGTTTCACATTGCTTTTCATAGAGTAGTTCTGAAACATGCTTTTCGTACTGTCTGCAAGTGGAGGTTTGGAGCGCTTTCAGACCTGTGGTGGAAAACGAATTATGGTCAAATAAAAACTGGAGAGAAGCCTTCTCAGAAACTTCTCTGTGATGATTGCATTCAACTCACAGAGTTGAACCCTCCTATGGATAGAGCAGTGTTGAAACTCTCTTTTTGTGGAATCTGCAAGTGGATATGTGGACCTCTCCGAAGATGTCTTTGGAAACGGGAATATCTTCACATAAAAACTAAACAGAAGCATTCTCAGAAACTTCTTGGTGATGTTTGCATTCAAATCCCAGAGTCGAACCTTCCTTTGATAGTTCAGGTTTGAAACACTCTTTTTGTAGGATCTGCAAGTGGATATTTGGACCACTCTGTGGCCTTCGTTCGAAACGGGTATATCTTCGCATAAAATCTAGACAGAAGCATTCTCAGAATATACTTTGTGATGATTGAGTTTAACTCACAGAGCTGAACATTCCTTTGGATGGAGCAGGTTTGAGACACACTTTTTGTAGAATCTACAAGTGGATATTTGGACCTCTCTGAGGATTTCGTTGGAAACGGGATAACTGCACCTAACTAAACGGAAGCATTCTCAGAAACTGCTTTGTGATGATTGCATTCACCTCACAGAGTTGAACATTCCTATTGATAGAGCAGTTTGGAAACACTCTTGTTGTGGAATGTGCAAGTGGAGATTTGGAGCGCTTTGAGGCCTATGGTAGTAAAGGGAATAGCTTCATAGAAAAACTAGACAGATGCATTCTCAGGAACTTTTTGGTGATGTTTGTATTCAACTCCCAGAGTTGAACTTTCCTTTGGAAAGAGCAGCTATGAAACACTCTTTTTCTAGAATCTGCAAGTGGACGTTTGGAGGGCTTTGTGGTTTGTGGTGGAAAAGGAAATATCTTCACCTAAATACTAGATAGAAGCATTCTCAGAAGCTTCTCTGTGATGACTGCATTCAACTCACGGAGTTGAACACTCCTTTTGAGAGCGCAGTTTTGAAACTCTCTTTCTGTGGCATCTGCAAGGGGACATGTAGACCTCTTTGAAGATTTCGTTGGAAACGGAATCATCTTCACATAAAAACTATACAGAAGCAGTCTCAGAATCTTCTTTGTGATGTTAGCATTCAAATCCCAGAGTTGAACTTTCCTTTCAAAGTTCACGTTTGAAACACTCTTTTTGCAGGACATACAAGTGGATATTTGGACCACTCTGTGTCCTTCGTTCGAAACGGGTATATCTTCACATGACATCTAGACAGAAGCTTTCTCAGAAAATTCTTTGGGATGATTGAGTGGAACTCACAGAGCTGAACATTCCTTGCGATGTAGCAGTTTAGAAACACACTTTCTGCAGAATCTGCAAGTGCATATTTGGACCTCTCTGAGGAATTCGTTGGAAACGGGATAATTTCAGCTGACTAAACAGAAGCATTCTCAGAACCTTCTTCGTGATGTCTGCATTCAACTCACAGTGTGGAACCTTTCTTTGATAGTTCAGGTTTGAAACACTCTTTTTGTAGAAACTGCAAGGGGATAATTGCACTTCTTTGAGGCCTACCGTAGTAAAGGAAATAACTTCCTATAGAAAGAAGACAGAAGCATTCTCAGAACCCTCTTCGTGATGTTTGCATTCAACTCACAGTGCTGAACCTTTCTTTGATAGTTCAGCTTTGAAACACTCTTCTTGTAGAAACTGCAAGTGGATATTTGGTCCTCTCTGAGGATTTCGTTGGAAACGGGATAAACCGCACAGAACTAAACAGAAGAATTCTCAGAGCCCTCTTCGTGATGTTTGCATTCAACTCACAGTGCTGAACCTTTCTTTGATAGTGCAGCTTTGAAACACTCTTTTTGTAGAAACTGCAAGTGGATGTTTGGTCCTCTCTGAGGATTTCGTTGGAAACGGGATAAACCGCACAGAACTAAAACAGAAGCATTGTCAGAAACTTCTTTGTGATGATTGCATTCAACTCACAGAGTTGAAGGTTCCTTTTCAAACAGCAGTTTCCAATCACTCTTTCTGTGGAATCTGCAAGTGGATATTTGGGCCTCTCTGAGGATTTCGTTGGAAACGGGATAAAACGCACAGAACTAAAACAGAAGCATTCTCAGAAACTTCTCTGTGATGTTTGTGTTCAACTCCCAGAGTTTCACGTTGCTTTTCATAGAGTAGTTCTGAAACATGCTTTTCGTAGTGTCTGCAAGTGGACATTTGGAGCGCTTTCAGGCCTGTGGTGGAAAACGAATTATGGTCACATAAAAACTGGAGAGAAGCCTTCTCAGAAACTTCTCTGTGATGATTGCATTCAACTCACAGAGTTGAACCCTCCTATGGATAGAGCAGTGTTGAAACTCTCTTTTTGTGGAATCTGCAAGTGGATATGTGGACCTCTCCGAAGATGTCTTTGGAAACGGGAATATCTTCACATAAAAACTAAACAGAAGCATTCTCAGAAACTTCTTGGTGATGTTTCCATTCAAATCCCAGAGTTGAACCTTCCTTTGATAGTTCAGGTTTGAAACACTCTTTTTGTAGGATCTGCAAGTGGCTATTTGGACCACTCTGTGGCCTTCGTTCGAAACGGGTATATCTTCGCATAAAATCTAGACAGAAGCATTCTCAGAAAATACTTTGTGATGATTGAGTTTAAATCACAGAGCTGACCATTCCTTTGGATGGAGCAGGTTTGAGACACACTTTTTGTAGAATCTACAAGTGGATATTTGGACCTCTCTGAGGATTTCGTTGGAAACGGGATAACTGCACCTAACTAAACGGAAGCATTCTCAGAAACTGCTTTGTGATGATTGCATTCACCTCACAGAGTTGAACATTCCTATTGATAGAGCAGTTTGGAAACACTCTTGTTGTGGAATGTGCAAGTGGAGATTTGGAGCGCTTTGAGGCCTATGGTAGTAAAGGGAATAGCTTCATAGAAAAACTAGACAGATGCATTCTCAGGAACTTTTTGGTGATGTTTGTATTCAACTCCCAGAGTTGAACTTTCCTTTGGAAAGAGCAGCTATGAAACACTCTTTTTCTAGAATCTGCAAGTGGACGTTTGGAGGGCTTTGTGGTTTGTGGTGGAAAAGGAAATATATTCACCTAAATACTAGATAGAAGCATTCTCAGAAGCTTCTCTGTGATGACTGCATTCAACTCACGGAGTTGAACACTCCTTTTGAGAGCGCAGTTTTGAAACTCTCTTTCTGTGGCATCTGCAAGGGGACATGTAGACCTCTTTGAAGATTTCGTTGGAAACGGAATCATCTTCACTTAAAAACTATACAGAAGCAGTCTCAGAATCTTCTTTGTGGTGTTTGCATTCAAATCCCAGAGTTGAACTTTCCTTTCAAAGTTCACGTTTGAAACACTCTTTTTGCAGGATCTACAAGTGGATATTTGGACCACTCTGTGTCCTTCGTTCGAAACGGGTATATCTTCACATGACATCTAGACAGAAGCTTTCTCAGAAAATTCTTTGGGATGATTGAGTGGAACTCACAGAGCTGAACATTCCTTGCGATGTAGCAGTTTAGAAACACACTTTCTGCAGAATCTGCAAGTGCATATTTGGACCTCTCTGAGGAATTCGTTGGAAACGGGATAATTTCAGCTGACTAAACAGAAGCATTCTCAGAACCTTCTTCGTGATGTCTGCATTCAACTCACAGTGTGGAACCTTTCTTTGATAGTTCAGGTTTGAAACACTCTTTTTGTAGAAACTGCAAGGGGATAATTGCACTTCTTTGAGGCCTACCGTAGTAAAGGAAATAACTTCCTATAGAAAGAAGACAGAAGCATTCTCAGAACCCTCTTCGTGATGTTTGCATTCAACTCACAGTGCTGAACCTTTCTTTGATAGTTCAGCTTTGAAACACTCTTCTTGTAGAAACTGCAAGTGGATATTTGGTCCTCTCTGAGGATTTCGTTGGAAACGGGATAAACCGCACAGAACTAAACAGAAGAATTCTCAGAGCCCTCTTCGTGATGTTTGCATTCAACTCACAGTGCTGAACCTTTCTTTGATAGTGCAGCTTTGAAACACTCTTTTTGTAGAAACTGCAAGTGGATGTTTGGTCCTCTCTGAGGATTTCGTTGGAAACGGGATAAACCGCACAGAACTAAAACAGAAGCATTGTCAGAAACTTCTTTGTGATGATTGCATTCAACTCACAGAGTTGAAGGTTCCTTTTCAAACAGCAGTTTCCAATCACTCTTTCTGTGGAATCTGCAAGTGGATATTTGGGCCTCTCTGAGGATTTCGTTGGAAACGGGATAAAACGCACAGAACTAAAACAGAAGCATTCTCAGAAACTTCTCTGTGATGTTTGTGTTCAACTCCCAGAGTTTCACGTTGCTTTTCATAGAGTAGTTCTGAAACATGCTTTTCGTAGTGTCTGCAAGTGGACATTTGGAGCGCTTTCAGGCCTGTGGTGGAAAACGAATTATGGTCACATAAAAACTGGAGAGAAGCCTTCTCAGAAACTTCTCTGTGATGATTGCATTCAACTCACAGAGTTGAACCCTCCTATGGATAGAGCAGTGTTGAAACTCTCTTTTTGTGGAATCTGCAAGTGGATATGTGGACCTCTCCGAAGATGTCTTTGGAAACGGGAATATCTTCACATAAAAACTAAACAGAAGCATTCTCAGAAACTTCTTGGTGATGTTTGCATTCAAATCCCAGAGTTGAACCTTCCTTTGATAGTTCAGGTTTGAAACACTCTTTCTGTAGGATCTGCAAGTGGCTATTTGGACCACTCTGTGGCCTTCGTTCGAAACGGGTATATCTTCGCATAAAATCTAGACAGAAGCATTCTCAGAAAATACTTTGTGATGATTGAGTTTAAATCACAGAGCTGACCATTCCTTTGGATGGAGCAGGTTTGAGACACACTTTTTGTAGAATCTACAAGTGGATATTTGGACCTCTCTGAGGATTTCGTTGGAAACGGGATAACTGCACCTAACTAAACGGAAGCATTCTCAGAAACTGCTTTGTGATGATTGCATTCACCTCACAGAGTTGAACATTCCTATTGATAGAGCAGTTTGGAAACACTCTTGTTGTGGAATGTGCAAGTGGAGATTTGGAGCGCTTTGAGGCCTATGGTAGTAAAGGGAATAGCTTCATAGAAAAACTAGACAGATGCATTCTCAGGAACTTTTTGGTGATGTTTGTATTCAACTCCCAGAGTTGAACTTTCCTTTGGAAAGAGCAGCTATGAAACACTCTTTTTCTAGAATCTGCAAGTGGACGTTTGGAGGGCTTTGTGGTTTGTGGTGGAAAAGGAAATATCTTCACCTAAATACTAGATAGAAGCATTCTCAGAAGCTTCTCTGTGATGACTGCATTCAACTCACGGAGTTGAACACTCCTTTTGAGAGCGCAGTTTTGAAACTCTCTTTCTGTGGCATCTGCAAGGGGACATGTAGACCTCTTTGAAGATTTCGTTGGAAACGGAATCATCTTCACATAAAAACTATACAGAAGCAGTCTCAGAATCTTCTTTGTGATGTTTGCATTCAAATCCCAGAGTTGAACTTTCCTTTCAAAGTTCACGTTTGAAACACTCTTTTTGCAGGATCTACAAGTGGATATTTGGACCACTCTGTGTCCTTCGTTCGAAACGGGTATATCTTCACACGACATCTAGACAGAAGCTTTCTCAGAAAATTCTTTGGGATGATTGAGTGGAACTCACAGAGCTGAACATTCCTTGCGATGTAGCAGTTTAGAAACACACTTTCTGCAGAATCTGCAAGTGCATATTTGGACCTCTCTGAGGAATTCGTTGGAAACGGGATAATTTCAGCTGACTAAACAGAAGCATTCTCAGAACCTTCTTCGTGATGTCTGCATTCAACTCACAGTGTGGAACCTTTCTTTGATAGTTCAGGTTTGAAACACTCTTTTTGTAGAAACTGCAAGGGGATAATTGCACTTCTTTGAGGCCTACCGTAGTAAAGGAAATAACTTCCTATAGAAAGAAGACAGAAGCATTCTCAGAACCCTCTTCGTGATGTTTGCATTCAACTCACAGTGCTGAACCTTTCTTTGATAGTTCAGCTTTGAAACACTCTTCTTGTAGAAACTGCAAGTGGATATTTGGTCCTCTCTGAGGATTTCGTTGGAAACGGGATAAACCGCACAGAACTAAACAGAAGAATTCTCAGAGCCCTCTTCGTGATGTTTGCATTCAACTCACAGTGCTGAACCTTTCTTTGATAGTGCAGCTTTGAAACACTCTTTTTGTAGAAACTGCAAGTGGATGTTTGGTCCTCTCTGAGGATTTCGTTGGAAACGGGATAAACCGCACAGAACTAAAACAGAAGCATTGTCAGAAACTTCTTTGTGATGATTGCATTCAACTCACAGAGTTGAAGGTTCCTTTTCAAACAGCAGTTTCCAATCACTCTTTCTGTGGAATCTGCAAGTGGATATTTGGGCCTCTCTGAGGATTTCGTTGGAAACGGGATAAAACGCACAGAACTAAAACAGAAGCATTCTCAGAAACTTCTCTGTGATGTTTGTGTTCAACTCCCAGAGTTTCACGTTGCTTTTCATAGAGTAGTTCTGAAACATGCTTTTCGTAGTGTCTGCAAGTGGACATTTGGAGCGCTTTCAGGCCTGTGGTGGAAAACGAATTATGGTCACATAAAAACTGGAGAGAAGCCTTCTCAGAAACTTCTCTGTGATGATTGCATTCAACTCACAGAGTTGAACCCTCCTATGGATAGAGCAGTGTTGAAACTCTCTTTTTGTGGAATCTGCAAGTGGATATGTGGACCTCTCCGAAGATGTCTTTGGAAACGGGAATATCTTCACATAAAAACTAAACAGAAGCATTCTCAGAAACTTCTTGGTGATGTTTGCATTCAAATCCCAGAGTTGAACCTTCCTTTGATAGTTCAGGTTTGAAACACTCTTTCTGTAGGATCTGCAAGTGGCTATTTGGACCACTCTGTGGCCTTCGTTCGAAACGGGTATATCTTCGCATAAAATCTAGACAGAAGCATTCTCAGAAAATACTTTGTGATGATTGAGTTTAAATCACAGAGCTGACCATTCCTTTGGATGGAGCAGGTTTGAGACACACTTTTTGTAGAATCTACAAGTGGATATTTGGACCTCTCTGAGGATTTCGTTGGAAACGGGATAACTGCACCTAACTAAACGGAAGCATTCTCAGAAACTGCTTTGTGATGATTGCATTCACCTCACAGAGTTGAACATTCCTATTGATAGAGCAGTTTGGAAACACTCTTGTTGTGGAATGTGCAAGTGGAGATTTGGAGCGCTTTGAGGCCTATGGTAGTAAAGGGAATAGCTTCATAGAAAAACTAGACAGATGCATTCTCAGGAACCTTTTGGTGATGTTTGTATTCAACTCCCAGAGTTGAACTTTCCTTTGGAAAGAGCAGCTATGAAACACTCTTTTTCTAGAATCTGCAAGTGGACGTTTGGAGGGCTTTGTGGTTTGTGGTGGAAAAGGAAATATCTTCACCTAAATACTAGATAGAAGCATTCTCAGAAGCTTCTCTGTGATGACTGCATTCAACTCACGGAGTTGAACACTCCTTTTGAGAGCGCAGTTTTGAAACTCTCTTTCTGTGGCATCTGCAAGGGGACATGTAGACCTCTTTGAAGATTTCGTTGGAAACGGAATCATCTTCACATAAAAACTATACAGAAGCAGTCTCAGAATCTTCTTTGTGATGTTTGCATTCAAATCCCAGAGTTGAACTTTCCTTTCAAAGTTCACGTTTGAAACACTCTTTTTGCAGGATCTACAAGTGGATATTTGGACCACTCTGTGTCCTTCGTTCGAAACGGGTATATCTTCACACGACATCTAGACAGAAGCTTTCTCAGAAAATTCTTTGGGATGATTGAGTGGAACTCACAGAGCTGAACATTCCTTGCGATGGAGCAGTTTAGAAACACACTTTCTGCAGAATCTGCAAGTGCATATTTGGACCTCTCTGAGGAATTCGTTGGAAACGGGATAATTTCAGCTGACTAAACAGAAGCATTCTCAGAACCTTCTTCGTGATGTCTGCATTCAACTCACAGTGTGGAACCTTTCTTTGATAGTTCAGGTTTGAAACACTCTTTTTGTAGAAACTGCAAGGGGATAATTGAACTTCTTTGAGGCCTACCGTAGTAAAGGAAATAACTTCCTATAGAAAGAAGACAGAAGCATTCTCAGAACCCTCTTCGTGATGTTTGCATTCAACTCACAGTGCTGAACCTTTCTTTGATAGTTCAGCTTTGAAACACTCTTCTTGTAGAAACTGCAAGTGGATATTTGGTCCTCTCTGAGGATTTCGTTGGAAACGGGATAAACCGCACAGAACTAAACAGAAGAATTCTCAGAGCCCTCTTCGTGATGTTTGCATTCAACTCACAGTGCTGAACCTTTCTTTGATAGTGCAGCTTTGAAACACTCTTTTTGTAGAAACTGCAAGTGGATGTTTGGTCCTCTCTGAGGATTTCGTTGGAAACGGGATAAACCGCACAGAACTAAAACAGAAGCATTGTCAGAAACTTCTTTGTGATGATTGCATTCAACTCACAGAGTTGAAGGTTCCTTTTCAAACAGCAGTTTCCAATCACTCTTTCTGTGGAATCTGCAAGTGGATATTTGGGCCTCTCTGAGGATTTCGTTGGAAACGGGATAAAACGCACAGAACTAAAACAGAAGCATTCTCAGAAACTTCTCTGTGATGTTTGTGTTCAACTCCCAGAGTTTCACGTTGCTTTTCATAGAGTAGTTCTGAAACATGCTTTTCGTAGTGTCTGCAAGTGGACATTTGGAGCGCTTTCAGGCCTGTGGTGGAAAACGAATTATGGTCACATAAAAACTGGAGAGAAGCCTTCTCAGAAACTTCTCTGTGATGATTGCATTCAACTCACAGAGTTGAACCCTCCTATGGATAGAGCAGTGTTGAAACTCTCTTTTTGTGGAATCTGCAAGTGGATATGTGGACCTCTCCGAAGATGTCTTTGGAAACGGGAATATCTTCACATAAAAACTAAACAGAAGCATTCTCAGAAACTTCTTGGTGATGTTTGCATTCAAATCCCAGAGTTGAACCTTCCTTTGATAGTTCAGGTTTGAAACACTCTTTCTGTAGGATCTGCAAGTGGCTATTTGGACCACTCTGTGGCCTTCGTTCGAAACGGGTATATCTTCGCATAAAATCTAGACAGAAGCATTCTCAGAAAATACTTTGTGATGATTGAGTTTAAATCACAGAGCTGACCATTCCTTTGGATGGAGCAGGTTTGAGACACACTTTTTGTAGAATCTACAAGTGGATATTTGGACCTCTCTGAGGATTTCGTTGGAAACGGGATAACTGCACCTAACTAAACGGAAGCATTCTCAGAAACTGCTTTGTGATGATTGCATTCACCTCACAGAGTTGAACATTCCTATTGATAGAGCAGTTTGGAAACACTCTTGTTGTGGAATGTGCAAGTGGAGATTTGGAGCGCTTTGAGGCCTATGGTAGTAAAGGGAATAGCTTCATAGAAAAACTAGACAGATGCATTCTCAGGAACTTTTTGGTGATGTTTGTATTCAACTCCCAGAGTTGAACTTTCCTTTGGAAAGAGCAGCTATGAAACACTCTTTTTCTAGAATCTGCAAGTGGACGTTTGGAGGGCTTTGTGGTTTGTGGTGGAAAAGGAAATATCTTCACCTAAATACTAGATAGAAGCATCCTCAGAAGCTTCTCTGTGATGACTGCATTCAACTCACGGAGTTGAACACTCCTTTTGAGAGCGCAGTTTTGAAACTCTCTTTCTGTGGCATCTGCAAGGGGACATGTAGACCTCTTTGAAGATTTCGTTGGAAACGGAATCATCTTCACATAAAAACTATACAGAAGCAGTCTCAGAATCTTCTTTGTGATGTTTGCATTCAAATCCCCGAGTTGAACTTTCCTTTCAAAGTTCACGTTTGAAACACTCTTTTTGCAGGATCTACAAGTGGATATTTGGACCACTCTGTGTCCTTCGTTCGAAACGGGTATATCTTCACATGACATCTAGACAGAAGCTTTCTCAGAAAATTCTTTGGGATGATTGAGTTGAACTCACAGAGCTGAGCATTCCTTGCGATGTAGCAGTTTAGAAACACACTTTCTGCAGAATCTGCAAGTGCATATTTGGACCTCTGTGAGGAATTCGTTGGAAACGGGATAATTTCAGCTGACTAAACAGAAGCATTCTCAGAACCTTCTTCGTGATGTCTGCATTCATCTCACAGTGTGGAACCTTTCTTTGATAGGTCAGGTTTGAAACACTCTTTTTGTAGAAACTGCAAGGGGATAATTGCACTCTTTGAGGAGTACCGTAGTAAAGGAAATAACTTCCTATAAAAAGAAGACAGAAGCATTCTCAGAACCTTCTTCGTGATGTTTGCATTCAACTCACAGTGCTGAACCTTTCTTTGATAGTTCAGCTTTGAAACACTCTTTTTGTAGAAACTGCAAGTGGATAATTGTTCCTCTATGAGGATTTCGTTGGAAACGGGATAAACTGCACAGAACTAAACAGAAGCATTCACAGAAAACTCTTGGTGACGACTGAGTTTAACTCACAGAGCTGAACATTCCTTTGGATGGAGCAGTTTCGAAACACACTATTTGTAGAATCTGCAAGTGGATATTTGGGCCTCTCTGAGGATTTCGTTGGAAACGGGATAAACCGCACAGAACTAAAACAGAAGCATTCTCAGAAACTACTTTGTGATGATTGCATTCAAGTCACAGAGTTGAACATTCCCTTTGACAGAGCAGTTTGGAAACTCTCTTTGTGTAGAATCTGCAAGTGGAGATATGGACCGCTTTGAGGCCTATGGTAGTAAAGGAAATAGCTTCATATAAAAGCTAGACAGTAGCATTCTCAGAAACTTCTTTGTGATGCTTGCATTCAACTCACAGAGTTGAACTTTCCTTTCGAGAGAGAAGCTTTGAAACACTCTTTTTCCAGAATGTTCAAGTGGATATTTGCAGGGCTTTGAGGCCTGTGGTGGAAAAGGAATTATCTTCCCGTAAAAGCTAGATAGAAGCATTGTCAGAAACTTCTTTGAGATGATTGCATTCAACTCACAGAGTTGAAGGTTCCTTTTCAAACAGCAGTTTCCAATCACTCTTTCTGTGGAATCTGCAAGTGGATATTTCGACCTCTTTGAAGATTTCGTTGGAAACGGGAGAATCTTCACAGAAAAGCTAAACAGAAGCATTCTCAGAAACTTCTCTGTGATGTTTGTGTTCAACTCCCAGAGTTTCACGTTGCTTTTCATAGAGTAGTTCTGAAACATGCTTTTCGTAGTGTCTGCAAGTGGACATTTGGAGCGCTTTCAGGCCTGTGGTGGAAAACGAATTATGGTCACATAAAAACTGGAGAGAAGCCTTCTCAGAAACTTCTCTGTGATGACTGCATTCAACTCACAGAGTTGAACCCTCCTATGGATAGAGCAGTGTTGAAACTCTCTTTTTGTGGAATCTGCAAGTGGATATGTGGACCTCTCCGAAGATGTCTTTGGAAACGGGAATATCTTCACATAAAAACTAAACAGAAGCATTCTCAGAAACTTCTTGGTGATGTTTGCATTCAAATCCCAGAGTTGAACCTTCCTTTGATAGTTCAGGTTTGAAACACTCTTTTTGTAGGATCTGCAAGTGGCTATTTGGACCACTCTGTGGCCTTCGTTCGAAACGGGTATATCTTCACATAAAATCTAGACAGAAGCATTCTCAGAAAATACTTTGTGATGATTGAGTTTAAATCACAGAGCTGACCATTCCTTTGGATGGAGCAGGTTTGAGACACACTTTTTGTAGAATCTACAAGTGGATATTTGGACCTCTCTGAGGATTTCGTTGGAAACGGGATAACTGCACCTAACTAAACGGAAGCATTCTCAGAAACTGCTTTGTGATGATTGCATTCACCTCACAGAGTTGAACATTCCTATTGATAGAGCAGTTTGGAAACACTCTTGTTGTGGAATGTGCAAGTGGAGATTTGGAGCGCTTTGAGGCCTATGGTAGTAAAGGGAATAGCTTCATAGAAAAACTAGACAGATGCATTCTCAGGAACTTTTTGGTGATGTTTGTATTCAACTCCCAGAGTTGAACTTTCCTTTGGAAAGAGCAGCTATGAAACACTCTTTTTCTAGAATCTGCAAGTGGACGTTTGGAGGGCTTTGTGGTTTGTGGTGGAAAAGGAAATATCTTCACCTAAATACTAGATAGAAGCATTCTCAGAAGCTTCTCTGTGATGACTGCATTCAACTCACGGAGTTGAACACTCCTTTTGAGAGCGCAGTTTTGAAACTCTCTTTCTGTGGCATCTGCAAGGGGACATGTAGACCTCTTTGAAGATTTCGTTGGAAACGGAATCATCTTCACATAAAAACTATACAGAAGCAGTCTCAGAATCTTCTTTGTGATGTTTGCATTCAAATCCCAGAGTTGAACTTTCCTTTCAAAGTTCACGTTTGAAACACTCTTTTTGCAGGATCTACAAGTGGATATTTGGACCACTCTGTGTCCTTCGTTCGAAACGGGTATATCTTCACACGACATCTAGACAGAAGCTTTCTCAGAAAATTCTTTGGGATGATTGAGTGGAACTCACAGAGCTGAACATTCCTTGCGATGTAGCAGTTTAGAAACACACTTTCTGCAGAATCTGCAAGTGCATATTTGGACCTCTCTGAGGAATTCGTTGGAAACGGGATAATTTCAGCTGACTAAACAGAAGCATTCTCAGAACCTTCTTCGTGATGTCTGCATTCAACTCACAGTGTGGAACCTTTCTTTGATAGTTCAGGTTTGAAACACTCTTTTTGTAGAAACTGCAAGGGGATAATTGCACTTCTTTGAGGCCTACCGTAGTAAAGGAAATAACTTCCTATAGAAAGAAGACAGAAGCATTCTCAGAACCCTCTTCGTGATGTTTGCATTCAACTCACAGTGCTGAACCTTTCTTTGATAGTTCAGCTTTGAAACACTCTTCTTGTAGAAACTGCAAGTGGATATTTGGTCCTCTCTGAGGATTTCGTTGGAAACGGGATAAACCGCACAGAACTAAACAGAAGAATTCTCAGAGCCCTCTTCGTGATGTTTGCATTCAACTCACAGTGCTGAACCTTTCTTTGATAGTGCAGCTTTGAAACACTCTTTTTGTAGAAACTGCAAGTGGATATTTGGTCCTCTCTGAGGATTTCGTTGGAAACGGGATAAACCGCACAGAACTAAAACAGAAGCATTGTCAGAAACTTCTTTGTGATGATTGCATTCAACTCACAGAGTTGAAGGTTCCTTTTCAAACAGCAGTTTCCAATCACTCTTTCTGTGGAATCTGCAAGTGGATATTTGGGCCTCTCTGAGGATTTCGTTGGAAACGGGATAAAACGCACAGAACTAAAACAGAAGCATTCTCAGAAACTTCTCTGTGATGTTTGTGTTCAACTCCCAGAGTTTCACGTTGCTTTTCATAGAGTAGTTCTGAAACATGCTTTTCGTAGTGTCTGCAAGTGGACATTTGGAGCGCTTTCAGGCCTGTGGTGGAAAACGAATTATGGTCACAAAAAAACTGGAGAGAAGCCTTCTCAGAAACTTCTCTGTGATGATTGCATTCAACTCACAGAGTTGAACCCTCCTATGGATAGAGCAGTGTTGAAACTCTCTTTTTGTGGAATCTGCAAGTGGATATGTGGACCTCTCCGAAGATGTCTTTGGAAACGGGAATATCTTCACATAAAAACTAAACAGAAGCATTCTCAGAAACTTCTTGGTGATGTTTGCATTCAAATCCCAGAGTTGAACCTTCCTTTGATAGTTCAGGTTTGAAACACTCTTTCTGTAGGATCTGCAAGTGGCTATTTGGACCACTCTGTGGCCTTCGTTCGAAACGGGTATATCTTCGCATAAAATCTAGACAGAAGCATTCTCAGAAAATACTTTGTGATGATTGAGTTTAAATCACAGAGCTGACCATTCCTTTGGATGGAGCAGGTTTGAGACACACTTTTTGTAGAATCTACAAGTGGATATTTGGACCTCTCTGAGGATTTCGTTGGAAACGGGATAACTGCACCTAACTAAACGGAAGCATTCTCAGAAACTGCTTTGTGATGATTGCATTCACCTCACAGAGTTGAACATTCCTATTGATAGAGCAGTTTGGAAACACTCTTGTTGTGGAATGTGCAAGTGGAGATTTGGAGCGCTTTGAGGCCTGTGGTAGTAAAGGGAATAGCTTCATAGAAAAACTAGACAGATGCATTCTCAGGAACTTTTTGGTGATGTTTGTATTCAACTCCCAGAGTTGAACTTTCCTTTGGAAAGAGCAGCTATGAAACACTCTTTTTCTAGAATCTGCAAGTGGACGTTTGGAGGGCTTTGTGGTTTGTGGTGGAAAAGGAAATATCTTCACCTAAATACTAGACAGAAGCATTCTCAGAAGCTTCTCTGTGATGACTGCATTCAACTCACGGAGTTGAACACTCCTTTTGAGAGCGCAGTTTTGAAACTCTCTTTCTGTGGCATCTGCAAGGGGACATGTAGACCTCTTTGAAGATTTCGTTGGAAACGGAATCATCTTCACATAAAAACTATACAGAAGCAGTCTCAGAATCTTCTTTGTGATGTTTGCATTCAAATCCCAGAGTTGAACTTTCCTTTCAAAGTTCACGTTTGAAACACTCTTTTTGCAGGATCTACAAGTGGATATTTGGACCACTCTGTGTCCTTCGTTCGAAACGGGTATATCTTCACACGACATCTAGACAGAAGCTTTCTCAGAAAATTCTTTGGGATGATTGAGTGGAACTCACAGAGCTGAACATTCCTTGCGATGTAGCAGTTTAGAAACACACTTTCTGCAGAATCTGCAAGTGCATATTTGGACCTCTCTGAGGAATTCGTTGGAAACGGGATAATTTCAGCTGACTAAACAGAAGCATTCTCAGAACCTTCTTCGTGATGTCTGCATTCAACTCACAGTGTGGAACCTTTCTTTGATAGTTCAGGTTTGAAACACTCTTTTTGTAGAAACTGCAAGGGGATAATTGCACTTCTTTGAGGCCTACCATAGTAAAGGAAATAACTTCCTATAGAAAGAAGAGAGAAGCATTCTCAGAACCCTCTTCGTGATGTTTGCATTCAACTCACAGTGCTGAACCTTTCTTTGATAGTTCAGCTTTGAAACACTCTTCTTGTAGAAACTGCAAGTGGATATTTGGTCCTCTCTGAGGATTTCGTTGGAAACGGGATAAACCGCACAGAACTAAACAGAAGAATTCTCAGAGCCCTCTTCGTGATGTTTGCATTCAACTCACAGTGCTGAACCTTTCTTTGATAGTGCAGCTTTGAAACACTCTTTTTGTAGAAACTGCAAGTGGATATTTGGTCCTCTCTGAGGATTTCGTTGGAAACGGGATAAACCGCACAGAACTAAAACAGAAGCATTCACAGAAAACTCTTGGTGACGACTGAGTTTAACTCACAGAGCTGAACATTCCTTTGGATGGAGCAGTTTCGAAACACACTATTTGTAGAATCTGCAAGTGGATATTTGGGCCTCTCTGAGGATTTCGTTGGAAACGGGATAAAACGCACAGAACTAAAACAGAAGCATTCTCAGAAACTACTTTGTGATGATTGCATTCAAGTCACAGAGTTGAACATTCCCTTTGACAGAGCAGTTTGGAAACTCTCTTTGTGTAGAATCTGCAAGTGGAGATATGGACCGCTTTGAGGCCTATGGTAGTAAAGGAAATAGCTTCATATAAAAGCTAGACAGTAGCATTCTCAGAAACTTCTTTGTGATGCTTGCATTCAACTCACAGAGTTGAACTTTCCTTTCGAGAGAGAAGCTTTGAAACACTCTTTTTCCAGAATGTGCAAGTGGACATTTGGGGAGCTTTGAGGCCTGTGGTGGAAAAGGAATTATCTTCCCGTAAAAGCTAGATAGAAGCATTGTCAGAAACTTCTTTGAGATGATTGCATTCAACTCACAGAGTTGAAGGTTCCTTTTCAAACAGCAGTTTCCAATCACTCTTTCTGTGGAATCTGCAAGTGGATATTTCGACCTCTTTGAAGATTTCGTTGGAAACGGGAGAATCTTCACAGAAAAGCTAAACAGAAGCATTCTCAGAAACTTCTCTGTGATGTTTGTGTTCAACTCCCAGAGTTTCACATTGCTTTTCATAGAGTAGTTCTGAAACATGCTTTTCGTAGTGTCTACAAGTGGACATTTGGAGCGCTTTCAGGCCTGTGGTGGAAAACGAATTATGGTCACATAAAAACTGGAGAGAAGCCTTCTCAGAAACTTCTCTGTGATGATTGCATTCAACTCACAGAGTTGAACCCTCCTATGGATAGAGCAGTGTTGAAACTCTCTTTTTGTGGAATCTGCAAGTGGATATGTGGACCTCTCCGAAGATGTCTTTGGAAACGGGAATATCTTCACATAAAAACTAAACAGAAGCATTCTCAGAAACTTCTTGGTGATGTTTGCATTCAAATCCCAGAGTTGAACCTTCCTTTGATAGTTCAGGTTTGAAACACTCTTTTTGTAGGATCTGCAAGTGGATATTTGGACCACTCTGTGGCCTTCGTTCGAAACGGGTACATCTTCACATAAAATCTAGACAGAAGCATTCTCAGAAAATACTTTGTGATGATTGAGTTGAACTCACAGAGCTGAACATTCCTTTGGATGGAGCAGGTTTGAGACACACTTTTTGTAGAATCTACAAGTGGATATTTGGACCTCTCTGAGGATTTCGTTGGAAACGGGATAACTGCACCTAACTAAACGGAAGCATTCTCAGAAACTGCTTTGTGATGATTGCATTCACCTCACAGAGTTGAACATTCCTATTGATAGAGCAGTTTGGAAACACTCTTGTTGTGGAATGTGCAAGTGGAGATTTGGAGCGCTTTGAGGCCTATGGTAGTAAAGGGAATAGCTTCATAGAAAAACTAGACAGATGCATTCTCAGGAACTTTTTGGTGATGTTTGTATTCAACTCCCAGAGTTGAACTTTCCTTTGGAAAGAGCAGCTATGAAACACTCTTTTTCTAGAATCTGCAAGTGGACGTTTGGAGGGCTTTGTGGTTTGTGGTGGAAAAGGAAATATCTTCACCTAAATACTAGAGAGAAGCATTCTCAGAAGCTTCTCTGTGATGAGTGCATTCAACTCACGGAGTTGAACACTCCTTTTGAGAGCGCAGTTTTGAAACTCTCTTTCTGTGGCATCTGCAAGGGGACATGTAGACCTCTTTGAAGATTTCGTTGGAAACGGAATCATCTTCACATAAAAACTATACAGAAGCAGTCTCAGAATCTTCTTTGTGATGTTTGCATTCAAATCCCAGAGTTGAACTTTCCTTTCAAAGTTCACATTTGAAACACTCTTTTTGCAGGATCTACAAGTGGATATTTGGACCACTCTGTGTCCTTCGTTCGAAACGGGTATATCTTCACATGACATCTAGACAGAAGCTTTCTCAGAAAATTCTTTGGGATGATTGAGTGGAACTCACAGAGATGAACATTCCTTGCGATGTAGCAGTTTAGAAACACACTTTCTGCAGAATCTGCAAGTGCATATTTGGACCTCTCTGAGGAATTCGTTGGAAACGGGATAATTTCAGCTGACTAAACAGAAGCATTCTCAGAACCTTCTTCGTGATGTCTGCATTCAACTCACAGTGTGGAACCTTTCTTTGATAGTTCAGGTTTGAAACACTCTTTTTGTAGAAACTGCAAGGGGATAATTGCACTTCTTTGAGGCCTACCGTAGTAAAGGAAATAACTTCCTATAGAAAGAAGACAGAAGCATTCTCAGAACCCTCTTCGTGATGTTTGCATTCAACTCACAGTGCTGAACCTTTCTTTGATAGTTCAGCTTTGAAACACTCTTCTTGTAGAAACTGCAAGTGGATATTTGGTCCTCTCTGAGGATTTCGTTGGAAACGGGATAAACCGCACAGAACTAAACAGAAGAATTCTCAGAGCCCTCTTCGTGATGTTTGCATTCAACTCACAGTGCTGAACCTTTCTTTGATAGTGCAGCTTTGAAACACTCTTTTTGTAGAAACTGCAAGTGGATGTTTGGTCCTCTCTGAGGATTTCGTTGGAAACGGGATAAACCGCACAGAACTAAAACAGAAGCATTGTCAGAAACTTCTTTGTGATGATTGCATTCAACTCACAGAGTTGAAGGTTCCTTTTCAAACAGCAGTTTCCAATCACTCTTTCTGTGGAATCTGCAAGTGGATATTTGGGCCTCTCTGAGGATTTCGTTGGAAACGGGATAAAACGCACAGAACTAAAACAGAAGCATTCTCAGAAACTTCTCTGTGATGTTTGTGTTCAACTCCCAGAGTTTCACGTTGCTTTTCATAGAGTAGTTCTGAAACATGCTTTTCGTAGTGTCTGCAAGTGGACATTTGGAGCGCTTTCAGGCCTGTGGTGGAAAACGAATTATGGTCACATAAAAACTGGAGAGAAGCCTTCTCAGAAACTTCTCTGTGATGATTGCATTCAACTCACAGAGTTGAACCCTCCTATGGATAGAGCAGTGTTGAAACTCTCTTTTTGTGGAATCTGCAAGTGGATATGTGGACCTCTCCGAAGATGTCTTTGGAAACGGGAATATCTTCACATAAAAACTAAACAGAAGCATTCTCAGAAACTTCTTGGTGATGTTTGCATTCAAATCCCAGAGTTGAGCCTTCCTTTGATAGTTCAGGTTTGAAACACTCTTTCTGTAGGATCTGCAAGTGGCTATTTGGACCACTCTGTGGCCTTCGTTCGAAACGGGTATATCTTCGCATAAAATCTAGACAGAAGCATTCTCAGAAAATACTTTGTGATGATTGAGTTTAAATCACAGAGCTGACCATTCCTTTGGATGGAGCAGGTTTGAGACACACTTTTTGTAGAATCTACAAGTGGATATTTGGACCTCTCTGAGGATTTCGTTGGAAACGGGATAACTGCACCTAACTAAACGGAAGCATTCTCAGAAACTGCTTTGTGATGATTGCATTCACCTCACAGAGTTGAACATTCCTATTGATAGAGCAGTTTGGAAACAGTCTTGTTGTGGAATGTGCAAGTGGAGATTTGGAGCGCTTTGAGGCCTATGGTAGTAAAGGGAATAGCTTCATAGAAAAACTAGACAGATGCATTCTCAGGAACCTTTTGGTGATGTTTGTATTCAACTCCCAGAGTTGAACTTTCCTTTGGAAAGAGCAGCTATGAAACACTCTTTTTCTAGAATCTGCAAGTGGACGTTTGGAGGGCTTTGTGGTTTGTGGTGGAAAAGGAAATATCTTCACCTAAATACTAGATAGAAGCATTCTCAGAAGCTTCTCTGTGATGACTGCATTCAACTCACGGAGTTGAACACTCCTTTTGAGAGCGCAGTTTTGAAACTCTCTTTCTGTGGCATCTGCAAGGGGACATGTAGACCTCTTTGAAGATTTCGTTGGAAACGGAATCATCTTCACATAAAAACTATACAGAAGCAGTCTCAGAATCTTCTTTGTGATGTTTGCATTCAAATCCCAGAGTTGAACTTTCCTTTCAAAGTTCACGTTTGAAACACTCTTTTTGCAGGATCTACAAGTGGATATTTGGACCACTCTGTGTCCTTCGTTCGAAACGGGTATATCTTCACACGACATCTAGACAGAAGCTTTCTCAGAAAATTCTTTGGGATGATTGAGTGGAACTCAGAGAGCTGAACATTCCTTGCGATGTAGCAGTTTAGAAACACACTTTCTGCAGAATCTGCAAGTGCATATTTGGACCTCTCTGAGGAATTCGTTGGAAACGGGATAATTTCAGCTGACTAAACAGAAGCATTCTCAGAACCTTCTTCGTGATGTCTGCATTCAACTCACAGTGTGGAACCTTTCTTTGATAGTTCAGGTTTGAAACACTCTTTTTGTAGAAACTGCAAGGGGATAATTGCACTTCTTTGAGGCCTACCGTAGTAAAGGAAATAACTTCCTATAGAAAGAAGACAGAAGCATTCTCAGAACCCTCTTCGTGATGTTTGCATTCAACTCACAGTGCTGAACCTTTCTTTGATAGTTCAGCTTTGAAACACTCTTCTTGTAGAAACTGCAAGTGGATATTTGGTCCTCTCTGAGGATTTCGTTGGAAACGGGATAAACCGCACAGAACTAAACAGAAGAATTCTCAGAGCCCTCTTCGTGATGTTTGCATTCAACTCACAGTGCTGAACCTTTCTTTGATAGTGCAGCTTTGAAACACTCTTTTTGTAGAAACTGCAAGTGGATGTTTGGTCCTCTCTGAGGATTTCGTTGGAAACGGGATAAACCGCACAGAACTAAAACAGAAGCATTGTCAGAAACTTCTTTGTGATGATTGCATTCAACTCACAGAGTTGAAGGTTCCTTTTCAAACAGCAGTTTCCAATCACTCTTTCTGTGGAATCTGCAAGTGGATATTTGGGCCTCTCTGAGGATTTCGTTGGAAACGGGATAAAACGCACAGAACTAAAACAGAAGCATTCTCAGAAACTTCTCTGTGATGTTTGTGTTCAACTCCCAGAGTTTCACGTTGCTTTTCATAGAGTAGTTCTGAAACATGCTTTTCGTAGTGTCTGCAAGTGGACATTTGGAGCGCTTTCAGGCCTGTGGTGGAAAACGAATTATGGTCACATAAAAACTGGAGAGAAGCCTTCTCAGAAACTTCTCTGTGATGATTGCATTCAACTCACAGAGTTGAACCCTCCTATGGATAGAGCAGTGTTGAAACTCTCTTTTTGTGGAATCTGCAAGTGGATATGTGGACCTCTCCGAAGATGTCTTTGGAAACGGGAATATCTTCACATAAAAACTAAACAGAAGCATTCTCAGAAACTTCTTGGTGATGTTTGCATTCAAATCCCAGAGTTGAACCTTCCTTTGATAGTTCAGGTTTGAAACACTCTTTCTGTAGGATCTGCAAGTGGCTATTTGGACCACTCTGTGGCCTTCGTTCGAAACGGGTATATCTTCGCATAAAATCTAGACAGAAGCATTCTCAGAAAATACTTTGTGATGATTGAGTTAAAATCACAGAGCTGAACATTCCTTTGGATGGAGCAGGTTTGAGACACACTTTTTGTAGAATCTACAAGTGGATATTTGGACCTCTCTGAGGATTTCGTTGGAAACGGGATAACTGCACCTAACTAAACGGAAAGCATTCTCAGAAACTGCTTTGTGATGATTGCATTCACCTCACAGAGTTGAACATTCCTATTGATAGAGCAGTTTGGAAACACTCTTGTTGTGGAATGTGCAAGTGGAGATTTGGAGCGCTTTGAGGCCTATGGTAGTAAAGGGAATAGCTTCATAGAAAAACTAGACAGTGCATTCTCAGGAACTTTTTGGTGATGTTTGTATTCAACTCCCAGAGTTGAACTTTCCTTTGGAAAGAGCAGCTATGAAACACTCTTTTTCTAGAATCTGCAAGTGGACGTTTGGAGGGCTTTGTGGTTTGTGGTGGAAAAGGAAATATCTTCACCTAAATACTAGATAGAAGCATTCTCAGAAGCTTCTCTGTGATGACTGCATTCAACTCACGGAGTTGAACACTCCTTTTGAGAGCGCAGTTTTGAAACTCTCTTTCTGTGGCATCCGCAAGGGGACATGTGGACCTCTTTGAAGATTTCGTTGGAAACGGAATCATCTTCACATAAAAACTATACAGAAGCAGTCTCAGAATCTTCTTTGTGATGTTTGCATTCCAATCCCAGAATTGAACTTTCCTTTCAAAGTTCACGTTTGAAACACTCTTTTTGCAGGATCTACAAGTGGATATTTGGACCACTCTGTGTCCTTCGTTCGAAACGGGTATATCTTCACATGACATCTAGACAGAAGCTTTCTCAGAAAATTGTTTGGGATGATTGACTTGAACTCACAGAGCTGAGCATTCCTTGCGATGTAGCAGTTTAGAAACACACTTTCTGCAGAATCTGCAAGTGCATATTTGGACCTCTCTGAGGAATTCGTTGGAAACGGGATAATTTCAGCTGACTAAACAGAAGCATTCTCAGAACCTTCTTCGTGATGTCTGCATTCAACTCACAGTGTGGAACCTTTCCTTGATAGTTCAGGTTTGAAACACTCTTTTTGTAGAAACTGCAAGGGGATAATTGCACTCTTTGAGGAGTACCGTAGTAAAGGAAATAACTTCCTCTAAAAAGAAGACAGAAGCATTCTCAGAACCCTCTTCGTGATGTTTGCATTCAACTCACAGTGCTGAACCTTTCTTTGATAGTTCAGCTTTGAAACACTCTTTTTGTAGAAACTGCAAATGGATATTTGGTCCTCTCTGAGGATTTCGTTGGAAAAGGGATAAAACGCACAGAACTAAACAGAAGCATTCACAGAAAACTCTTGGTGACGACTGAGTTTAACTCACAGAGCTGAACATTCCTTTGGATGGAGCAGTTTCAAAACACACTATTTGTAGAATCTGCAAGTGGATATGTGGGCCTCTCTGAGGATTTCGTTGGAAACGGGATAAACCGCACAGAACTAAAACAGAAGCATTCTCAGAAACTACTTTGTGATGATTGCATTCAAGTCACAGAGTTGAACATTCCCTTTGAGAGAGCAGTTTGGAAACTCTCTTTGTGTAGAATCTGCAAGTGGAGATATGGACCGCGTTGAGGCCTATGGTAGTAAAGGAAATAGCTTCATATAAAAGCTAGACAGTAGCATTCTCAGAAACTTTTTTGTGATGCTTGCATTCAACTCACAGAGTTGAACTTTCCTTTCGAGAGAGAAGCTTTGAAACACTCTTTTTCCAGAATCTGCAAGTGGACATTTGAAGGGCTTTGAGGCCTGTGGTGGAAAAGGAATTATCTTCCCGTAAAAGCCTAGATAGAAGCATTGTCAGAAACTTCTTTGTGATGATTGCATTCAAGTCACAGAGTTGAAGGTTCCTTTTCAAAGAGCAGTTTCCAATCACTCTTTCTGTGGAATCTGCAAGTGGATATTTGGACCTCTTTGAAGATTTCGTTGGAAACGGGAGAATCTTCACAGAAAAGCTAAACAGAAGCATTCTCAGAAACTTCTCTGTGATGTTTGTGTTCAACTCCCAGAGTTTCACATTGCTTTTCATAGAGTAGTTCTGAAACATGCTTTTCGTAGTGTCTGCAAGTGGACATTTGGAGCGCTTTCAGGCCTGTGGTGGAAAACGAATTATGGTCACATAAAAACTGGAGAGAAGCCTTCTCAGAAACTTCTCTGTGATGATTGCATTCAACTCACAGAGTTGAACCCTCCTATGGATAGAGCAGTGTTGAAACTCTCTTTTTGTGGAATCTGCAAGTGGATATGTGGACCTCTCCGAAGATGTCTTTGGAAACGGGAATATCTTCACATAAAAACTAAACAGAAGCATTCTCAGAAACTTCTTGGTGATGTTTGCATTCAAATCCCAGAGTTGAACCTTCCTTTGATAGTTCAGGTTTGAAACACTCTTTCTGTAGGATCTGCAAGTGGCTATTTGGACCACTCTGTGGCCTTCGTTCGAAACGGGTATATCTTCGCATAAAATCTAGACAGAAGCATTCTCAGAAAATACTTTGTGATGATTGAGTTTAAATCACAGAGCTGACCATTCCTTTGGATGGAGCAGGTTTGAGACACACTTTTTGTAGAATCTACAAGTGGATATTTGGACCTCTCTGAGGATTTCGTTGGAAACGGGATAACTGCACCTAACTAAACGGAAGCATTCTCAGAAACTGCTTTGTGATGATTGCATTCACCTCACAGAGTTGAACATTCCTATTGATAGAGCAGTTTGGAAACACTCTTGTTGTGGAATGTGCAAGTGGAGATTTGGAGCGCTTTGAGGCCTGTGGTAGTAAAGGGAATAGCTTCATAGAAAAACTAGACAGATGCATTCTCAGGAACTTTTTGGTGATGTTTGTATTCAACTCCCAGAGTTGAACTTTCCTTTGGAAAGAGCAGCTATGAAACACTCTTTTTCTAGAATCTGCAAGTGGACGTTTGGAGGGCTTTGTGGTTTGTGGTGGAAAAGGAAATATCTTCACCTAAATACTAGATAGAAGCATTCTCAGAAGCTTCTCTGTGATGACTGCATTCAACTCACGGAGTTGAACACTCCTTTTGAGAGCGCAGTTTTGAAACTCTCTTTCTGTGGCATCTGCAAGGGGACATGTAGACCTCTTTGAAGATTTCGTTGGAAACGGAATCATCTTCACATAAAAACTATACAGAAGCAGTCTCAGAATCTTCTTTGTGATGTTTGCATTCAAATCCCAGAGTTGAACTTTCCTTTCAAAGTTCACGTTTGAAACACTCTTTTTGCAGGATCTACAAGTGGATATTTGGACCACTCTGTGTCCTTCGTTCGAAACGGGTATATCTTCACACGACATCTAGACAGAAGCTTTCTCAGAAAATTCTTTGGGATGATTGAGTGGAACTCACAGAGCTGAACATTCCTTGCGATGTAGCAGTTTAGAAACACACTTTCTGCAGAATCTGCAAGTGCATATTTGGACCTCTCTGAGGAATTCGTTGGAAACGGGATAATTTCAGCTGACTAAACAGAAGCATTCTCAGAACCTTCTTCGTGATGTCTGCATTCAACTCACAGTGTGGAACCTTTCTTTGATAGTTCAGGTTTGAAACACTCTTTTTGTAGAAACTGCAAGGGGATAATTGCACTTCTTTGAGGCCTACCGTAGTAAAGGAAATAACTTCCTATAGAAAGAAGACAGAAGCATTCTCAGAACCCTCTTCGTGATGTTTGCATTCAACTCACAGTGCTGAACCTTTCTTTGATAGTTCAGCTTTGAAACACTCTTCTTGTAGAAACTGCAAGTGGATATTTGGTCCTCTCTGAGGATTTCGTTGGAAACGGGATAAACCGCACAGAACTAAACAGAAGAATTCTCAGAGCCCTCTTCGTGATGTTTGCATTCAACTCACAGTGCTGAACCTTTCTTTGATAGTGCAGCTTTGAAACACTCTTTTTGTAGAAACTGCAAGTGGATGTTTGGTCCTCTCTGAGGATTTCGTTGGAAACGGGATAAACCGCACAGAACTAAAACAGAAGCATTGTCAGAAACTTCTTTGTGATGATTGCATTCAACTCACAGAGTTGAAGGTTCCTTTTCAGACAGCAGTTTCCAATCACTCTTTCTGTGGAATCTGCAAGTGGATATTTGGGCCTCTCTGAGGATTTCGTTGGAAACGGGATAAAACGCACAGAACTAAAACAGAAGCATTCTCAGAAACTTCTCTGTGATGTTTGTGTTCAACTCCCAGAGTTTCACGTTGCTTTTCATAGAGTAGTTCTGAAACATGCTTTTCGTAGTGTCTGCAAGTGGACATTTGGAGCGCTTTCAGGCCTGTGGTGGAAAACGAATTATGGTCACATAAAAACTGGAGAGAAGCCTTCTCAGAAACTTCTCTGTGATGATTGCATTCAACTCACAGAGTTGAACCCTCCTATGGATAGAGCAGTGTTGAAACTCTCTTTTTGTGGAACCTGCAAGTGGATATGTGGACCTCTCCGAAGATGTCTTTGGAAACGGGAATATCTTCACATAAAAACTAAACAGAAGCATTCTCAGAAACTTCTTGGTGATGTTTGCATTCAAATCCCAGAGTTGAACCTTCCTTTGATAGTTCAGGTTTGAAACACTCTTTCTGTAGGATCTGCAAGTGGCTATTTGGACCACTCTGTGGCCTTCGTTCGAAACGGGTATATCTTCGCATAAAATCTAGACAGAAGCATTCTCAGAAAATACTTTGTGATGATTGAGTTTAAATCACAGAGCTGACCATTCCTTTGGATGGAGCAGGTTTGAGACACACTTTTTGTAGAATCTACAAGTGGATATTTGGACCTCTCTGAGGATTTCGTTGGAAACGGGATAACTGCACCTAACTAAACGGAAAGCATTCTCAGAAACTGCTTTGTGATGATTGCATTCACCTCACAGTAGTTGAACATTCCTATTGATAGAGCAGTTTGGAAACACTCTTGTTGTGGAATGTGCAAGTGGAGATTTGGAGCGCTTTGAGGCCTATGGTAGTAAAGGGAATAGCTTCATAGAAAAACTAGACAGATGCATTCTCAGGAACTTTTTGGTGATGTTTGTATTCAACTCCCAGAGTTGAACTTTCCTTTGGAAAGAGCAGCTATGAAACACTCTTTTTCTAGAATCTGCAAGTGGACGTTTGGAGGGCTTTGTGGTTTGTGGTGGAAAAGGAAATATCTTCACCTAAATACTAGATAGAAGCATTCTCAGAAGCTTCTCTGTGATGACTGCATTCAACTCACGGAGTTGAACACTCCTTTTGAGAGCGCAGTTTTGAAACTCTCTTTCTGTGGCATCTGCAAGGGGACATGTAGACCTCTTTGAAGATTTCGTTGGAAACGGAATCATCTTCACATAAAAACTATACAGAAGCAGTCTCAGAATCTTCTTTGTGATGTTTGCATTCAAATCCCAGAGTTGAACTTTCCTTTCAAAGTTCACGTTTGAAACACTCTTTTTGCAGGATCTACAAGTGGATATTTGGACCACTCTGTGTCCTTCGTGCGAAACGGGTATATCTTCACATGACATCTAGACAGAAGCTTTCTCAGAAAATTCTTTGGGATGACTGAGTGGAACTCACAGAGCTGAACATTCCTTGCGATGTAGCAGTTTAGAAACACACTTTCTGCAGAATCTGCAAGTGCATATTTGGACCTCTCTGAGGAATTCGTTGGAAACGGGATAATTTCAGCTGACTAAACAGAAGCATTCTCAGAACCTTCTTCGTGATGTCTGCATTCAACTCACAGTGTGGAACCTTTCTTTGATAGTTCAGGTTTGAAACACTCTTTTTGTAGAAACTGCAAGGGGATAATTGCACTTCTTTGAGGCCTACCGTAGTAAAGGAAATAACTTCCTATAGAAAGAAGACAGAAGCATTCTCAGAACCCTCTTCGTGATGTTTGCATTCAACTCACAGTGCTGAACCTTTCTTTGATAGTTCAGCTTTGAAACACTCTTCTTGTAGAAACTGCAAGTGGATATTTGGTCCTCTCTGAGGATTTCGTTGGAAACGGGATAAACCGCACAGAACTAAACAGAAGAATTCTCAGAGCCCTCTTCGTGATGTTTGCATTCAACTCACAGTGCTGAACCTTTCTTTGATAGTGCAGCTTTGAAACACTCTTTTTGTAGAAACTGCAAGTGGATGTTTGGTCCTCTCTGAGGATTTCGTTGGAAACGGGATAAACCGCACAGAACTAAAACAGAAGCATTGTCAGAAACTTCTTTGTGATGATTGCATTCAACTCACAGAGTTGAAGGTTCCTTTTCAAACAGCAGTTTCCAATCACTCTTTCTGTGGAATCTGCAAGTGGATATTTGGGCCTCTCTGAGGATTTCGTTGGAAACGGGATAAAACGCACAGAACTAAAACAGAAGCATTCTCAGAAACTTCTCTGTGATGTTTGTGTTCAACTCCCAGAGTTTCACGTTGCTTTTCATAGAGTAGTTCTGAAACATGCTTTTCGTAGTGTCTGCAAGTGGACATTTGGAGCGCTTTCAGGCCTGTGGTGGAAAACGAATTATGGTCACATAAAAACTGGAGAGAAGCCTTCTCAGAAACTTCTCTGTGATGATTGCATTCAACTCACAGAGTTGAACCCTCCTATGGATAGAGCAGTGTTGAAACTCTCTTTTTGTGGAATCTGCAAGTGGATATGTGGACCTCTCCGAAGATGTCTTTGGAAACGGGAATATCTTCACATAAAAACTAAACAGAAGCATTCTCAGAAACTTCTTGGTGATGTTTGCATTCAAATCCCAGAGTTGAACCTTCCTTTGATAGTTCAGGTTTGAAACACTCTTTCTGTAGGATCTGCAAGTGGCTATTTGGACCACTCTGTGGCCTTCGTTCGAAACGGGTATATCTTCGCATAAAATCTAGACAGAAGCATTCTCAGAAAATACTTTGTGATGATTGAGTTTAAATCACAGAGCTGACCATTCCTTTGGATGGAGCAGGTTTGAGACACACTTTTTGTAGAATCTACAAGTGGATATTTGGACCTCTCTGAGGATTTCGTTGGAAACGGGATAACTGCACCTAACTAAACGGAAGCATTCTCAGAAACTGCTTTGTGATGATTGCATTCACCTCACAGAGTTGAACATTCCTATTGATAGAGCAGTTTGGAAACACTCTTGTTGTGGAATGTGCAAGTGGAGATTTGGAGCGCTTTGAGGCCTATGGTAGTAAAGGGAATAGCTTCATAGAAAAACTAGACAGATGCATTCTCAGGAACTTTTTGGTGATGTTTGTATTCAACTCCCAGAGTTGAACTTTCCTTTGGAAAGAGCAGCTATGAAACACTCTTTTTCTAGAATCTGCAAGTGGACGTTTGGAGGGCTTTGTGGTTTGTGGTGGAAAAGGAAATATCTTCACCTAAATACTAGATAGAAGCATTCTCAGAAGCTTCTCTGTGATGACTGCATTCAACTCACGGAGTTGAACACTCCTTTTGAGAGCGCAGTTTTGAAACTCTCTTTCTGTGGCATCTGCAAGGGGACATGTAGACCTCTTTGAAGATTTCGTTGGAAACGGAATCATCTTCACATAAAAACTATACAGAAGCAGTCTCAGAATCTTCTTTGTGATGTTTGCATTCAAATCCCAGAGTTGAACTTTCCTTTCAAAGTTCACGTTTGAAACACTCTTTTTGCAGGATCTACAAGTGGATATTTGGACCACTCTGTGTCCTTCGTTCGAAACGGGTATATCTTCACACGACATCTAGACAGAAGCTTTCTCAGAAAATTCTTTGGGATGATTGAGTGGAACTCACAGAGCTGAACATTCCTTGCGATGGAGCAGTTTAGAAACACACTTTCTGCAGAATCTGCAAGTGCATATTTGGACCTCTCTGAGGAATTCGTTGGAAACGGGATAATTTCAGCTGACTAAACAGAAGCATTCTCAGAACCTTCTTCGTGATGTCTGCATTCAACTCACAGTGTGGAACCTTTCTTTGATAGTTCAGGTTTGAAACACTCTTTTTGTAGAAACTGCAAGGGGATAATTGCACTTCTTTGAGGCCTACCGTAGTAAAGGAAATAACTTCCTATAGAAAGAAGACAGAAGCATTCTCAGAACCCTCTTCGTGATGTTTGCATTCAACTCACAGTGCTGAACCTTTCTTTGATAGTTCAGCTTTGAAACACTCTTCTTGTAGAAACTGCAAGTGGATATTTGGTCCTCTCTGAGGATTTCGTTGGAAACGGGATAAACCGCACAGAACTAAACAGAAGAATTCTCAGAGCCCTCTTCGTGATGTTTGCATTCAACTCACAGTGCTGAACCTTTCTTTGATAGTGCAGCTTTGAAACACTCTTTTTGTAGAAACTGCAAGTGGATGTTTGGTCCTCTCTGAGGATTTCGTTGGAAACGGGATAAACCGCACAGAACTAAAACAGAAGCATTGTCAGAAACTTCTTTGTGATGATTGCATTCAACTCACAGAGTTGAAGGTTCCTTTTCAAACAGCAGTTTCCAATCACTCTTTCTGTGGAATCTGCAAGTGGATATTTGGGCCTCTCTGAGGATTTCGTTGGAAACGGGATAAAACGCACAGAACTAAAACAGAAGCATTCTCAGAAACTTCTCTGTGATGTTTGTGTTCAACTCCCAGAGTTTCACGTTGCTTTTCATAGAGTAGTTCTGAAACATGCTTTTCGTAGTGTCTGCAAGTGGACATTTGGAGCGCTTTCAGGCCTGTGGTGGAAAACGAATTATGGTCACATAAAAACTGGAGAGAAGCCTTCTCAGAAACTTCTCTGTGATGATTGCATTCAACTCACAGAGTTGAACCCTCCTATGGATAGAGCAGTGTTGAAACTCTCTTTTTGTGGAATCTGCAAGTGGATATGTGGACCTCTCCGAAGATGTCTTTGGAAACGGGAATATCTTCACATAAAAACTAAACAGAAGCATTCTCAGAAACTTCTTGGTGATGTTTGCATTCAAATCCCAGAGTTGAACCTTCCTTTGATAGTTCAGGTTTGAAACACTCTTTCTGTAGGATCTGCAAGTGGCTATTTGGACCACTCTGTGGCCTTCGTTCGAAACGGGTATATCTTCGCATAAAATCTAGACAGAAGCATTCTCAGAAAATACTTTGTGATGATTGAGTTTAAATCACAGAGCTGACCATTCCTTTGGATGGAGCAGGTTTGAGACACACTTTTTGTAGAATCTACAAGTGGATATTTGGACCTCTCTGAGGATTTCGTTGGAAACGGGATAACTGCACCTAACTAAACGGAAGCATTCTCAGAAACTGCTTTGTGATGATTGCATTCACCTCACAGAGTTGAACATTCCTATTGATAGAGCAGTTTGGAAACACTCTTGTTGTGGAATGTGCAAGTGGAGATTTGGAGCGCTTTGAGGCCTGTGGTAGTAAAGGGAATAGCTTCATAGAAAAACTAGACAGATGCATTCTCAGGAACTTTTTGGTGATGTTTGTATTCAACTCCCAGAGTTGAACTTTCCTTTGGAAAGAGCAGCTATGAAACACTCTTTTTCTAGAATCTGCAAGTGGACGTTTGGAGGGCTTTGTGGTTTGTGGTGGAAAAGGAAATATCTTCACCTAAATACTAGATAGAAGCATTCTCAGAAGCTTCTCTGTGATGACTGCATTCAACTCACGGAGTTGAACACTCCTTTTGAGAGCGCAGTTTTGAAACTCTCTTTCTGTGGCATCTGCAAGGGGACATGTAGACCTCTTTGAAGATTTCGTTGGAAACGGAATCATCTTCACATAAAAACTATACAGAAGCAGTCTCAGAATCTTCTTTGTGATGTTTGCATTCAAATCCCAGAGTTGAACTTTCCTTTCAAAGTTCACGTTTGAAACACTCTTTTTGCAGGATCTACAAGTGGATATTTGGACCACTCTGTGTCCTTCGTTCGAAACGGGTATATCTTCACACGACATCTAGACAGAAGCTTTCTCAGAAAATTCTTTGGGATGATTGAGTGGAACTCACAGAGCTGAACATTCCTTGCGATGTAGCAGTTTAGAAACACACTTTCTGCAGAATCTGCAAGTGCATATTTGGACCTCTCTGAGGAATTCGTTGGAAACGGGATAATTTCAGCTGACTAAACAGAAGCATTCTCAGAACCTTCTTCGTGATGTCTGCATTCAACTCACAGTGTGGAACCTTTCTTTGATAGTTCAGGTTTGAAACACTCTTTTTGTAGAAACTGCAAGGGGATAATTGCACTTCTTTGAGGCCTACCGTAGTAAAGGAAATAACTTCCTATAGAAAGAAGACAGAAGCATTCTCAGAACCCTCTTCGTGATGTTTGCATTCAACTCACAGTGCTGAACCTTTCTTTGATAGTTCAGCTTTGAAACACTCTTCTTGTAGAAACTGCAAGTGGATATTTGGTCCTCTCTGAGGATTTCGTTGGAAACGGGATAAACCGCACAGAACTAAACAGAAGAATTCTCAGAGCCCTCTTCGTGATGTTTGCATTCAACTCACAGTGCTGAACCTTTCTTTGATAGTGCAGCTTTGAAACACTCTTTTTGTAGAAACTGCAAGTGGATGTTTGGTCCTCTCTGAGGATTTCGTTGGAAACGGGATAAACCGCACAGAACTAAAACAGAAGCATTGTCAGAAACTTCTTTGTGATGATTGCATTCAACTCACAGAGTTGAAGGTTCCTTTTCAAACAGCAGTTTCCAATCACTCTTTCTGTGGAATCTGCAAGTGGATATTTGGGCCTCTCTGAGGATTTCGTTGGAAACGGGATAAAACGCACAGAACTAAAACAGAAGCATTCTCAGAAACTTCTCTGTGATGTTTGTGTTCAACTCCCAGAGTTTCACGTTGCTTTTCATAGAGTAGTTCTGAAACATGCTTTTCGTAGTGTCTGCAAGTGGACATTTGGAGCGCTTTCAGGCCTGTGGTGGAAAACGAATTATGGTCACATAAAAACTGGAGAGAAGCCTTCTCAGAAACTTCTCTGTGATGATTGCATTCAACTCACAGAGTTGAACCCTCCTATGGATAGAGCAGTGTTGAAACTCTCTTTTTGTGGAATCTGCAAGTGGATATGTGGACCTCTCCGAAGATGTCTTTGGAAACGGGAATATCTTCACATAAAAACTAAACAGAAGCATTCTCAGAAACTTCTTGGTGATGTTTGCATTCAAATCCCAGAGTTGAACCTTCCTTTGATAGTTCAGGTTTGAAACACTCTTTTTGTAGGATCTGCAAGTGGCTATTTGGACCACTCTGTGGCCTTCGTTCGAAACGGGTATATCTTCGCATAAAATCTAGACAGAAGCATTCTCAGAAAATACTTTGTGATGATTGAGTTAAAATCACAGAGCTGAACATTCCTTTGGATGGAGCAGGTTTGAGACACACTTTTTGTAGAATCTACAAGTGGATATTTGGACCTCTCTGAGGATTTCGTTGGAAACGGGATAACTGCACCTAACTAAACGGAAGCATTCTCAGAAACTGCTTTGTGATGATTGCATTCACCTCACAGAGTTGAACATTCCTATTGATAGAGCAGTTTGGAAACACTCTTGTTGTGGAATGTGCAAGTGGAGATTTGGAGCGCTTTGAGGCCTATGGTAGTAAAGGGAATAGCTTCATAGAAAAACTAGACAGATGAATTCTCAGGAACTTTTTGGTGATGTTTGTATTCAACTCCCAGAGTTGAACTTTCCTTTGGAAAGAGCAGCTATGAAACACTCTTTTTCTAGAATCTGCAAGTGGACGTTTGGAGGGCTTTGTGGTTTGTGGTGGAAAAGGAAATATCTTCACCTAAATACTAGAGAGAAGCATTCTCAGAAGCTTCTCTGTGATGACTGCATTCAACTCACGGAGTTGAACACTCCTTTTGAGAGCGCAGTTTTGAAACTCTCTTTCTGTGGCATCTGCAAGGGGACATGTAGACCTCTTTGAAGATTTCGTTGGAAACCGAATCATCTTCACATAAAAACTATACAGAAGCAGTCTCAGAATCTTCTTTGTGATGTTTGCATTCAAATCCCAGAGTTGAACTTTCCTTTCAAAGTTCACGTTTGAAACACTCTTTTTGCAGGATCTACAAGTGGATATTTGGACCACTCTGTGTCCTTCGTACGAAACGGGTATATCTTCACACGACATCTAGACAGAAGCTTTCTCAGAAAATTCTTTGGGATGATTGAGTGGAACTCACAGAGCTGAACATTCCTTGCGATGTAGCAGTTTAGAAACACACTTTCTGCAGAATCTGCAAGTGCATATTTGGACCTCTCTGAGGAATTCGTTGGAAACGGGATAATTTCAGCTGACTAAACAGAAGCATTCTCAGAACCTTCTTCGTGATGTCTGCATTCAACTCACAGTGTGGAACCTTTCTTTGATAGTTCAGGTTTGAAACACTCTTTTTGTAGAAACTGCAAGGGGATAATTGCACTTCTTTGAGGCCTACCGTAGTAAAGGAAATAACTTCCTATAGAAAGAAGACAGAAGCATTCTCAGAACCCTCTTCGTGATGTTTGCATTCAACTCACAGTGCTGAACCTTTCTTTGATAGTTCAGCTTTGAAACACTCTTCTTGTAGAAACTGCAAGTGGATATTTGGTCCTCTCTGAGGATTTCGTTGGAAACGGGATAAACCGCACAGAACTAAACAGAAGCATTCTCAGAGCCCTCTTCGTGATGTTTGCATTCAACTCACAGTGCTGAACCTTTCTTTGATAGTGCAGCTTTGAAACACTCTTTTTGTAGAAACTGCAAGTGGATGTTTGGTCCTCTCTGAGGATTTCGTTGGAAACGGGATAAACCGCACAGAACTAAAACAGAAGCATTGTCAGAACTTCTTTGTGATGATTGCATTCAACTCACAGAGTTGAAGGTTCCTTTTCAAACAGCAGTTTCCAATCACTCTTTCTGTGGAATCTGCAAGTGGATATTTGGGCCTCTCTGAGGATTTCGTTGGAAACGGGATAAAACGCACAGAACTAAAACAGAAGCATTCTCAGAAACTTCTCTGTGATGTTTGTGTTCAACTCCCAGAGTTTCACATTGCTTTTCATAGAGTAGTTCTGAAACATGTTTTTTGTAGTGTCTGCAAGTGGACATTTGGAGCGCTTTCAGGCCTGTGGTGGAAAACGAATTATGGTCACATAAAAACTGGAGAGAAGCCTTCTCAGAAACTTCTCTGTGATGATTGCATTCAACTCACAGAGTTGAACCCTCCTATGGATAGAGCAGTGTTGAAACTCTCTTTTTGTGGAATCTGCAAGTGGATATGTGGACCTCTCCGAAGATGTCTTTGGAAACGGGAATATCTTCACATAAAAACTAAACAGAAGCATTCTCAGAAACTTCTTGGTGACGTTTGCATTCAAATCCCAGAGTTGAACCTTCCTTTGAGAGTTCAGGTTTGAAACACTCTTTTTGTAGGATCTGCAAGTGGATATTTGGACCACTCTGTGGCCTTCGTTCGAAACGGGTACATCTTCGCATAAAATCTAGACAGAAGCATTCTCAGAAAATACTTTGTGATGATTGAGTTGAACTCACAGAGCTGAACATTCCTTTGGATGGAGCAGGTTTGAGACACACTTTTTGTAGAATCTACAAGTGGATATTTGGACCTCTCTGAGGATTTCGTTGGAAACGGGATAACTGCACCTAACTAAACGGAAGCATTCTCAGAAACTGCTTTGTGATGATTGCATTCACCTCACAGAGTTGAACATTCCTATTGATAGAGGCAGTTTGGAAACACTCTTGTTGTGGAATGTGCAAGTGGAGATTTGGAGCGCTTTGAGGCCTATGGTAGTAAAGGGAATAGCTTCATAGAAAAACTAGACAGATGCATTCTCAGGAACTTTTTGGTGATGTTTGTATTCAACTCCCAGAGTTGAACTTTCCTTTGGAAAGAGCAGCTATGAAACACTCTTTTTCTAGAATCTGCAAGTGGACGTTTGGAGGGCTTTGTGGTTTTGTGGTGGAAAAGGAAATATCTTCACCTAAATACTAGATAGAAGCATTCTCAGAAGCTTCTCTGTGATGACTGCATTCAACTCACGGAGTTGAACACTCCTTTTGAGAGCGCAGTTTTGAAACTCTCTTTCTGTGGCATCTGCAAGGGGACATGTAGACCTCTTTGAAGATTTCGTTGGAAACGGAATCATCTTCACATAAAAACTATACAGAAGCAGTCTCAGAATCTTCTTTGTGATGTTTGCATTCAAATCCCAGAGTTGAACTTTCCTTTCAAAGTTCACGTTTGAAACACTCTTTTTGCAGGATCTACAAGTGGATATTTGGACCACTCTGTGTCCTTCGTTCGAAACGGGTATATCTTCACACGACATCTAGACAGAAGCTTTCTCAGAAAATTCTTTGGGATGATTGAGTGGAACTCACAGAGCTGAACATTCCTTGCGATGTAGCAGTTTAGAAACACACTTTCTGCAGAATCTGCAAGTGCATATTTGGACCTCTCTGAGGAATTCGTTGGAAACGGGATAATTTCAGCTGACTAAACAGAAGCATTCTCAGAACCTTCTTCGTGATGTCTGCATTCAACTCACAGTGTGGAACCTTTCTTTGATAGTTCAGGTTTGAAACACTCTTTTTGTAGAAACTGCAAGGGGATAATTGCACTTCTTTGAGGCCTACCGTAGTAAAGGAAATAACTTCCTGTAGAAAGAAGACAGAAGCATTCTCAGAACCCTCTTCGTGATGTTTGCATTCAACTCACAGTGCTGAACCTTTCTTTGATAGTTCAGCTTTGAAACACTCTTCTTGTAGAAACTGCAAGTGGATATTTGGTCCTCTCTGAGGATTTCGTTGGAAACGGGATAAACCGCACAGAACTAAACAGAAGAATTCTCAGAGCCCTCTTCGTGATGTTTGCATTCAACTCACAGTGCTGAACCTTTCTTTGATAGTGCAGCTTTGAAACACTCTTTTTGTAGAAACTGCAAGTGGATGTTTGGTCCTCTCTGAGGATTTCGTTGGAAACGGGATAAACCGCACAGAACTAAAACAGAAGCATTGTCAGAAACTTCTTTGTGATGATTGCATTCAACTCACAGAGTTGAAGGTTCCTTTTCAAACAGCAGTTTCCAATCACTCTTTCTGTGGAATCTGCAAGTGGATATTTGGGCCTCTCTGAGGATTTCGTTGGAAACGGGATAAAACGCACAGAACTAAAACAGAAGCATTCTCAGAAACTTCTCTGTGATGTTTGTGTTCAACTCCCAGAGTTTCACGTTGCTTTTCATAGAGTAGTTCTGAAACATGCTTTTCGTAGTGTCTGCAAGTGGACATTTGGAGCGCTTTCAGGCCTGTGGTGGAAAACGAATTATGGTCACATAAAAACTGGAGAGAAGCCTTCTCAGAAACTTCTCTGTGATGATTGCATTCAACTCACAGAGTTGAACCCTCCTATGGATAGAGCAGTGTTGAAACTCTCTTTTTGTGGAATCTGCAAGTGGATATGTGGACCTCTCCGAAGATGTCTTTGGAAACGGGAATATCTTCACATAAAAACTAAACAGAAGCATTCTCAGAAACTTCTTGGTGATGTTTGCATTCAAATCCCAGAGTTGAACCTTCCTTTGATAGTTCAGGTTTGAAACACTCTTTCTGTAGGATCTGCAAGTGGCTATTTGGACCACTCTGTGGCCTTCGTTCGAAACGGGTATATCTTCGCATAAAATCTAGACAGAAGCATTCTCAGAAAATACTTTGTGATGATTGAGTTTAAATCACAGAGCTGACCATTCCTTTGGATGGAGCAGGTTTGAGACACACTTTTTGTAGAATCTACAAGTGGATATTTGGACCTCTCTGAGGATTTCGTTGGAAACGGGATAACTGCACCTAACTAAACGGAAGCATTCTCAGAAACTGCTTTGTGATGATTGCATTCACCTCACAGAGTTGAACATTCCTATTGATAGAGCAGTTTGGAAACACTCTTGTTGTGGAATGTGCAAGTGGAGATTTGGAGCGCTTTGAGGCCTGTGGTAGTAAAGGGAATAGCTTCATAGAAAAACTAGACAGATGCATTCTCAGGAACCTTTTGGTGATGTTTGTATTCAACTCCCAGAGTTGAACTTTCCTTTGGAAAGAGCAGCTATGAAACACTCTTTTTCTAGAATCTGCAAGTGGACGTTTGGAGGGCTTTGTGGTTTGTGGTGGAAAAGGAAATATCTTCACCTAAATACTAGATAGAAGCATTCTCAGAAGCTTCTCTGTGATGACTGCATTCAACTCACGGAGTTGAACACTCCTTTTGAGAGCGCAGTTTTGAAACTCTCTTTCTGTGGCATCTGCAAGGGGACATGTAGACCTCTTTGAAGATTTCGTTGGAAACGGAATCATCTTCACATAAAAACTATACAGAAGCAGTCTCAGAATCTTCTTTGTGATGTTTGCATTCAAATCCCAGAGTTGAACTTTCCTTTCAAAGTTCACGTTTGAAACACTCTTTTTGCAGGATCTACAAGTGGATATTTGGACCACTCTGTGTCCTTCGTTCGAAACGGGTATATCTTCACACGACATCTAGACAGAAGCTTTCTCAGAAAATTCTTTGGGATGATTGAGTGGAACTCACAGAGCTGAACATTCCTTGCGATGTAGCAGTTTAGAAACACACTTTCTGCAGAATCTGCAAGTGCATATTTGGACCTCTCTGAGGAATTCGTTGGAAACGGGATAATTTCAGCTGACTAAACAGAAGCATTCTCAGAACCTTCTTCGTGATGTCTGCATTCAACTCACAGTGTGGAACCTTTCTTTGATAGTTCAGGTTTGAAACACTCTTTTTGTAGAAACTGCAAGGGGATAATTGCACTTCTTTGAGGCCTACCGTAGTAAAGGAAATAACTTCCTATAGAAAGAAGACAGAAGCATTCTCAGAACCCTCTTCGTGATGTTTGCATTCAACTCACAGTGCTGAACCTTTCTTTGATAGTTCAGCTTTGAAACACTCTTCTTGTAGAAACTGCAAGTGGATATTTGGTCCTCTCTGAGGATTTCGTTGGAAACGGGATAAACCGCACAGAACTAAACAGAAGAATTCTCAGAGCCCTCTTCGTGATGTTTGCATTCAACTCACAGTGCTGAACCTTTCTTTGATAGTGCAGCTTTGAAACACTCTTTTTGTAGAAACTGCAAGTGGATGTTTGGTCCTCTCTGAGGATTTCGTTGGAAACGGGATAAACCGCACAGAACTAAAACAGAAGCATTGTCAGAAACTTCTTTGTGATGATTGCATTCAACTCACAGAGTTGAAGGTTCCTTTTCAAACAGCAGTTTCCAATCACTCTTTCTGTGGAATCTGCAAGTGGATATTTGGGCCTCTCTGAGGATTTCGTTGGAAACGGGATAAAACGCACAGAACTAAAACAGAAGCATTCTCAGAAACTTCTCTGTGATGTTTGTGTTCAACTCCCAGAGTTTCACGTTGCTTTTCATAGAGTAGTTCTGAAACATGCTTTTCGTAGTGTCTGCAAGTGGACATTTGGAGCGCTTTCAGGCCTGTGGTGGAAAACGAATTATGGTCACATAAAAACTGGAGAGAAGCCTTCTCAGAAACTTCTCTGTGATGATTGCATTCAACTCACAGAGTTGAACCCTCCTATGGATAGAGCAGTGTTGAAACTCTCTTTTTGTGGAATCTGCAAGTGGATATGTGGACCTCTCCGAAGATGTCTTTGGAAACGGGAATATCTTCACATAAAAACTAAACAGAAGCATTCTCAGAAACTTCTTGGTGATGTTTGCATTCAAATCCCAGAGTTGAACCTTCCTTTGATAGTTCAGGTTTGAAACACTCTTTCTGTAGGATCTGCAAGTGGCTATTTGGACCACTCTGTGGCCTTCGTTCGAAACGGGTATATCTTCGCATAAAATCTAGACAGAAGCATTCTCAGAAAATACTTTGTGATGATTGAGTTTAAATCACAGAGCTGACCATTCCTTTGGATGGAGCAGGTTTGAGACACACTTTTTGTAGAATCTACAAGTGGATATTTGGACCTCTCTGAGGATTTCGTTGGAAACGGGATAACTGCACCTAACTAAACGGAAGCATTCTCAGAAACTGCTTTGTGATGATTGCATTCACCTCACAGAGTTGAACATTCCTATTGATAGAGCAGTTTGGAAACACTCTTGTTGTGGAATGTGCAAGTGGAGATTTGGAGCGCTTTGAGGCCTATGGTAGTAAAGGGAATAGCTTCATAGAAAAACTAGACAGATGCATTCTCAGGAACTTTTTGGTGATGTTTGTATTCAACTCCCAGAGTTGAACTTTCCTTTGGAAAGAGCAGCTATGAAACACTCTTTTTCTAGAATCTGCAAGTGGACGTTTGGAGGGCTTTGTGGTTTGTGGTGGAAAAGGAAATATCTTCACCTAAATACTAGATAGAAGCATTCTCAGAAGCTTCTCTGTGATGACTGCATTCAACTCACGGAGTTGAACACTCCTTTTGAGAGCGCAGTTTTGAAACTCTCTTTCTGTGGCATCTGCAAGGGGACATGTAGACCTCTTTGAAGATTTCGTTGGAAACGGAATCATCTTCACATAAAAACTATACAGAAGCAGTCTCAGAATCTTCTTTTTGATGTTTGCATTCAAATCCCAGAGTTGAACTTTCCTTTCAAAGTTCACGTTTGAAACACTCTTTTTGCAGGATCTACAAGTGGATATTTGGACCACTCTGTGTCCTTCGTTCGAAACGGGTATATCTTCACACGACATCTAGACAGAAGCTTTCTCAGAAAATTCTTTGGGATGATTGAGTGGAACTCACAGAGCTGAACATTCCTTGCGATGTAGCAGTTTAGAAACACACTTTCTGCAGAATCTGCAAGTGCATATTTGGACCTCTCTGAGGAATTCGTTGGAAACGGGATAATTTCAGCTGACTAAACAGAAGCATTCTCAGAACCTTCTTCGTGATGTCTGCATTCAACTCACAGTGTGGAACCTTTCTTTGATAGTTCAGGTTTGAAACACTCTTTTTGTAGAAACTGCAAGGGGATAATTGCACTTCTTTGAGGCCTACCGTAGTAAAGGAAATAACTTCCTATAGAAAGAAGACAGAAGCATTCTCAGAACCCTCTTCGTGATGTTTGCATTCAACTCACAGTGCTGAACCTTTCTTTGATAGTTCAGCTTTGAAACACTCTTCTTGTAGAAACTGCAAGTGGATATTTGGTCCTCTCTGAGGATTTCGTTGGAAACGGGATAAACCGCACAGAACTAAACAGAAGCATTCTCAGAGCCCTCTTCGTGATGTTTGCATTCAACTCACAGTGCTGAACCTTTCTTTGATAGTGCAGCTTTGAAACACTCTTTTTGTAGAAACTGCAAGTGGATGTTTGGTCCTCTCTGAGGATTTCGTTGGAAACGGGATAAACCGCACAGAACTAAAACAGAAGCATTGTCAGAAACTTCTTTGTGATGATTGCATTCAACTCACAGAGTTGAAGGTTCCTTTTCAAACAGCAGTTTCCAATCACTCTTTCTGTGGAATCTGCAAGTGGATATTTGGGCCTCTCTGAGGATTTCGTTGGAAACGGGATAAAACGCACAGAACTAAAACAGAAGCATTCTCAGAAACTTCTCTGTGATGTTTGTGTTCAACTCCCAGAGTTTCACGTTGCTTTTCATAGAGTAGTTCTGAAACATGCTTTTCGTAGTGTCTGCAAGTGGACATTTGGAGCGCTTTCAGGCCTGTGGTGGAAAACGAATTATGGTCACATAAAAACTGGAGAGAAGCCTTCTCAGAAACTTCTCTGTGATGATTGCATTCAACTCACAGAGTTGAACCCTCCTATGGATAGAGCAGTGTTGAAACTCTCTTTTTGTGGAATCTGCAAGTGGATATGTGGACCTCTCCGAAGATGTCTTTGGAAACGGGAATATCTTCACATAAAAACTAAACAGAAGCATTCTCAGAAACTTCTTGGTGATGTTTGCATTCAAATCCCAGAGTTGAACCTTCCTTTGATAGTTCAGGTTTGAAACACTCTTTCTGTAGGATCTGCAAGTGGCTATTTGGACCACTCTGTGGCCTTCGTTCGAAACGGGTATATCTTCGCATAAAATCTAGACAGAAGCATTCTCAGAAAATACTTTGTGATGATTGAGTTTAAATCACAGAGCTGACCATTCCTTTGGATGGAGCAGGTTTGAGACACACTTTTTGTAGAATCTACAAGTGGATATTTGGACCTCTCTGAGGATTTCGTTGGAAACGGGATAACTGCACCTAACTAAACGGAAGCATTCTCAGAAACTGCTTTGTGATGATTGCATTCACCTCACAGAGTTGAACATTCCTATTGATAGAGCAGTTTGGAAACACTCTTGTTGTGGAATGTGCAAGTGGAGATTTGGAGCGCTTTGAGGCCTATGGTAGTAAAGGGAATAGCTTCATAGAAAAACTAGACAGATGCATTCTCAGGAACTTTTTGGTGATGTTTGTATTCAACTCCCAGAGTTGAACTTTCCTTTGGAAAGAGCAGCTATGAAACACTCTTTTTCTAGAATCTGCAAGTGGACGTTTGGAGGGCTTTGTGGTTTGTGGTGGAAAAGGAAATATCTTCACCTAAATACTAGATAGAAGCATTCTCAGAAGCTTCTCTGTGATGACTGCATTCAACTCACGGAGTTGAACACTCCTTTTGAGAGCGCAGTTTTGAAACTCTCTTTCTGTGGCATCTGCAAGGGGACATGTAGACCTCTTTGAAGATTTCGTTGGAAACGGAATCATCTTCACATAAAAACTATACAGAAGCAGTCTCAGAATCTTCTTTGTGATGTTAGCATTCAAATCCCAGAGTTGAACTTTCCTTTCAAAGTTCACGTTTGAAACACTCTTTTTGCAGGATCTACAAGTGGATATTTGGACCACTCTGTGTCCTTCGTTTGAAACGGGTATATCTTCACACGACATCTAGACAGAAACTTTCTCAGAAAATCCTTTGGGATGATTGAGTTGAACTCACAGAGCTGAACATTCCTTGCGATGGAGCAGTTTAGAAACACACTTTCTGCAGAATCTGCAAGTGCATATTTGGACCTCTCTGAGGAATTCGTTGGAAACGGGATAATTTCAGCTGACTAAACAGAAGCATTCTCAGAACCTTCTTCGTGATGTCTGCATTCAACTCACAGTGTGGAACCTTTCTTTGATAGTTCAGGTTTGAAACACTCTTTTTGTAGAAACTGCAAGGGGATAATTGCACTTCTTTGAGGCCTACCGTAGTAAAGGAAATAACTTCCTATAAAAAGAAGACAGAAGCATTCTCAGGACCCTCTTCGTGATGTTTGCATTCAACTCACAGTGCTGAACCTTTCTTTGATAGTTCAGCTTTGAAACACTCTTTTTGTAGAAACTGCAAGTGGATATTTGGTCCTCTCTGAGGATTTCGTTGGAAACGGGATAAACCGCACAGAACTAAACAGAAGCATTCACAGAAAACTCTTGGTGACGACTGAGTTTAACTCACAGAGCTGAACATTCCTTTGGATGGAACAGTTTCGAAACACACTATTTGTAGAATCTGCAAGTGGATATGTGGGCCTCTCTGAGGATTTCGTTCGAAACGGGATAAACCGCACAGAACTAAAACAGAAGCATTCACAGAAAACTCTTGGTGACGACTGAGTTTAACTCACAGAGCTGAACATTCCTTTGGATGGAGCAGTTTCGAAACACACTATTTGTAGAATGTGCAAGTGGATATTTGGGCCTCTCTGAGGATTTCGTTGGAAACGCGATAAACCGCACAGAAATAAAGAGAAGCATTCTCAGAAACTACTTTGTGATGATTGCATTCAAGTCACAGAGTTGAACATTCCCTTTGACAGAGCAGTTTGGAAACTCTCTTTGTGTAGAATCTGCAAGTGGAGATATGGACCGCTTTGAGGCCTATGGTAGTAAAGGAAATAGCTTCATATAAAAGCTAGACAGTAGCATTCTCAGAAACTTCTTTGTGATGCTTGCATTCAACTCACAGAGTTGAACTTTCCTTTCGAGAGAGAAGCTTTGAAACACTCTTTTTCCAGAATCTGCAAGTGGACATTTGGAGGGCTTTGAGGCCTGTGGTGGAAAAGGAATTATCTTCCCGTAAAAGCTAGATAGAAGCATTGTCAGAAACTTCTTTGTGATGATTGCATTCAACTCACAGAGTTGAAGGTTCCTTTTCAAAGAGCAGTTTCCAATCACTCTTTGTGTGGAATCTGCAAGTGGATATTTGGACCTATTTTGAAGATTTCGTTGGAAACGGGAGAATCTTCACAGGAAAGCTAAACAGAAGCATTCTCAGAAACTTCTCTGTGATGTTTGTGTTCAACTCCCAGAGTTTCACATTGCTTTTCATAGAGTAGTTCTGAAACATGCTTTTCGTAGTGTCTACAAGTGGACATTTGGAGCGCTTTCAGGCCTGTGGTGGAAAACGAATTATGGTCACATAAAAACTGGAGAGAAGCCTTCTCAGAAACTTCTCTGTGATGATTGCATTCAACTCACAGAGTTGAACCCTCCTATGGATAGAGCAGTGTTGAAACTCTCTTTTTGTGGAATCTGCAAGTGGATATGTGGACCTCTCCGAAGATGTCTTTGGAAACGGGAATATCTTCACATAAAAACTAAACAGAAGCATTCTCAGAAACTTCTTGGTGATGTTTGCATTCAAATCCCAGAGTTGAACCTTCCTTTGATAGTTCAGGTTTGAAACACTCTTTTTGTAGGATCTGCAAGTGGATATTTGGACCACTCTGTGGCCTTCGTTCGAAACGGGTATATCTTCGCATAAAATCTAGACAGAAGCATTCTCAGAAAATACTTTGTGATGATTGAGTTTAACTCACAGAGCTGAACATTCCTTTGGATGGAGCAGGTTTGAGACACACCTTTTGTACAATCTACAAGTGGATATTTGGACCTCTCTGAGGATTTCGTTGGAAACGGGATAACTGCACCTAACTAAACGGAAGCATTCTCAGAAACTGCTTTGTGATGATTGCATTCACCTCACAGAGTTGAACATTCCTATTGATAGAGCAGTTTGGAAACACTCTTGTTGTGGAATGTGCAAGTGGAGATTTGGAGCGCTTTGAGGCCTATGGTAGTAAAGGGAATAGCTTCATAGAAAAACTAGACAGATGCATTCTCAGGAACTTTTTGGTGATGTTTGTATTCAACTCCCAGAGTTGAACTTTCCTTTGGAAAGAGCAGCTATGAAACACTGTTTTTCTAGAATCTGCAAGTGGACGTTTGGAGGGCTTTGTGGTTTGTGGTGGAAAAGGAAATATCTTCACCTAAATACTAGATAGAAGCATTCTCAGAAGCTTCTCTGTGATGACTGCATTCAACTCACGGAGTTGAACACTCCTTTTGAGAGCGCAGTTTTGAAACTCTCTTTCTGTGGCATCTGCAAGGGGACATGTAGACCTCTTTGAAGATTTCGTTGGAAACGGAATCATCTTCACATAAAAACTATACAGAAGCAGTCTCAGAATCTTCTTTGTGATGTTTGCATTCAAATCCCCGAGTTGAACTTTCCTTTCAAAGTTCACGTTTGAAACACTCTTTTTGCAGGATCTACAAGTGGATATTTGGACCACTCTGTGTCCTTCGTTCGAAACGGGTATATCTTCACATGACATCTAGACAGAAGCTTTCTCAGAAAATTCTTTGGGATGATTGAGTGGAACTCACAGAGCTGAACATTCCTTGCGATGTAGCAGTTTAGAAACACACTTTCTGCAGAATCTGCAAGTGCATATTTGGACCTCTCCGAGGAATTCGTTGGAAACGGGATAATTTCAGCTGACTAAACAGAAGCATTCTCAGAACCTTCTTCGTGATGTCTGCATTCAACTCACAGTGTGGAACCTTTCTTTGATAGTTCAGGTTTGAAACACTCTTTTTGTAGAAACTGCAAGGGGATAATTGCACTTCTTTGAGGCCTACCGTAGTAAAGGAAATAACTTCCTATAGAAAGAAGACAGAAGCATTCTCAGAACCCTCTTCGTGATGTTTGCATTCAACTCACAGTGCTGAACCTTTCTTTGATAGTTCAGCTTTGAAACACTCTTCTTGTAGAAACTGCAAGTGGATATTTGGTCCTCTCTGAGGATTTCGTTGGAAACGGGATAAACCGCACAGAACTAAACAGAAGAATTCTCAGAGCCCTCTTCGTGATGTTTGCATTCAACTCACAGTGCTGAACCTTTCTTTGATAGTGCAGCTTTGAAACACTCTTTTTGTAGAAACTGCAAGTGGATGTTTGGTCCTCTCTGAGGATTTCGTTGGAAACGGGATAAACCGCACAGAACTAAAACAGAAGCATTGTCAGAAACTTCTTTGTGATGATTGCATTCAACTCACAGAGTTGAAGGTTCCTTTTCAAACAGCAGTTTCCAATCACTCTTTCTGTGGAATCTGCAAGTGGATATTTGGGCCTCTCTGAGGATTTCGTTGGAAACGGGATAAAACGCACAGAACTAAAACAGAAGCATTCTCAGAAACTTCTCTGTGATGTTTGTGTTCAACTCCCAGAGTTTCACGTTGCTTTTCATAGAGTAGTTCTGAAACATGCTTTTCGTAGTGTCTGCAAGTGGACATTTGGAGCGCTTTCAGGCCTGTGGTGGAAAACGAATTATGGTCACATAAAAACTGGAGAGAAGCCTTCTCAGAAACTTCTCTGTGATGATTGCATTCAACTCACAGAGTTGAACCCTCCTATGGATAGAGCAGTGTTGAAACTCTCTTTTTGTGGAACCTGCAAGTGGATATGTGGACCTCTCCGAAGATGTCTTTGGAAACGGGAATATCTTCACATAAAAACTAAACAGAAGCATTCTCAGAAACTTCTTGGTGATGTTTGCATTCAAATCCCAGCAGTTGAACCTTCCTTTGATAGTTCAGGTTTGAAACACTCTTTCTGTAGGATCTGCAAGTGGCTATTTGGACCACTCTGTGGCCTTCGTTCGAAACGGGTATATCTTCGCATAAAATCTAGACAGAAGCATTCTCAGAAAATACTTTGTGATGATTGAGTTTAAATCACAGAGCTGACCATTCCTTTGGATGGAGCAGGTTTGAGACACACTTTTTGTAGAATCTACAAGTGGATATTTGGACCTCTCTGAGGATTTCGTTGGAAACGGGATAACTGCACCTAACTAAACGGAAGCAGCATTCTCAGAAACTGCTTTGTGATGATTGCATTCACCTCACAGAGTTGAACATTCCTATTGATAGAGCAGTTTGGAAACACTCTTGTTGTGGAATGTGCAAGTGGAGATTTGGAGCGCTTTGAGGCCTATGGTAGTAAAGGGAATAGCTTCATAGAAAAACTAGACAGATGCATTCTCAGGAACTTTTTGGTGATGTTTGTATTCAACTCCCAGAGTTGAACTTTCCTTTGGAAAGAGCAGCTATGAAACACTCTTTTTCTAGAATCTGCAAGTGGACGTTTGGAGGGCTTTGTGGTTTGTGGTGGAAAAGGAAATATCTTCACCTAAATACTAGATAGAAGCATTCTCAGAAGCTTCTCTGTGATGACTGCATTCAACTCACGGAGTTGAACACTCCTTTTGAGAGCGCAGTTTTGAAACTCTCTTTCTGTGGCATCTGCAAGGGGACATGTAGACCTCTTTGAAGATTTCGTTGGAAACGGAATCATCTTCACATAAAAACTATACAGAAGCAGTCTCAGAATCTTCTTTGTGATGTTTGCATTCAAATCCCAGAGTTGAACTTTCCTTTCAAAGTTCACGTTTGAAACACTCTTTTTGCAGGATCTACAAGTGGATATTTGGACCACTCTGTGTCCTTCGTTCGAAACGGGTATATCTTCACACGACATCTAGACAGAAGCTTTCTCAGAAAATTCTTTGGGATGATTGAGTGGAACTCACAGAGCTGAACATTCCCTTGCGATGTAGCAGTTTAGAAACACACTTTCTGCAGAATCTGCAAGTGCATATTTGGACCTCTCTGAGGAATTCGTTGGAAACGGGATAATTTCAGCTGACTAAACAGAAGCATTCTCAGAACCTTCTTCGTGATGTCTGCATTCAACTCACAGTGTGGAACCTTTCTTTGATAGTTCAGGTTTGAAACACTCTTTTTGTAGAAACTGCAAGGGGATAATTGCACTTCTTTGAGGCCTACCGTAGTAAAGGAAATAACTTCCTATAGAAAGAAGACAGAAGCATTCTCAGAACCCTCTTCGTGATGTTTGCATTCAACTCACAGTGCTGAACCTTTCTTTGATAGTTCAGCTTTGAAACACTCTTCTTGTAGAAACTGCAAGTGGATATTTGGTCCTCTCTGAGGATTTCGTTGGAAACGGGATAAACCGCACAGAACTAAACAGAAGAATTCTCAGAGCCCTCTTCGTGATGTTTGCATTCAACTCACAGTGCTGAACCTTTCTTTGATAGTGCAGCTTTGAAACACTCTTTTTGTAGAAACTGCAAGTGGATGTTTGGTCCTCTCTGAGGATTTCGTTGGAAACGGGATAAACCGCACAGAACTAAAACAGAAGCATTGTCAGAAACTTCTTTGTGATGATTGCATTCAACTCACAGAGTTGAAGGTTCCTTTTCAAACAGCAGTTTCCAATCACTCTTTCTGTGGAATCTGCAAGTGGATATTTGGGCCTCTCTGAGGATTTCGTTGGAAACGGGATAAAACGCACAGAACTAAAACAGAAGCATTCTCAGAAACTTCTCTGTGATGTTTGTGTTCAACTCCCAGAGTTTCACGTTGCTTTTCATAGAGTAGTTCTGAAACATGCTTTTCGTAGTGTCTGCAAGTGGACATTTGGAGCGCTTTCAGGCCTGTGGTGGAAAACGAATTATGGTCACATAAAAACTGGAGAGAAGCCTTCTCAGAAACTTCTCTGTGATGATTGCATTCAACTCACAGAGTTGAACCCTCCTATGGATAGAGCAGTGTTGAAACTCTCTTTTTGTGGAATCTGCAAGTGGATATGTGGACCTCTCCGAAGATGTCTTTGGAAACGGGAATATCTTCACATAAAAACTAAACAGAAGCATTCTCAGAAACTTCTTGGTGATGTTTGCATTCAAATCCCAGAGTTGAACCTTCCTTTGATAGTTCAGGTTTGAAACACTCTTTCTGTAGGATCTGCAAGTGGCTATTTGGACCACTCTGTGGCCTTCGTTCGAAACGGGTATATCTTCGCATAAAATCTAGACAGAAGCATTCTCAGAAAATACTTTGTGATGATTGAGTTTAAATCACAGAGCTGACCATTCCTTTGGATGGAGCAGGTTTGAGACACACTTTTTGTAGAATCTACAAGTGGATATTTGGACCTCTCTGAGGATTTCGTTGGAAACGGGATAACTGCACCTAACTAAACGGAAGCATTCTCAGAAACTGCTTTGTGATGATTGCATTCACCTCACAGAGTTGAACATTCCTATTGATAGAGCAGTTTGGAAACACTCTTGTTGTGGAATGTGCAAGTGGAGATTTGGAGCGCTTTGAGGCCTATGGTAGTAAAGGGAATAGCTTCATAGAAAAACTAGACAGATGCATTCTCAGGAACTTTTTGGTGATGTTTGTATTCAACTCCCAGAGTTGAACTTTCCTTTGGAAAGAGCAGCTATGAAACACTCTTTTTCTAGAATCTGCAAGTGGACGTTTGGAGGGCTTTGTGGTTTGTGGTGGAAAAGGAAATATCTTCACCTAAATACTAGATAGAAGCATTCTCAGAAGCTTCTCTGTGATGACTGCATTCAACTCACGGAGTTGAACACTCCTTTTGAGAGCGCAGTTTTGAAACTCTCTTTCTGTGGCATCTGCAAGGGGACATGTAGACCTCTTTGAAGATTTCGTTGGAAACGGAATCATCTTCACATAAAAACTATACAGAAGCAGTCTCAGAATCTTCTTTGTGATGTTTGCATTCAAATCCCAGAGTTGAACTTTCCTTTCAAAGTTCACGTTTGAAACACTCTTTTTGCAGGATCTACAAGTGGATATTTGGACCACTCTGTGTCCTTCGTTCGAAACGGGTATATCTTCACACGACATCTAGACAGAAGCTTTCTCAGAAAATTCTTTGGGATGATTGAGTGGAACTCACAGAGCTGAACATTCCTTGCGATGGAGCAGTTTAGAAACACACTTTCTGCAGAATCTGCAAGTGCATATTTGGACCTCTCTGAGGAATTCGTTGGAAACGGGATAATTTCAGCTGACTAAACAGAAGCATTCTCAGAACCTTCTTCGTGATGTCTGCATTCAACTCACAGTGTGGAACCTTTCTTTGATAGTTCAGGTTTGAAACACTCTTTTTGTAGAAACTGCAAGGGGATAATTGCACTTCTTTGAGGCCTACCGTAGTAAAGGAAATAACTTCCTATAGAAAGAAGACAGAAGCATTCTCAGAACCCTCTTCGTGATGTTTGCATTCAACTCACAGTGCTGAACCTTTCTTTGATAGTTCAGCTTTGAAACACTCTTCTTGTAGAAACTGCAAGTGGATATTTGGTCCTCTCTGAGGATTTCGTTGGAAACGGGATAAACCGCACAGAACTAAACAGAAGAATTCTCAGAGCCCTCTTCGTGATGTTTGCATTCAACTCACAGTGCTGAACCTTTCTTTGATAGTGCAGCTTTGAAACACTCTTTTTGTAGAAACTGCAAGTGGATGTTTGGTCCTCTCTGAGGATTTCGTTGGAAACGGGATAAACCGCACAGAACTAAAACAGAAGCATTGTCAGAAACTTCTTTGTGATGATTGCATTCAACTCACAGAGTTGAAGGTTCCTTTTCAAACAGCAGTTTCCAATCACTCTTTCTGTGGAATCTGCAAGTGGATATTTGGGCCTCTCTGAGGATTTCGTTGGAAACGGGATAAAACGCACAGAACTAAAACAGAAGCATTCTCAGAAACTTCTCTGTGATGTTTGTGTTCAACTCCCAGAGTTTCACGTTGCTTTTCATAGAGTAGTTCTGAAACATGCTTTTCGTAGTGTCTGCAAGTGGACATTTGGAGCGCTTTCAGGCCTGTGGTGGAAAACGAATTATGGTCACATAAAAACTGGAGAGAAAGCCTTCTCAGAAACTTCTCTGTGATGATTGCATTCAACTCACAGAGTTGAACCCTCCTATGGATAGAGCAGTGTTGAAACTCTCTTTTTGTGGAATCTGCAAGTGGATATGTGGACCTCTCCGAAGATGTCTTTGGAAACGGGAATATCTTCACATAAAAACTAAACAGAGCATTCTCAGAAACTTCTTGGTGATGTTTGCATTCAAATCCCAGAGTTGAACCTTCCTTTGATAGTTCAGGTTTGAAACACTCTTTTTGTAGGATCTGCAAGTGGATATTTGGACCACTCTGTGGCCTTTGTTCGAAACGGGTACATCTTCGCATAAAATCTAGACAGAAGCATTCTCAGAAAATACTTTGTGATGATTGAGTTTAACTCACAGAGCTGAACATTCCTTTGGATGGAGCAGGTTTGAGACACACTTTTTGTAGAATCTACAAGTGGATATTTGGACCTCTCTGAGGATTTCGTTGGAAACGCGATAACTGCACCTAACTAAACGGAAGCATTCTCAGAAACTGCTTTGTGATGATTGCATTCACCTCACAGAGTTGAACATTCCTATTGATAGAGCAGTTTGGAAACACTCTTGTTGTGGAATGTGCAAGTGGAGATTTGGAGCGCTTTGAGGCCTATGGTAGTAAAGGGAATAGCTTCATAGAAAAACTAGACAGATGCATTCTCAGGAACTTTTTGGTGATGTTTGTATTCAACTCCCAGAGTTGAACTTTCCTTTGGAAAGAGCAGCTATGAAACACTTTTTGTAGAATCTGCAAGTGGACGTTTGGAGGGCTTTGTGGTTTGTGGTGGAAAAGGAAATATCTTCACCTAAATACTAGATAGAAGCATTCTCAGAAGCTTCTCTGTGATGACTGCATTCAACTCACGGAGTTGAACACTCCTTTTGAGAGTGCAGTTTTGAAACTCTCTTTCTGTGGCATCTGCAAGGGGACATGTAGACCTCTCTGAAGATTTCGTTGGAAACGGAATCATCTTCACATAAAAACTATACAGAAGCAGTCTCAGAATCTTCTTTGTGATGTTTGCATTCAAATCCCAGAGTTGAATTTCCTTTCAAAGTTCACGTTTGAAACACTCTTTTTGCAGGATCTACAAGTGGATATTTGGACCACTCTGTGTCCTTCGTTCGAAACGGGTATATCTTCACATGACATCTAGACAGAAGCTTTCTCAGAAAATTCTTTGGGATGATTGAGTGGAACTCACAGAGCTGAACATTCCTTGCGATGGAGCAGTTTAGAAACACACTTTCTGCAGAATCTGCAAGTGCATATTTGGACCTCTCTGAGGAATTCGTTGGAAACGGGATAATTTCAGCTGACTAAACAGAAGCATTCTCAGAACCCTCTTCGTGATGTTTGCATTCAACTCACAGTGCTGAACCTTTCTTTGATAGTTCAGGTTTGAAACACTCTTTTTGTAGAAACTGCAAGGGGATAATTGCACTTCTTTGAGGCCTACCGTAGTAAAGGAAATAACTTCCTATAGAAAGAAGACAGAAGAATTCTCAGAGCCCTCTTCGTGATGTTTGCATTCAACTCACAGTGCTGAACCTTTCTTTGATAGTGCAGCTTTGAAACACTCTTTTTGTAGAAACTGCAAGTGGATGTTTGGTCCTCTCTGAGGATTTCGTTGGAAACGGGATAAACCGCACAGAACTAAAACAGAAGCATTGTCAGAAACTTCTTTGTGATGATTGCATTCAACTCACAGAGTTGAAGGTTCCTTTTCAAACAGCAGTTTCCAATCACTCTTTCTGTGGAATCTGCAAGTGGATATTTGGGCCTCTCTGAGGATTTCGTTGGAAACGGGATAAAACGCACAGAACTAAAACAGAAGCATTCTCAGAAACTTCTCTGTGATGTTTGTGTTCAACTCCCAGAGTTTCACGTTGCTTTTCATAGAGTAGTTCTGAAACATGCTTTTCGTAGTGTCTGCAAGTGGACATTTGGAGCGCTTTCAGGCCTGTGGTGGAAAACGAATTATGGTCACATAAAAACTGGAGAGAAGCCTTCTCAGAAACTTCTCTGTGATGATTGCATTCAACTCACAGAGTTGAACCCTCCTATGGATAGAGCAGTGTTGAAACTCTCTTTTTGTGGAATCTGCAAGTGGATATGTGGACCTCTCCGAAGATGTCTTTGGAAACGGGAATATCTTCACATAAAAACTAAACAGAAGCATTCTCAGAAACTTCTTGGTGATGTTTGCATTCAAATCCCAGAGTTGAACCTTCCTTTGATAGTTCAGGTTTGAAACACTCTTTCTGTAGGATCTGCAAGTGGCTATTTGGACCACTCTGTGGCCTTCGTTCGAAACGGGTATATCTTCGCATAAAATCTAGACAGAAGCATTCTCAGAAAATACTTTGTGATGATTGAGTTTAAATCACAGAGCTGACCATTCCTTTGGATGGAGCAGGTTTGAGACACACTTTTTGTAGAATCTACAAGTGGATATTTGGACCTCTCTGAGGATTTCGTTGGAAACGGGATAACTGCACCTAACTAAACGGAAGCATTCTCAGAAACTGCTTTGTGATGATTGCATTCACCTCACAGAGTTGAACATTCCTATTGATAGAGCAGTTTGGAAACACTCTTGTTGTGGAATGTGCAAGTGGAGATTTGGAGCGCTTTGAGGCCTATGGTAGTAAAGGGAATAGCTTCATAGAAAAACTAGACAGATGCATTCTCAGGAACTTTTTGGTGATGTTTGTATTCAACTCCCAGAGTTGAACTTTCCTTTGGAAAGAGCAGCTATGAAACACTCTTTTTCTAGAATCTGCAAGTGGACGTTTGGAGGGCTTTGTGGTTTGTGGTGGAAAAGGAAATATCTTCACCTAAATACTAGATAGAAGCATTCTCAGAAGCTTCTCTGTGATGACTGCATTCAACTCACGGAGTTGAACACTCCTTTTGAGAGCGCAGTTTTGAAACTCTCTTTCTGTGGCATCTGCAAGGGGACATGTAGACCTCTTTGAAGATTTCGTTGGAAACGGAATCATCTTCACATAAAAACTATACAGAAGCAGTCTCAGAATCTTCTTTGTGATGTTTGCATTCAAATCCCAGAGTTGAACTTTCCTTTCAAAGTTCACGTTTGAAACACTCTTTTTGCAGGATCTACAAGTGGATATTTGGACCACTCTGTGTCCTTCGTTCGAAACGGGTATATCTTCACACGACATCTAGACAGAAGCTTTCTCAGAAAATTCTTTGGGATGATTGAGTGGAACTCACAGAGCTGAACATTCCTTGCGATGTAGCAGTTTAGAAACACACTTTCTGCAGAATCTGCAAGTGCATATTTGGACCTCTCTGAGGAATTCGTTGGAAACGGGATAATTTCAGCTGACTAAACAGAAGCATTCTCAGAACCTTCTTCGTGATGTCTGCATTCAACTCACAGTGTGGAACCTTTCTTTGATAGTTCAGGTTTGAAACACTCTTTTTGTAGAAACTGCAAGGGGATAATTGCACTTCTTTGAGGCCTACCGTAGTAAAGGAAATAACTTCCTATAGAAAGAAGACAGAAGCATTCTCAGAACCCTCTTCGTGATGTTTGCATTCAACTCACAGTGCTGAACCTTTCTTTGATAGTTCAGCTTTGAAACACTCTTCTTTTAGAAACTGCAAGTGGATATTTGGTCCTCTCTGAGGATTTCGTTGGAAACGGGATAAACCGCACAGAACTAAACAGAAGAATTCTCAGAGCCCTCTTCGTGATGTTTGCATTCAACTCACAGTGCTGAACCTTTCTTTGATAGTGCAGCTTTGAAACACTCTTTTTGTAGAAACTGCAAGTGGATATTTGGTCCTCTCTGAGGATTTCGTTGGAAACGGGATAAACCGCACAGAACTAAAACAGAAGCATTCACAGAAAACTCTTGGTGACGACTGAGTTTAACTCACAGAGCTGAACATTCCTTTGGATGGAGCAGTTTCGAAACACACTATTTGTAGAATCTGCAAGTGGATATTTGGGCCTCTCTGAGGATTTCGTTGGAAACGGGATAAAACGCATAGAACTAAAACAGAAGCATTCTCAGAAACTACTTTGTGATGATTGCATTCAAGTCACAGAGTTGAACATTCCCTTTGACAGAACAGTTTGGAAACTCTCTTTGTGTAGAATCTGCAAGTGGAGATATGGACCGCTTTGAGGCCTATGGTAGTAAAGGAAATAGCTTCATATAAAAGCTAGACAGTAGCATTCTAAGAAACGTCTTTGTGATGCTTGCATTCAACTCACAGAGTTGAACTTTCCTTTCGAGAGAGAAGCTTTGAAACACTCTTTTTCCAGAATGTGCAAGTGGACATTTGGGGAGCTTTGAGGCCTGTGGTGGAAAAGGAATTATCTTCCCGTAAAAGCTAGATAGAAGCATTGTCAGAAACTTCTTTGAGATGATTGCATTCAACTCACAGAGTTGAAGGTTCCTTTTCAAACAGCAGTTTCCAATCACTCTTTCTGTGGAATCTGCAAGTGGATATTTCGACCTCTTTGAAGATTTCGTTGGAAACGGGAGAATCTTCACAGAAAAGCTAAACAGAAGCATTCTCAGAAACTTCTCTGTGATGTTTGTGTTCAACTCCCAGAGTTTCACATTGCTTTTCATAGAGTAGTTCTGAAACATGCTTTTCGTAGTGTCTACAAGTGGACATTTGGAGCGCTTTCAGGCCTGTGGTGGAAAACGAATTATGGTCACATAAAAACTGGAGAGAAGCCTTCTCAGAAACTTCTCTGTGATGATTGCATTCAACTCACAGAGTTGAACCCTCCTATGGATAGAGCAGTGTTGAAACTCTCTTTTTGTGGAATCTGCAAGTGGATATGTGGACCTCTCCGAAGATGTCTTTGGAAACGGGAATATCTTCACATAAAAACTAAACAGAAGCATTCTCAGGAACTTCTTGGTGATGTTTGCATTCAAATCCCAGAGTCGAACCTTCCTTTGATAGTTCAGGTTTGAAACACTCTTTTTGTAGGATCTGCAAGTGGATATTTGGACCACTCTGTGGCCTTCGTTCGAAACGGGTATATCTTCGCATAAAATCTAGACAGAAGCATTCTCAGAAAATACTTTGTGATGATTGAGTTTAACTCACAGAGCTGAACATTCCTTTGGATGGAGCAGGTTTGAGACACACTTTTTGTAGAATCTACAAGTGGATATTTGGACCTCTCTGAGGATTTCGTTGGAAACGGGATAACTGCACCTATCTAAACGGAAGCATTCTCAGAAACTGCTTTGTGATGATTGCATTCACCTCACAGAGTTGAACATTCCTATTGATAGAGCAGTTTGGAAACACTCTTGTTGTGGAATGTGCAAGTGGAGATTTGGAGCGCTTTGAGGCCTATGGTAGTAAAGGGAATAGCTTCATAGAAAAACTAGACAGATGCATTCTCAGGAACTTTTTGGTGATGTTTGTATTCAACTCCCAGAGTTGAACTTTCCTTTGGAAAGAGCAGCTATGAAACACTCTTTTTCTAGAATCTGCAAGTGGACGTTTGGAGGGCTTTGTGGTTTGTGGTGGAAAAGGAAATATCTTCACCTAAATACTAGATAGAAGCATTCTCAGAAGCTTCTCTGTGATGACTGCATTCAACTCACGGAGTTGAACACTCCTTTTGAGAGCGCAGTTTTGAAACTCTCTTTCTGTGGCATCTGCAAGGGGACATGTAGACCTCTTTGAAGATTTCGTTGGAAACGGAATCATCTTCACATAAAAACTATACAGAAGCAGTCTCAGAATCTTCTTTGTGATGTTTGCATTCAAATCCCAGAGTTGAACTTTCCTTTCAAAGTTCACGTTTGAAACACTCTTTTTGCAGGATCTACAAGTGGATATTTGGACCACTCTGTGTCCTTCGTTCGAAACGGGTATATCTTCACACGACATCTAGACAGAAGCTTTCTCAGAAAATTCTTTGGGATGATTGAGTGGAACTCACAGAGCTGAACATTCCTTGCGATGGAGCAGTTTAGAAACACACTTTCTGCAGAATCTGCAAGTGCATATTTGGACCTCTCTGAGGAATTCGTTGGAAACGGGATAATTTCAGCTGACTAAACAGAAGCATTCTCAGAACCTTCTTCGTGATGTCTGCATTCAACTCACAGTGTGGAACCTTTCTTTGATAGTTCAGGTTTGAAACACTCTTTTTGTAGAAACTGCAAGGGGATAATTGCACTTCTTTGAGGCCTACCGTAGTAAAGGAAATAACTTCCTATAGAAAGAAGACAGAAGCATTCTCAGAACCCTCTTCGTGATGTTTGCATTCAACTCACAGTGCTGAACCTTTCTTTGATAGTTCAGCTTTGAAACACTCTTCTTGTAGAAACTGCAAGTGGATATTTGGTCCTCTCTGAGGATTTCGTTGGAAACGGGATAAACCGCACAGAACTAAACAGAAGAATTCTCAGAGCCCTCTTCGTGATGTTTGCATTCAACTCACAGTGCTGAACCTTTCTTTGATAGTGCAGCTTTGAAACACTCTTTTTGTAGAAACTGCAAGTGGATATTTGGTCCTCTCTGAGGATTTCGTTGGAAACGGGATAAACCGCACAGAAATAAAACAGAAGCATTCTCAGAACCTTCTTCGTGATGTTTGCATTCAACTCACAGTGTTGAACCTTTCTTTGATAGTTCAGGTTGGAAACGGTCTTTCTGTAGAAACTGCAAGTAGATATTTGGACCTCTCTGAGGATTTCGTTGGAAACGGGATAAACCGCACAGAACTAAAACAGAAGCATTCACAGAAAACTCTTGGTGACGACTGAGTTTAACTCACAGAGCTGAACATTCCTTTGGATGGAGCAGTTTCAAAACACACTATTTGTAGAATGTGCAAGTGGATATTTGGGCCTCTCTGAGGATTTCATTGGAAACGGGATAAACCGCACAGAACTAAACAGAAGCATTCTCAGAAACTACTTTGTGATGATAGCATTCAAGTCACAGAGTTGAACATTCCCTTTGACACAGCAGTTTGGAAACTCTCTTTGTGTAGAATCTGCAAGTGGAGATATGGACCGCTTTGAGGCCTATGGTAGTAAAGGAAATAGCTTCATATAAAAGCTAGACAGTAGCATTCTCAGAAACTTCTTTGTGATGCTTGCATTCAACTCACAGAGTTGAACTTTCCTTTCGAGAGAGAAGCTTTGAAACACTCTTTTTCCAGAATCTGCAAGTGGACATTTGGAGGGCTTTGAGGCCTGTGGTGGAAAAGGAATTATCTTCCCGTAAAAGCTAGATGGAAGCATTGTCAGAAACTTCTTTGTGATGATTGCATTCAACTCACAGAGTTGAAGGTTCCTTTTCAAACAGCAGTTTCCAATCACTCTTTCTGTGGAATCTGCAAGTGGATATTTGGACCTATTTTGAAGATTTCGTTGGAAACGGGATAATCTTCACAGAAAAGCTAAACAGAAGCATTCTCAGAAACTTCTCTGTGATGTTTGTGTTCAACTCCCAGAGTTTCACGTTGCTTTTCATAGAGTAGTTCTGAAACATGCTTTTCGTAGTGTCTGCAAGTGGACATTTGGAGCGCTTTCAGGCCTGTGGTGGAAAACGAATTATGGTCACATAAAAACTGGAGAGAAGCCTTCTCAGAAACTTCTCTGTGATGATTGCATTCAACTCACAGAGTTGAACCCTCCTATGGATAGAGCAGTGTTGAAACTCTCTTTTTGTGGAATCTGCAAGTGGATATGTGGACCTCTCCGAAGATGTCTTTGGAAACGGGAATATCTTCACATAAAAACTAAACAGAAGCATTCTCAGAAACTTCTTGGTGATGTTTGCATTCAAATCCCAGAGTTGAACCTTCCTTTGATAGTTCAGGTTTGAAACACTCTTTCTGTAGGATCTGCAAGTGGCTATTTGGACCACTCTGTGGCCTTCGTTCGAAACGGGTATATCTTCGCATAAAATCTAGACAGAAGCATTCTCAGAAAATACTTTGTGATGATTGAGTTTAAATCACAGAGCTGACCATTCCTTTGGATGGAGCAGGTTTGAGACACACTTTTTGTAGAATCTACAAGTGGATATTTGGACCTCTCTGAGGATTTCGTTGGAAACGGGATAACTGCACCTAACTAAACGGAAGCATTCTCAGAAACTGCTTTGTGATGATTGCATTCACCTCACAGAGTTGAACATTCCTATTGATAGAGCAGTTTGGAAACACTCTTGTTGTGGAATGTGCAAGTGGAGATTTGGAGCGCTTTGAGGCCTGTGGTAGTAAAGGGAATAGCTTCATAGAAAAACTAGACAGATGCATTCTCAGGAACTTTTTGGTGATGTTTGTATTCAACTCCCAGAGTTGAACTTTCCTTTGGAAAGAGCAGCTATGAAACACTCTTTTTCTAGAATCTGCAAGTGGACGTTTGGAGGGCTTTGTGGTTTGTGGTGGAAAAGGAAATATCTTCACCTAAATACTAGATAGAAGCATTCTCAGAAGCTTCTCTGTGATGACTGCATTCAACTCACGGAGTTGAACACTCCTTTTGAGAGCGCAGTTTTGAAACTCTCTTTCTGTGGCATCTGCAAGGGGACATGTAGACCTCTTTGAAGATTTCGTTGGAAACGGAATCATCTTCACATAAAAACTATACAGAAGCAGTCTCAGAATCTTCTTTGTGATGTTTGCATTCAAATCCCAGAGTTGAACTTGCCTTTCAAAGTTCACGTTTGAAACACTCTTTTTGCAGGATCTACAAGTGGATATTTGGACCACTCTGTGTCCTTCGTTCGAAACGGGTATATCTTCACATGACATCTAGACAGAAGCTTTCTCAGAAAATCCTTTGGGATGATTGAGTGGAACTCACAGAGCTGAACATTCCTTGCGATGTAGCAGTTTAGAAACACACTTTCTGCAGAATCTGCAAGTGCATATGTGGACCTCTCTGAGGAATTCGTTGGAAACGGGATAATTTCAGCTGACTAAACAGAAGCATTCTCAGAACCTTCTTCGTGATGTCTGCATTCAACTCACAGTGTGGAACCTTTCTTTGATAGTTCAGGTTTGAAACACTCTTTTTGTAGAAACTGCAAGGGGATAATTGCACTTCTTTGAGGCCTACCGTAGTAAAGGAAATAACTTCCTATAGAAAGAAGACAGAAACATTCTCAGAACCCTCTTCGTGATGTTTGCATTCAACTCACAGTGCTGAACCTTTCTTTGATAGTTCAGCTCTGAAACACTCTTCTTGTAGAAACTGCAAGTGGATATTTGGTCCTCTCTGAGGATTTCGTTGGAAACGGGATAAACCGCACAGAACTAAACAGAAGAATTCTCAGAGCCCTCTTCGTGATGTTTGCATTCAACTCACAGTGCTGAACCTTTCTTTGATAGTGCAGCTTTGAAACACTCTTTTTGTAGAAACTGCAAGTGGATGTTTGGTCCTCTCTGAGGATTTCGTTGGAAACGGGATAAACCGCACAGAACTAAAACAGAAGCATTGTCAGAAACTTCTTTGTGATGATTGCATTCAACTCACAGAGTTGAAGGTTCCTTTTCAAACAGCAGTTTCCAATCACTCTTTCTGTGGAATCTGCAAGTGGATATTTGGGCCTCTCTGAGGATTTCGTTGGAAACGGGATAAAACGCACAGAACTAAAACAGAAGCATTCTCAGAAACTTCTCTGTGATGTTTGTGTTCAACTCCCAGAGTTTCACGTTGCTTTTCATAGAGTAGTTCTGAAACATGCTTTTCGTAGTGTCTGCAAGTGGACATTTGGAGCGCTTTCAGGCCTGTGGTGGAAAACGAATTATGGTCACATAAAAACTGGAGAGAAGCCTTCTCAGAAACTTCTCTGTGATGATTGCATTCAACTCACAGAGTTGAACCCTCCTATGGATAGAGCAGTGTTGAAACTCTCTTTTTGTGGAATCTGCAAGTGGATATGTGGACCTCTCCGAAGATGTCTTTGGAAACGGGAATATCTTCACATAAAAACTAAACAGAAGCATTCTCAGAAACTTCTTGGTGATGTTTGCATTCAAATCCCAGAGTTGAACCTTCCTTTGATAGTTCAGGTTTGAAACACTCTTTCTGTAGGATCTGCAAGTGGCTATTTGGACCACTCTGTGGCCTTCGTTCGAAACGGGTATATCTTCGCATAAAATCTAGACAGAAGCATTCTCAGAAAATACTTTGTGATGATTGAGTTTAAATCACAGAGCTGACCATTCCTTTGGATGGAGCAGGTTTGAGACACACTTTTTGTAGAATCTACAAGTGGATATTTGGACCTCTCTGAGGATTTCGTTGGAAACGGGATAACTGCACCTAACTAAACGGAAGCATTCTCAGAAACTGCTTTGTGATGATTGCATTCACCTCACAGAGTTGAACATTCGTATTGATAGAGCAGTTTGGAAACACTCTTCTTGTGGAATGTGCAAGTGGAGATTTGGAGCGCTTTGGGGCCTATGGTAGTAAAGGGAATAGCTTCATAGAAAAACTAGACAGATGCATTCTCAGGAATTTTTTGGTGATGTTTGTGTTCAACTCCCAGAGTTGAACTTTCCTTTGGAAAGAGCAGCTATGAAACACTCTTTTTCTAGAATCTGCAAGTGGACGTTTGGAGGGCTTTGTGGTTTGTGGTGGAAAAGGAAATATCTTCACCTAAATACTAGATAGAAGCATTCTCAGAAGCTTCTCTGTGATGACTGCATTCAACTCACGGAGTTGAACACTCCTTTTGAGAGCGCAGTTTTGAAACTCTCTTTCTGTGGCATCTGCAAGGGGACATGTAGACCTCTTTGAAGATTTCGTTGGAAACGGAATCATCTTCACATAAAAACTATACAGAAGCAGTCTCAGAATCTTCTTTGTGATGTTTGCATTCAAATCCCAGAGTTGAACTTTCCTTTCAAAGTTCACGTTTGAAACACTCTTTTTGCAGGATCTACAAGTGGATATTTGGACCACTCTGTGTCCTTCGTTCGAAACGGGTATATCTTCACACGACATCTAGACAGAAGCTTTCTCAGAAAATTCTTTGGGATGATTGAGTGGAACTCACAGAGCTGAACATTCCTTGCGATGGAGCAGTTTAGAAACACACTTTCTGCAGAATCTGCAAGTGCATATTTGGACCTCTCTGAGGAATTCGTTGGAAACGGGATAATTTCAGCTGACTAAACAGAAGCATTCTCAGAACCTTCTTCGTGATGTCTGCATTCAACTCACAGTGTGGAACCTTTCTTTGATAGTTCAGGTTTGAAACACTCTTTTTGTAGAAACTGCAAGGGGATAATTGCACTTCTTTGAGGCCTACCGTAGTAAAGGAAATAACTTCCTATAGAAAGAAGACAGAAGCATTCTCAGAACCCTCTTCGTGATGTTTGCATTCAACTCACAGTGCTGAACCTTTCTTTGATAGTTCAGCTTTGAAACACTCTTCTTGTAGAAACTGCAAGTGGATATTTGGTCCTCTCTGAGGATTTCGTTGGAAACGGGATAAACCGCACAGAACTAAACAGAAGAATTCTCAGAGCCCTCTTCGTGATGTTTGCATTCAACTCACAGTGCTGAACCTTTCTTTGATAGTGCAGCTTTGAAACACTCTTTTTGTAGAAACTGCAAGTGGATGTTTGGTCCTCTCTGAGGATTTCGTTGGAAACGGGATAAACCGCACAGAACTAAAACAGAAGCATTGTCAGAAACTTCTTTGTGATGATTGCATTCAACTCACAGAGTTGAAGGTTCCTTTTCAAACAGCAGTTTCCAATCACTCTTTCTGTGGAATCTGCAAGTGGATATTTGGGCCTCTCTGAGGATTTCGTTGGAAACGGGATAAAACGCACAGAACTAAAACAGAAGCATTCTCAGAAACTTCTCTGTGATGTTTGTGTTCAACTCCCAGAGTTTCACGTTGCTTTTCATAGAGTAGTTCTGAAACATGCTTTTCGTAGTGTCTGCAAGTGGACATTTGGAGCGCTTTCAGGCCTGTGGTGGAAAACGAATTATGGTCACATAAAAACTGGAGAGAAGCCTTCTCAGAAACTTCTCTGTGATGATTGCATTCAACTCACAGAGTTGAACCGTCCTATGCATAGAGCAGTGTTGAAACTCTCTTTTTGTGGAATCTGCAAGTGGATATGTGGACCTCTCCGAAGATGTCTTTGGAAACGGGAATATCTTCACATAAAAACTAAACAGACATTCTCAGAAACTTCTTGGTGATGTTTGCATTCAAATCCCAGAGTTGAACCTTCCTTTGATAGTTCAGGTTTGAAACACTCTTTCTGTAGGATCTGCAAGTGGCTATTTGGACCACTCTGTGGCCTTCGTTCGAAACGGGTATATCTTCGCATAAAATCTAGACAGAAGCATTCTCAGAAAATACTTTGTGATGATTGAGTTGAACTCACAGAGCTGAACATTCCTTTGGATGGAGCAGGTTTGAGACACACTTTTTGTAGAATCTACAAGTGGATATTTCGACCTCTCTGAGGATTTCGTTGGAAACGGGATAACTGCACCTAACTAAACGGAAGCATTCTCAGAAACTGCTTTGTGATGATTGCATTCACCTCACAGAGTTGAACATTCCTATTGATAGAGCAGTTTGGAAACACTCTTGTTGTGGAATGTGCAAGTGGAGATTTGGAGCGCTTTGAGGCCTATGGTAGTAAAGGGAATAGCTTCATAGAAAAACTAGACAGATGCATTCTCAGGAACTTTTTGGTGATGTTTGTATTCAACTCCCAGAGTTGAACTTTCCTTTGGAAAGAGCAGCTATGAAACACTCTTTTTCTAGAATCTGCAAGTGGACGTTTGGAGGGCTTTGTGGTTTGTGGTGGAAAAGGAAATATCTTCACCTAAATACTAGATAGAAGCATTCTCAGAAGCTTCTCTGTGATGACTGCATTCAACTCACGGAGTTGAACACTCCTTTTGAGAGCGCAGTTTTGAAACTCTCTTTCTGTGGCATCTGCAAGGGGACATGTAGACCTCTTTGAAGATTTCGTTGGAAACGGAATCATCTTCACATAAAAACTATACAGAAGCAGTCTCAGAATCTTCTTTGTGATGTTTGCATTCAAATCCCAGAGTTGAACTTTCCTTTCAAAGTTCACGTTTGAAACACTCTTTTTGCAGGGTCTACAAGTGGATATTTGGACCACTCTGTGTCCTTCGTTCGAAACGGGTATATCTTCACATGACATCTAGACAGAAGCTTTCTCAGAAAATTCTTTGGGATGATTGAGTGGAACTCACAGAGCTGAACATTCCTTGCGATGTAGCAGTTTAGAAACACACTTTCTGCAGAATCTGCAAGTGCATATTTGGACCTCTCTGAGGAATTCGTTGGAAACGGGATAATTTCAGCTGACTAAACAGAAGCATTCTCAGAACCTTCTTCGTGATGTCTGCATTCAACTCACAGTGTGGAACCTTTCTTTGATAGTTCAGGTTTGAAACACTCTTTTTGTAGAAACTGCAAGGGGATAATTGCACTTCTTTGAGGCCTACCGTAGTAAAGGGAATAACTTCCTATAGAAAGAAGACAGAAGAATTCTCAGAGCCCTCTTCGTGATGTTTGCATTCAACTCACAGTGCTGAACCTTTCTTTGATAGTGCAGCTTTGAAACACTCTTTTTGTAGAAACTGCAAGTGGATATTTGGTCCTCTCTGAGGATTTCGTTGGAAACGGGATAAACCGCACAGAACTAAACAGAAGCATTCACAGAAAACTCTTGTTGACGACTGAGTTTAACTCACAGAGCTGAACATTCCTTTGGATGGAGCAGTTTCGAAACACACTATTTGTAGAATCTGCAAGTGGATATTTGGGCCTCTCTGAGGATTTCGTTGGAAACGGGATAAAACGCACAGAACTAAAACAGAAGCATTCTCAGAAACTACTTTGTGATGATTGCATTCAAGTCACAGAGTTGAACATTCCCTTTGACAGAGCAGTTTGGAAACTCTCTTTGTGTAGAATCTGCAAGTGGAGATATGGACCGCTTTGAGGCCTATGGTAGTAAAGGAAATAGCTTCATATAAAAGCTAGACAGTAGCATTCTCAGAAACTTCTTTGTGATGCTTGCATTCAACTCACAGAGTTGAACTTTCCTTTCGAGAGAGAAGCTTTGAAACACTCTTTTTCCAGAATCTGCAAGTGGACATTTGGAGGGCTTTGAGGCCTGTGTTGGAAAAGGAATTATCTTCCCGTAAAAGCTAGACAGAAGCATTGTCAGAAACTTCTTTGTGATGATTGCATTCAACTCACAGAGTTGAAGGTTCCTTTTCAAAGAGCAGTTTCCAATCACTCTTTCTGTGGAATCTGCAAGTGGATATTTGGACCTCTTTGAAGATTTCGTTGGAAACGGGAGAATCTTCACAGAAAAGCTAAACAGAAGCTTTCTCAGAAACTTCTCTGTGATGTTTGTGTTCAACTCCCAGAGTTTCACATTGCTTTTCATAGAGTAGTTCTGAAACATGCTTTTCGTAGTGTCTGCAAGTGGACATTTGGAGCGCTTTCAGGCCTGTGGTGGAAAACGAATTATGGTCACATAAAAACTGGAGAGAAGCCTTCTCAGAAACTTCTCTGTGATGATTGCATTCAACTCACAGATTTGAACCCTCCTATGGATAGAGCAGTGTTGAAACTCTCTTTTTGTGGAATCTGCAAGTGGATATGTGGACCTCTCCGAAGATGTCTTTGGAAACGGGAATATCTTCACATAAAAACTAAACAGAAGCATTCTCAGAAACTTCTTGGTGATGTTTGCATTCAAATCCCAGAAGTTGAACCTTCCTTTGATAGTTCAGGTTTGAAACACTCTTTTTGTAGGATCTGCAAGTGGATATTTGGACCACTCTGTGGCCTTCGTTCGAAACGGCTATATCTTCGCATAAAATCTAGACAGAAACATTCTCAGAAAATACTTTGTGATGATTGAGTTTAAATCACAGAGCTGAACATTCCTTTGGATGGAGCAGGTTTGAGACACACTTTTTGTAGAATCTACAAGTGGATATTTGGACCTCTCTGAGGATTTCGTTGGAAACGGGATAACTGCACCTAACTGAACGGAAGCATTCTCAGAAACTGCTTTGTGATGATTGCATTCACCTCACAGAGTTGAACATTCCTATTGATAGAGCAGTTTGGAAACACTCTTGTTGTGGAATGTGCAAATGGAGATTTGGAGCGCTTTGAGGCCTATGGTAGTAAAGGGAATAGCTTCATAGAAAAACTAGACAGATGCATTCTCAGGAACTTTTTGGTGATGTTTGTATTCAACTCCCAGAGTTGAACTTTCCTTTGGAAAGAGCAGCTATGAAACACTCTTTTTCTAGAATCTGCAAGTGGACGTTTGGAGGGCTTTGTGGTTTGTGGTGGAAAAGGATATATCTTCACCTAAATACTAGAGAGAAGCATTCTCAGAAGCTTCTCTGTGATGACTGCATTCAACTCACGGAGTTGGACACTCCTTTTGAGAGCGCAGTTTTGAAACTCTCTTTCTGTGGCATCCGCAAGGGGACATGTGGACCTCTTTGAAGATTTCGTTGGAAACGGAATCATCTTCACATAAAAACTATACAGAAGCAGTCTCAGAATCTTCTTTGTGATGTTTGCATTCAAATCCCAGAGTTGAACTTTCCTTTCAAAGTTCACGTTTGAAACACTCTTTTTGCAGGATCTACAAGTGGATATTTGGACCACTCTGTGTCCTTCGTTCGAAACGGGTATATCTTCACATGACATCTAGACAGAAGCTTTCTCAGAAAATTCTTTGGGATGATTGAGTTGAACTCACAGAGCTGAACATTCCTTGCGATGGAGCAGTTTAGAAACACACTTTCTGCAGAATCTGCAAGTGCATATTTGGACCTCTCTGAGGAATTCGTTGGAAACGGGATAATTTCAGCTGACTAAACAGAAGCATTCTCAGAACCTTCTTCGTGATGTCTGCATTCAACTCACAGTGTGGAACCTTTCTTTGATAGTTCAGGTTTGAAACACTCTTTTTGTAGAGACTGCAAGGGGATAATTGCACTTCTTTGAGGCCTACCGTAGTAAAGGAAATAACTTCCTATAAAAAGAAGACAGAAGCATTCTCAGAACCCTCTTCGAGATGTTTGCATTCAACTCACAGTGCTGAAACTTTCTTTGATAGTTCAGCTTTGAAACACTCTTTTTGTAGAAACTGCAAGTGGATACTTGGTCCTCTCTGAGGATTTCGTTGGAAAAGGGATAAACCGCACAGAACTAAACAGAAGCATTCACAGAAAACTCTTGGTGACGACTGAGTTTAACTCACAGAGCTGAACATTCCTTTGGATGGAGCAGTTTCGAAACACACTATTTGTAGAATCTGCAAGTGGATATTTGGGCCTCTCTGAGGATTTCGTTGGAAACGGGATAAAACACACAGAACTAAAACAGAAGCATTCTCAGAAACTACTTTGTGATGATTGCATTCAAGTCACAGAGTTGAACATTCCCTTTGACAGAGCAGTTTGGAAACTCTCTTTGTGTAGAATCTGCAAGTGGAGATATGGACCGCTTTGAGGCCTATGGTAGTAAAGGAAATAGCTTCATATAAAAGCTAGACAGTAGCATTCTCAGAAACTTCTTTGTGATGCTTGCATTCAACTCACAGAGTTGAACTTTCCTTTCGAGAGAGAAGCTTTGAAACACTCTTTTTCCAGAATGTGCAAGTGGACATTTGGGGAGCTTTGAGGCCTGTGGTGGAAAAGGAATTATCTTCCCGTAAAAGCTAGATAGAAGCATTGTCAGAAACTTCTTTGTGATGATTGCATTCAACTCACAGAGTTGAAGATTCCTTTTCAAACAGCAGTTTCCAATCACTCTTTCTGTGGAATCTGCAAGTGGATATTTCGACCTCTTTGAAGATTTCTTTGGAAACGGGAGAATCTTCACAGAAAAGCTAAACAGAAGCATTCTCAGAAACTTCTCTGTGATGTTTGTGTTCAACTCCCAGAGTTTCACGTTGCTTTTCATAGAGTAGTTCTGAAACATGCTTTTCTTAGTGTCTGCAAGTGGACATTTGGAGCGCTTTCAGGCCTGTGGTGGAAAACGAATTATGGTCACATAAAAACTGGAGAGATGCCTTCTCAGAAACTTCTCTGTGATGATTGCATTCAACTCACAGAGTTGAACCCTCCTATGGATAGAGCAGTGTTGAAACTCTCTTTTTGTGGAATCTGCAAGTGGATATGTGGACCTCTCCGAAGATGTCTTTGGAAACGGGAATATCTTCACATAAAAACTAAACAGAAGCATTGTCAGAAAATTCTGGGTGATGTTTGCATTCAAATCCCAGAGTTGAACCTTCCTTTGATAGTTCAGGTTTGAAACACTCTTTTTGTAGGATCTGCAAGTGGATATTTGGACCACTCTGTGGCCTTCGTTCGAAACGGGTACATCTTCGCATAAAATCTAGACAGAAGCATTCTCAGAAAATACTTTGTGATGATTGAGTTGATCTCACAGAGCTGAACATTCCTTTGGATGGAGCAGGTTTGAGACACACTTTTTGTAGAATCTACAAGTGGATATTTGGACCTCTCTGAGGATTTCGTTGGTAACGGGATAACTGCACCTAACTAAACGGAAGCATTCTCAGAAACTGCTTTGTGATGATTGCATTCACCTCACAGAGTTGAACATTCCTATTGATAGAGCAGTTTGGAAACACTCTTGTTGTGGAATGTGCAAGTGGAGATTTGGAGCGCTTTGAGGCCTATGGTAGTAAAGGGAATAGCTTCATAGAAAAACTAGACAGATGCATTCTCAGGAACTTTTTGGTGATGTTTGTATTCAACTCCCAGAGTTGAACTTTCCTTTGGAAAGAGCAGCTATGAAACACTCTTTTTCTAGAATCTGCAAGTGGACGTTTGGAGGGCTTTGTGGTTTGTGGTGGAAAAGGAAATATCTTCACCTAAATACTAGATAGAAGCATTCTCAGAAGCTTCTCTGTGATGACTGCATTCAACTCACGGAGTTGAACACTCCTTTTGAGAGCGCAGTTTTGAAACTCTCTTTCTGTGGCATCTGCAAGGGGACATGTAGACCTCTTTGAAGATTTCGTTGGAAACGGAATCATCTTCACATAAAAACTATACAGAAGCAGTCTCAGAATCTTCTTTGTGATGTTTGCATTCAAATCCCCGAGTTGAACTTTCCTTTCAAAGTTCACGTTTGAAACACTCTTTTTGCGGGATCTACAAGTGGATATTTGGACCACTCTGTGTCCTTCGTTCGAAACGGGTATATCTTCACATGACATCTAGACAGAAGCTTTCTCAGAAAATTCTTTGGGATGATTGAGTTGAACTCACAGAGCTGAGCATTCCTTGCGATGTAGCAGTTTAGAAACACACTTTCTGCAGAATCTGCAAGTGCATATTTGGACCTCTGTGAGGAATTCGTTGGAAACGGGATAATTTCAGCTGACTAAACAGAAGCATTCTCAGAACCTTCTTCGTGATGTCTGCATTCAACTCACAGTGTGGAACCTTTCTTTGATAGTTCAGGTTTGAAACACTCTTTTTGTAGAAACTGCAAGGGGATAATTGCACTCTTTGAGGAGTACCGTAGTAAAGGAAATAACTTCCTATAAAAAGAAGACAGAAGCATTCTCAGAACCCTCTTCGTGATGTTTGCATTCAACTCACAGTGCTGAACCTTTCTTTGATAGTTCAGCTTTGAAACACTCTTTTTGTAGAAACTGCAAGTGGATATTTGGTCCTCTCTGAGCATTTCGTTGGAAACGGGATAAACTGCACAGAACTAAACAGAAGCATTCTCAGAACCTTCTTCGTGATGTTTGCATTCAACTCACAGTGTTGAACCTTTCTTTGATAGTTCAGGTTTGAAACGGTCTTTCTGTAGAAACTGCAAGTAGATATTTGGACCTCTCTGAGGATTTCGTTGGAAACGGGATAACCCGCACAGAACTAAAACAGAAGCATTCACAGAAAACTCTTGGTGACGACTGAGTTTAACTCACAGGAGCTGAACATTCCTTTGGATGGAGCAGTTTCGAAACACACTATTTGTAGAATGTGCAAGTGGATATTTAGGCCTCTCTGAGGATTTCGTTGGAAATGGGATAAACCGCACAGAACTAAACAGAAGCATTCTCAGAAACTACTTTGTGATGATTGCATTCAAGTCACAGAGTTGAACATTCCCTTTGACAGAGCAGTTTGGAAACTCTCTTTGTGTAGAATCTGCAAGTGGAGATATGGACCGCTTTGAGGCCTATGGTAGTAAAGGAAATAGCTTCATATAAAAGCTAGACAGTAGCATTCTCAGAAACTTCTTTGTGATGCTTGCATTCAACTCACAGAGTTGAACTTTCCTTTCGAGAGAGAAGCTTTGAAACACTCTTTTTCCAGAATCTGCAAGTGGACATTTGGAGGGCTTTGAGGCCTGTGGTGGAAAAGGAATTATCTTCCCGTAAAAGCTAGATAGAAGCATTGTCAGAAACTTCTTTGTGATGATTGCATTCAACTCACAGAGTTGAAGGTTCCTTTTCAAAGAGCAGTTTCCAATCACTCTTTCTGTGGAATCTGCAAGTGGATATTTGGACCTATTTTGAAGATTTCGTTGGAAACGGGAGAATCTTCACAGGAAAGCTAAACAGAAGCATTCTCAGAAACTTCTCTGTGATGTTTGTGTTCAACTCCCAGAGTTTCACATTGCTTTTCATAGAGTAGTTCTGAAACATGCTTTTCGTAGTGTCTACAAGTGGACATTTGGAGCGCTTTCAGGCCTGTGGTGGAAAACGAATTATGGTCACATAAAAACTGGAGAGAAGCCTTCTCAGAAACTTCTCTGTGATGATTGCATTCAACTCACAGAGTTGAACCCTCCTATGGATAGAGCAGTGTTGAAACTCTCTTTTTGTGGAATCTGCAAGTGGATATGTGGACCTCTCCGAAGATGTCTTTGGAAACGGGAATATCTTCACATAAAAACTAAACAGAAGCATTCTCAGAAACTTCTTGGTGATGTTTGCATTCAAATCCCAGAGTTGAACCTTCCTTTGATAGTTCAGGTTTGAAACACTCTTTTTGTAGGATCTGCAAGTGGATATTTGGACCACTCTGTGGCCTTCGTTCGAAACGGGTATATCTTCGCATAAAATCTAGACAGAAGCATTCTCAGAAAATACTTTGTGATGATTGAGTTTAACTCACAGAGCTGAACATTCCTTTGGATGGAGCAGGTTTGAGACTCACCTTTTGTAGAATCTACAAGTGGATATTTGGACCTCTCTGAGGATTTCGTTGGAAACGGGATAACTGCACCTAACTAAACGGAAGCATTCTCAGAAACTGCTTTGTGATGATTGCATTCACCTCACAGAGTTGAACATTCCTATTGATAGAGCAGTTTGGAAACACTCTTGTTGTGGAATGTGCAAGTGGAGATTTGGAGCGCTTTGAGGTCTATGGTAGTAAAGGGAATAGCTTCATAGAAAAACTAGACAGATGCATTCTCAGGAACTTTTTGGTGATGTTTGTATTCAACTCCCAGAGTTGAACTTTCCTTTGGAAAGAGCAGCTATGAAACACTGTTTTTCTAGAATCTGCAAGTGGACGTTTGGAGGGCTTTGTGGTTTGTGGTGGAAAAGGAAATATCTTCACCTAAATACTAGATAGAAGCATCCTCAGAAGCTTCTCTGTGATGACTGCATTCAACTCACGGAGTTGAACACTCCTTTTGAGAGCGCAGTTTTGAAACTCTCTTTCTGTGGCATCTGCAAGGGGACATGTAGACCTCTTTGAAGATTTCGTTGGAAACGGAATCATCTTCACATAAAAACTACACAGAAGCAGTCTCAGAATCTTCTTTGTGATGTTTGCATTCAAATCCCCGAGTTGAACTTTCCTTTCAAAGTTCACGTTTGAAACACTCTTTTTGCAGGATCTACAAGTGGATATTTGGACCACTCTGTGTCCTTCGTTCGAAACAGGTATATCTTCACATGACATCTAGACAGAAGCTTTCTCAGAAAATTCTTTGGGATGATTGAGTTGAACTCACAGAGCTGAGCATTCCTTGCGATGTAGCAGTTTAGAAACACACTTTCTGCAGAATCTGCAAGTGCATATTTGGACCTCTGTGAGGAATTCGTTGGAAACGGGATAATTTCAGCTGACTAAACAGAAGCATTCTCAGAACCTTCTTCGTGATGTCTGCATTCAACTCACAGTGTGGAACCTTTCTTTGATAGTTCAGGTTTGAAACACTCTTTCTGTAGAAACTGCAAGGGGATAATTGCACTCTTTGAGGAGTACCGTAGTAAAGGAAATAACTTCCTATAAAAAGAAGACAGAAGCATTCTCAGAACCCTCTTCGTGATGTTTGCATTCAACTCACAGTGCTGAACCTTTCTTTGATAGTTCAGCTTTGAAACACTCTTTTTGTAGAAACTGCAAGTGGATATTTGGTCCTCTCTGAGGATTTCGTTGGAAACGGGATAAACTGCACAGAACTAAACAGAAGCATTCTCAGAACCTTCTTCGTGATGTTTGCATTCAACTCACAGTGTTGAACCTTTCTTTGATAGTTCAGGTTTGAAACGGTCTTTCTGTAGAAACTGCAAGTAGATATTTGGACCTCTCTGAGGATTTCGTTGGAAACGGGATAACCCGCACAGAACTAAAACAGAAGCATTCACAGAAAACTCTTGGTGACGACTGAGTTTAACTCACAGAGCTGAACATTCCTTTGGATGGAGCAGTTTCGAAACACACTATTTGTAGAATGTGCAAGTGGATATTTAGGCCTCTCTGAGGATTTCGTTGGAAATGGGATAAACCGCACAGAACTAAACAGAAGCATTCTCAGAAACTACTTTGTGATGATTGCATTCAAGTCACAGAGTTGAACATTCCCTTTGACAGAGCAGTTTGGAAACTCTCTTTGTGTAGAATCTGCAAGTGGAGATATGGACCGCTTTGAGGCCTATGGTAGTAAAGGAAATAGCTTCATATAAAAGCTAGACAGTAGCATTCTCAGAAACTTCTTTGTGATGCTTGCATTCAACTCACAGAGTTGAACTTTCCTTTCGAGAGAGAAGCTTTGAAACACTCTTTTTCCAGAATCTGCAAGTGGACATTTGGAGGGCTTTGAGGCCTGTGGTGGAAAAGGAATTATCTTCCCGTAAAAGCTAGATAGAAGCATTGTCAGAAACTTCTTTGTGATGATTGCATTCAACTCACAGAGTTGAAGGTTCCTTTTCAAAGAGCAGTTTCCAATCACTCTTTGTGTGGAATCTGCAAGTGGATATTTGGACCTATTTTGAAGATTTCGTTGGAAACGGGAGAATCTTCACAGGAAAGCTAAACAGAAAGCATTCTCAGAAACTTCTCTGTGATGTTTGTGTTCAACTCCCAGAGTTTCACATTGCTTTTCATAGAGTAGTTCTGAAACATGCTTTTCGTAGTGTCTACAAGTGGACATTTGGAGCGCTTTCAGGCCTGTGGTGGAAAACGAATTATGGTCACATAAAAACTGGAGAGAAGCCTTCTCAGAAACTTCTCTGTGATGACTGCATTCAACTCACAGAGTTGAACCCTCCTATGGATAGAGCAGTGTTGAAACTCTCTTTTTGTGGAATCTGCAAGCGGATATGTGGACCTCTCCGAAGATGTCTTTGGAAACGGGAATATCTTCACATAAAAACTAAACAGAAGCATTCTCAGAAACTTCTTGGTGATGTTTGCATTCAAATCCCAGAGTTGAACCTTCCTTTGATAGTTCAGGTTTGAAACACTCTTTTTGTAGGATCTTCAAGTGGATATTTGTACCACTCTGTGGCCTTCGTTCGAAAAGGGTATATCTTCGCATAAAATCTAGACAGAAGCATTCTCAGAAAATACTTTGTGATGATTGAGTTTAACTCACAGAGCTGAACATTCCTTTGGATGGAGCAGGTTTGAGACACACTTTTTGTAGAATCTACAAGTGGATATTTGGACCTCTCTGAGGATTTCGTTGGAAACGCGATAACTGCACCTAACTAAACGGAAGCATTCTCAGAAACTGCTTTGTGATGATTGCATTCACCTCACAGAGTGGAACATTCCTATTGATAGAGCAGTTTGGAAACACTCTTGTTGTGGAATGTGCAAGTGGAGATTTGGAGCGCTTTGAGGCCTATGGTAGTAAAGGGAATAGCTTCATAGAAAAACTAGACAGATGCATTCTCAGGAACTTTTTTTTGATGTTTGTATTCAACTCCCAGAGTTGAACTTTCCTTTGGAAAGAGCAGCTATGAAACACTCTTTTTCTAGAATCTGCAAGTGGACGTTTGGAGGGCTTTGTGGTTTGTGGTGGAAAAGGAAATATCTTCACCTAAATACTAGATAGAAGCATTCTCAGAAGCTTCTCTGTGATGACTGCATTCAACTCACGGAGTTGAACACTCCTTTTGAGAGCGCAGTTTTGAAACTCTCTTTCTGTGGCATCTGCAAGGAGACATGTAGACCTCTTTGAAGATTTCTTTGGAAACGGAATCATCTTCACATAAAAACTATACAGAAGCAGTCTCAGAATCTTCTTTGTGATGTTTGCATTCAAATCCCAGAGTTGAACTTTCCTTTCAAAGTTCACGTTTGAAACACTCTTTTTGCAGGATCTACAAGTGGATATTTGGACCACTCTGTGTCCTTCGTTCGAAACGGGTATATCGTCACACGACATCTAGACTAGAAGCTTTCTCAGAAAATTCTTTGGGATGATTGAGTTGAGCAAACAGAGCTGAACACTCCTTGCGATGTAGCAGTTTAGAAACACACTTTCTGCAGAATCTGCAAGTGCATATGTGGACCTCTCTGAGGAATTCGTTGGAAACGGGATAATTTCAGCTGACTAAACAGAAGCATTCTCAGAACCTTCTTCGTGATGTCTGCATTCAACTCACAGTGTGGAACCTTTCTTTGATAGTTCAGGTTTGAAACATTCTTTTTGTAGAAACTGCAAGGGGATCATTGCACTTCTTTGAGGCCTACCGTAGTAAAGGAAATAACTTCCTATAAAAAGAAGACAGAAGCATTCTCAGAACCCTCTTCGTGATGTTTGCATTCAACTCACAGTGCTGAACCTTTCTTTGATAGTTCAGCTTTGAAACACTCTTTTTGTAGAAACTGCAAATGGATATTTGGTCCTCTCTGAGGATTTCTTTGGAAAAGGGATAAAACGCACAGAACTAAACAGAAGCATTCTCAGAACCTTCTTCGTGATGTTTGCATTCAACTCACAGTGTTGAACCTTTCTTTGATAGTTCAGGTTTGAAACGGTCTTTCTGCAGAAACTGCAAGTAGATATTTGGACCGCTCTGAGGATTTCGTTGGAAACGGGATAACCCGCACAGAACTAAAACAGAAGCATTCACAGAAAACTCTTGGTGACGACTGAGTTTAACTCACAGAGCTGAACATTCCTTTCGATGGAGCAGTTTGGAAACACACTATTTGTAGAATGTGCAAGTGGATATTTAGGCCTCTCTGAGGATTTCGTTGGAAACGGGATAAACCGCACAGAACTAAACAGAAGCATTCTCAGAAACTACTTTGTGATGATTGCATTCAAGTCACAGAGTTGAACATTCCCTTTGACAGAGCAGTTTGGAAACTCTCTTTGTGTAGAATCTGCAAGTGGAGATATGGACCGCTTTGAGGCCTATGGTAGTAAAGGAAATAGCTTCATATAAAAGCTAGACAGTAGCATTCTCAGAAACTTCTTTGTGATGCTTGCATTCAACTCACAGAGTTGAACTATCCTTTCGAGAGAGAAGCTTTGAAATACTCTTTTTCCAGAATCTGCAAGTGGACATTTGGAGGGCTTTGAGGCCTGTGGTGGAAAAGGAATTATCTTCCTGTAAAAGCTAGATAGAAGCATTGTCAGAAACTTCTTTGTGATGATTGCATTCAACTCACAGAGTTGAAGGTTCCTTTTCAAAGAGCAGTTTCCAATCACTCTTTCTGTGGAATCTGCAAGTGGATATTTGGACCTCTTTGAAGATTTCGTTGGAAACGGGAGAATCTTCACAGAAAAGCTAAACAGAAGCATTCTCAGAAACTTCTCTGTGATGTTTGTGTTCAACTTCCAGAGTTTCACATTGCTTTTCATAGAGTAGTTCTGAAACATGCTTTTCGTAGTGTCTGCAAGTGGACATTTGGAGCGCTTTCAGGCCTGTGGTGGAAAACGAATTATGGTCACATAAAAACTGGAGAGAAGCCTTCTCAGAAACTTCTCTGTGATGATTGCATTCAACTCACAGAGTTGAACCCTCCTATGGATAGAGCAGTGTTGAAACTCTCTTTTTGTGGAATCTGCAAGTGGATATGTGGACCTCTCCGAAGATGTCTTTGGAAACGGGAATATCTTCACATAAAAACTAAACAGAAGCATTCTCAGAAACTTCTTGGTGATGTTTGCATTCAAATCCCAGAGTTGAACCTTCCTTTGATAGTTCAGGTTTGCAACACTCTTTTTGTAGGATCTGCAAGTGGATATTTGGACCACTCTGTGGCCTTCGTTCGAAACGGGTATATCTTCGCATAAAATCTAGACAGAAGCATTCTCAGAAAATACTTTGTGATGATTGAGTTGAACTCACAGAGCTGAACATTCCTTTGGATGGAGCAGGTTTGAGACACACTTTTTGTAGAATCTACAAGTGGATATTTGGACCTCTCTGAGGATTTCGTTGGAAACGGGATAACTGCACCTAACTAAACGGAAGCATTCTCAGAAACTGCTTTGTGATGATTGCATTCACCTCACAGAGTTGAACATTCCTATTGATAGAGCAGTTTGGAAACACTCTTGTTGTGGAATGTGCAAGTGGAGATTTGGAGCGCTTTGAGGCCTATGGTAGTAAAGGGAATAGCTTCATAGAAAAACTAGACAGATGCATTCTCAGGAACTTTTCGGTGATGTTTGTATTCAACTCCCGGAGTTGAACTTTCCTTTGGAAAGAGCAGCTATGAAACACTCTTTTTCTAGAATCTGCAAGTGGACGTTTGGAGGGCTTTGTGGTTTGTGGTGGAAAAGGAAATATCTTCACCTAAATACTAGATAGAAGCATTCTCAGAAGCTTCTCTGTGATGACTGCATTCAACTCACGGAGTTGAACACTCCTTTTGAGAGCGCAGTTTTGAAACTCTCTTTCTGTGGCATCTGCAAGGGGACATGTAGACCTCTTTGAAGATTTCGTTGGAAACGGAATCATCTTCACATAAAAACTATACAGAAGCAGTCTCAGAATCTTCTTTGTGATGTTTGCATTCAAATCCCAGAGTTGAACTTTCCTTTCAAAGTTCACGTTTGAAACACTCTTTTTGCAGGATCTACAAGTGGATATTTGGACCACTCTGTGTCCTTCGTTCGAAACGGGTATATCTTCACACGACATCTAGACAGAAGCTTTCTCAGAAAATTCTTTGGGATGATTGAGTGGAACTCACAGAGCTGAACATTCCTTGCGATGTAGCAGTTTAGAAACACACTTTCTGCAGAATCTGCAAGTGCATATTTGGACCTCTCTGAGGAATTCGTTGGAAACGGGATAATTTCAGCTGACTAAACAGAAGCATTCTCAGAACCTTCTTCGTGATGTCTGCATTCAACTCACAGTGTGGAACCTTTCTTTGATAGTTCAGGTTTGAAACACTCTTTTTGTAGAAACTGCAAGGGGATAATTGCACTTCTTTGAGGCCTACCGTAGTAAAGGAAATAACTTCCTATAGAAAGAAGACAGAAGCATTCTCAGAACCCTCTTCGTGATGTTTGCATTCAACTCACAGTGCTGAACCTTTCTTTGATAGTTCAGCTTTGAAACACTCTTCTTGTAGAAACTGCAAGTGGATATTTGGTCCTCTCTGAGGATTTCGTTGGAAACGGGATAAACCGCACAGAACTAAACAGAAGAATTCTCAGAGCCCTCTTCGTGATGTTTGCATTCAACTCACAGTGCTGAACCTTTCTTTGATAGTGCAGCTTTGAAACACTCTTTTTGTAGAAACTGCAAGTGGATGTTTGGTCCTCTCTGAGGATTTCGTTGGAAACGGGATAAACCGCACAGAACTAAAACAGAAGCATTGTCAGAAACTTCTTTGTGATGATTGCATTCAACTCACAGAGTTGAAGGTTCCTTTTCAAACAGCAGTTTCCAATCACTCTTTCTGTGGAATCTGCAAGTGGATATTTGGGCCTCTCTGAGGATTTCGTTGGAAACGGGATAAAACGCACAGAACTAAAACAGAAGCATTCTCAGAAACTTCTCTGTGATGTTTGTGTTCAACTCCCAGAGTTTCACGTTGCTTTTCATAGAGTAGTTCTGAAACATGCTTTTCGTAGTGTCTGCAAGTGGACATTTGGAGCGCTTTCAGGCCTGTGGTGGAAAACGAATTATGGTCACATAAAAACTGGAGAGAAGCCTTCTCAGAAACTTCTCTGTGATGATTGCATTCAACTCACAGAGTTGAACCCTCCTATGGATAGAGCAGTGTTGAAACTCTCTTTTTGTGGAATCTGCAAGTGGATATGTGGACCTCTCCGAAGATGTCTTTGGAAACGGGAATATCTTCACATAAAAACTAAACAGAAGCATTCTCAGAAACTTCTTGGTGATGTTTGCATTCAAATCCCAGAGTTGAACCTTCCTTTGATAGTTCAGGTTTGAAACACTCTTTTTGTAGGATCTGCAAGTGGATATTTGGACCACACTGTGGCCTTCGTTCGAAACGGGTACATCTTCGCATAAAATCTAGACAGAAGCATTCTCAGAAAATACTTTGTGATGATTGAGTTGAACTCACAGAGCTGAACATTCCTTTGGATGGAGCAGGTTTGAGACACACTTTTTGTAGAATCTACAAGTGGATATTTGGACCTCTCTGAGGATTTCGTTGGAAACGGGATAACTGCACCTAACTAAACGGAAGCATTCTCAGAAACTGCTTTGTGATGATTGCATTCACCTCACAGAGTTGAACATTCCTATTGATAGAGCAGTTTGGAAACACTCTTGTTGTGGAATGTGCAAGTGGAGATTTGGAGCGCTTTGAGGCCTATGGTAGTAAAGGGAATAGCTTCATAGAAAAACTAGACAGATGCATTCTCAGGAACTTTTTGGTGATGTTTGTATTCAACTCCCAGAGTTGAACTTTCCTTTGGAAAGAGCAGCTATGAAGCACTCTTTTTCTAGAATCTGCAAGTGGACGTTTGGAGGGCTTTGTGGTTTGTGGTGGAAAAGGAAATATCTTCACCTAAATACTAGAGAGAAGCATTCTCAGAAGCTTCTCTGTGATGACTGCATTCAACTCACGGAGTTGAACACTCCTTTTGAGAGCGCAGTTTTGAAACTCTCTTTCTGTGGCATCTGCAAGGGGACATGTAGACCTCTTTGAAGATTTCGTTGGAAACGGAATCATCTTCACATCAAAACTATACAGAAGCAGTCTCAGAATCTTCTTTGTGATGTTTGCATTCAAATCCCAGAGTTGAACTTTCCTTTCAAAGTTCACGTTTGAAACACTCTTTTTGCAGGATCTACAAGTGGATATTTGGACCACTCTGTGTCCTTCGTTCGAAACGGGTATATCTTCACATGACATCTAGACAGAAGCTTTCTCAGAAAATTCTTTGGGATGATTGAGTTGAGCAAACAGAGCTGAACACTCCTTGCGATGTAGCAGTTTAGAAACACACTTTCTGCAGAATCTGCAAGTGCATATGTGGACCTCTCTGAGGAATTCGTTGGAAACGGGATAATTTCAGCTGACTAAACAGAAGCATTCTCAGAACCTTCTTCGTGATGTCTGCATTCAACTCACAGTGTGGAACCTTTCTTTGATAGTTCAGGTTTGAAACACTCTTTTTGGAGAAACTGCAAGGGGATCATTGCACTTCTTTGAGGCCTACCGTAGTAAAGGAGATAACTTCCTATAAAAAGAAGACAGAAGCATTCTCAGAACCCTCTTCGTGATGTTTGCATTCAACTCACGGTGCTGAACCTTTCTTTGATAGTTCAGCTTTGAAACACTCTTTTTGTTGAAACTGCAATTGGATATTTGGTCCTCTCTGAGGATTTCGTTGGAAACGGGATAAACCGCACAGAACTAAACAGAAGCATTCTCAGAACCTTCTTCGTGATGTTTGCATTCAACTCACAGTGTTGAACCTTTCTTTGATAGTTCAGGTTTGAAACGGTCTTTCTGTAGAAACTGCAAGTAGACATTTGGACCTCTCTGAGGATTTCGTTGGAAACGGGATAAACCGCACACAACTAAAACAGAAGCATTCACAGAAAACTCTTGGTGACGACTGAGTTTAACTCACAGAACTGAACATTCCTTTGGATGGAGCAGTTTCGAAACACACTATTTGTAGAATGTGCAAGTGGATATGTGGGCCTCTCTGAGGATTTCGTTGGAAACGGGATAAACCGCACAGAACTAAACAGAAGCATTCTCAGAAACTACGTTGTGATGATTGCATTCAAGTCACAGAGCTGAACATTCCCTTTGACAGAGCAGTTTGGAAACTCTCTTTGTGTAGAATCTGCAAGTGGAGATATGGACCGCTTTGAGGCCTATGGTAGTAAAGGAAATAGCTTCATATAAAAGCTAGACAGTAGCATCCTCAGAAACTTCTTTGTGATGCTTGCATTCAACTCACAGAGTTGAACTTTCCTTTCGAGAGAGAAGCTTTGAAACACTCTTTTTCCAGAATCTGCAAGTGGACATTTGGAGGGCTTTGAGGCCTGTGGTGGAAAAGGAATTATCTTCCCGTAAAAGCTAGATAGAAGCATTGTCAGAAACTTCTTTGTGATGATTGCATTCAAGTCACAGAGTTGAAGGTTCCTTTACAAAGAGCAGTTTCCAATCACTCTTTCTGTGGAATCTGCAAGTGGATATTTGGACCTCTTTGAAGATTTCGTTGGAAACGGGAGAATCTTCACAGAAAAGCTAAACAGAAGCATTCTCAGAAACTTCTCTGTGATGTTTTTGTTCAACTCCCAGAGTTTCACATTGCTTCTCATAGAGTAGTTCTGAAACATGCTTTTCGTAGTGTCTGCAAGTGGACATTTGGAGCGCTTTCAGGTCTGTGGTGGAAAACGAATTATGGTCACATAAAAACTGGAGAGAAGCCTTCTCAGAAACTTCTCTGTGATGATTGCATTCAACTCACAGAGTTGAACCCTCCTATGGATAGAGCAGTGTTGAAACTCTCTTTTTGTGGAATCTGCAAGCGGATATGTGGACCTCTCCGAAGATGTCTTTGGCAACGGGAATATCTTCACATAAAAACTAAACAGAAGCATTCTCAGAAACTTCTTCGTGATGTTTGCATTCAAATCCCAGAGTTGAACCTTCCTTTGAGAGTTCAGGTTTGAAACACTCTTTTTGTAGGATCTGCAAGTGGATATTTGGACCACTCTGTGGCCTTCGTTCGAAACGGGTACATCTTCGCATAAAATCTAGACAGAAGCATTCTCAGAAAATACTTTGTGATGATTGAGTTGAACTCACAGAGCTGAACATTCCTTTGGATGGAGCAGGTTTGAGACACACTTTTTGTAGAATCTACAAGTGGATATTTGGACCTCTCTGAGGATTTCGTTGGAAACGGGATAACTGCACCTAACTAAACGGAAGCATTCTCAGAAACTGCTTTGTGATGATTGCATTCACCTCACAGAGTTGAACATTCCTATTGATAGAGCAGTTTGGAAACACTCTTCTTGTGGAATGTGCAAGTGGAGATTTGGAGCGCTTTGAGGCCTATGGTAGTAAAGGGAATAGCTTCATAGAAAAACTAGGCAGATGCATTCTCAGGAACTTTTTGGTGATGTTTGTATTCAACTCCCAGAGTTGAACTTTCCTTTGGAAAGAGCAGCTATGAAACACTCTTTTTCTAAAATCTGCAAGTGGACGTTTGGAGGGCTTTGTGGTTTGTGGTGGAAAAGGAAATATCTTCACCTAAATACTAGATAGAAGCATTCTCAGAAGCTTCTCTGTGATGACTGCATTCAGCTCACGGAGTTGAACACTCCTTTTGAGAGCGCAGTTTTGAAACTCTCTTTCTGTGGCATCTGCAAGGGGACATGTAGACCTCTTTGAAGATTTCGTTGGAAACGGAATCATCTTCACATCAAAACTATACAGAAGCAGTCTCAGAATCTTCTTTGTGATGTTTGCATTCAAATCCCAGAGTTGAACTTTCCTTTCAAAGTTCACGTTTGAAACACTCTTTTTGCAGGATCTACAAGTGGATATTTGGACCACTCTGTGTCCTTCGTTCGAAACGGGTATATCTTCACAGGACATCTAGACAGAAGCTTTCTCAGAAAATTCTTTGGGATGATTGAGTGGAACTCACAGAGCTGAACATTCCTTGCGATGTAGCAGTTTAGAAACACACTTTCTGCAGAATCTGCAAGTGCATATTTGGACCTCTCTGAGGAATTCGTTGGAAACGGGATAATTTCAGCTGACTAAACAGAAGCATTCTCAGAACCTTCTTCGTGATGTCTGCATTCAACTCACAGTGTGGAACCTTTCTTTGATAGTTCAGGTTTGAAACACTCTTTTTGTAGAAACTGCAAGGGGATAATTGCACTTCTTTGAGGCCTACCGTAGTAAAGGAAATAACTTCCTATAGAAAGAAGACAGAAGCATTCTCAGAACCCTCTTCGTGATGTTTGCATTCAACTCACAGTGCTGAACCTTTCTTTGATAGTTCAGCTTTGAAACACTCTTCTTGTAGAAACTGCAAGTGGATATTTGGTCCTCTCTGAGGATTTCGTTGGAAACGGGATAAACCGCACAGAACTAAACAGAAGAATTCTCAGAGCCCTCTTCGTGATGTTTGCATTCAACTCACAGTGCTGAACCTTTCTTTGATAGTGCAGCTTTGAAACACTCTTTTTGTAGAAACTGCAAGTGGATGTTTGGTCCTCTCTGAGGATTTCGTTGGAAACGGGATAAACCGCACAGAACTAAAACAGAAGCATTGTCAGAAACTTCTTTGTGATGATTGCATTCAACTCACAGAGTTGAAGGTTCCTTTTCAAACAGCAGTTTCCAATCACTCTTTCTGTGGAATCTGCAAGTGGATATTTGGGCCTCTCTGAGGATTTCGTTGGAAACGGGATAAAACGCACAGAACTAAAACAGAAGCATTCTCAGAAACTTCTCTGTGATGTTTGTGTTCAACTCCCAGAGTTTCACGTTGCTTTTCATAGAGTAGTTCTGAAACATGCTTTTCGTAGTGTCTGCAAGTGGACATTTGGAGCGCTTTCAGGCCTGTGGTGGAAAACGAATTATGGTCACATAAAAACTGGAGAGAAGCCTTCTCAGAAACTTCTCTGTGATGATTGCATTCAACTCACAGAGTTGAACCCTCCTATGGATAGAGCAGTGTTGAAACTCTCTTTTTGTGGAACCTGCAAGTGGATATGTGGACCTCTCCGAAGATGTCTTTGGAAACGGGAATATCTTCACATAAAAACTAAACAGAAGCATTCTCAGAAACTTCTTGGTGATGTTTGCATTCAAATCCCAGAGTTGAACCTTCCTTTGATAGTTCAGGTTTGAAACACTCTTTCTGTAGGATCTGCAAGTGGCTATTTGGACCACTCTGTGGCCTTCGTTCGAAACGGGTATATCTTCGCATAAAATCTAGACAGAAGCATTCTCAGAAAATACTTTGTGATGATTGAGTTTAAATCACAGAGCTGACCATTCCTTTGGATGGAGCAGGTTTGAGACACACTTTTTGTAGAATCTACAAGTGGATATTTGGACCTCTCTGAGGATTTCGTTGGAAACGGGATAACTGCACCTAACTAAACGGAAGCATTCTCAGAAACTGCTTTGTGATGATTGCATTCACCTCACAGAGTTGAACATTCCTATTGATAGAGCAGTTTGGAAACACTCTTGTTGTGGAATGTGCAAGTGGAGATTTGGAGCGCTTTGAGGCCTATGGTAGTAAAGGGAATAGCTTCATAGAAAAACTAGACAGATGCATTCTCAGGAACTTTTTGGTGATGTTTGTATTCAACTCCCAGAGTTGAACTTTCCTTTGGAAAGAGCAGCTATGAAACACTCTTTTTCTAGAATCTGCAAGTGGACGTTTGGAGGGCTTTGTGGTTTGTGGTGGAAAAGGAAATATCTTCACCTAAATACTAGATAGAAGCATTCTCAGAAGCTTCTCTGTGATGACTGCATTCAACTCACGGAGTTGAACACTCCTTTTGAGAGCGCAGTTTTGAAACTCTCTTTCTGTGGCATCCGCAAGGGGACATGTGGACCTCTTTGAAGATTTCGTTGGAAACGGAATCATCTTCACATCAAAACTATACAGAAGCAGTCTCAGAATCTTCTTTGTGATGTTTGCATTCAAATCCCAGAGTTGAACTTTCCTTTCAAAGTTCACGTTTGAAACACTCTTTTTGCAGGATCTACAAGTGGATATTTGGACCACTCTGTGTCCTTCGTTCGAAACGGGTATATCTTCACACGACATCTAGACAGAAGCTTTCTCAGAAAATTCTTTGGGATGATTGAGTGGAACTCACAGAGCTGAACATTCCTTGCGATGTAGCAGTTTAGAAACACACTTTCTGCAGAATCTGCAAGTGCATATTTGGACCTCTCTGAGGAATTCGTTGGAAACGGGATAATTTCAGCTGACTAAACAGAAGCATTCTCAGAACCTTCTTCGTGATGTCTGCATTCAACTCACAGTGTGGAACCTTTCTTTGATAGTTCAGGTTTGAAACACTCTTTTTGTAGAAACTGCAAGGGGATAATTGCACTTCTTTGAGGCCTACCGTAGTAAAGGAAATAACTTCCTATAGAAAGAAGACAGAAGCATTCTCAGAACCCTCTTCGTGATGTTTGCATTCAACTCACAGTGCTGAACCTTTCTTTGATAGTTCAGCTTTGAAACACTCTTCTTGTAGAAACTGCAAGTGGATATTTGGTCCTCTCTGAGGATTTCGTTGGAAACGGGATAAACCGCACAGAACTAAACAGAAGAATTCTCAGAGCCCTCTTCGTGATGTTTGCATTCAACTCACAGTGCTGAACCTTTCTTTGATAGTGCAGCTTTGAAACACTCTTTTTGTAGAAACTGCAAGTGGATGTTTGGTCCTCTCTGAGGATTTCGTTGGAAACGGGATAAACCGCACAGAACTAAAACAGAAGCATTGTCAGAAACTTCTTTGTGATGATTGCATTCAACTCACAGAGTTGAAGGTTCCTTTTCAAACAGCAGTTTCCAATCACTCTTTCTGTGGAATCTGCAAGTGGATATTTGGGCCTCTCTGAGGATTTCGTTGGAAACGGGATAAAACGCACAGAACTAAAACAGAAGCATTCTCAGAAACTTCTCTGTGATGTTTGTGTTCAACTCCCAGAGTTTCACGTTGCTTTTCATAGAGTAGTTCTGAAACATGCTTTTCGTAGTGTCTGCAAGTGGACATTTGGAGCGCTTTCAGGCCTGTGGTGGAAAACGAATTATGGTCACATAAAAACTGGAGAGAAGCCTTCTCAGAAACTTCTCTGTGATGATTGCATTCAACTCACAGAGTTGAACCCTCCTATGGATAGAGCAGTGTTGAAACTCTCTTTTTGTGGAATCTGCAAGTGGATATGTGGACCTCTCCGAAGATGTCTTTGGAAACGGGAATATCTTCACATAAAAACTAAACAGAAGCATTCTCAGAAACTTCTTGGTGATGTTTGCATTCAAATCCCAGAGTTGAACCTTCCTTTGATAGTTCAGGTTTGAAACACTCTTTCTGTAGGATCTGCAAGTGGCTATTTGGACCACTCTGTGGCCTTCGTTCGAAACGGGTATATCTTCGCATAAAATCTAGACAGAAGCATTCTCAGAAAATACTTTGTGATGATTGAGTTTAAATCACAGAGCTGACCATTCCTTTGGATGGAGCAGGTTTGAGACACACTTTTTGTAGAATCTACAAGTGGATATTTGGACCTCTCTGAGGATTTCGTTGGAAACGGGATAACTGCACCTAACTAAACGGAAGCATTCTCAGAAACTGCTTTGTGATGATTGCATTCACCTCACAGAGTTGAACATTCCTATTGATAGAGCAGTTTGGAAACACTCTTGTTGTGGAATGTGCAAGTGGAGATTTGGAGCGCTTTGAGGCCTATGGTAGTAAAGGGAATAGCTTCATAGAAAAACTAGACAGATGCATTCTCAGGAACTTTTTGGTGATGTTTGTATTCAACTCCCAGAGTTGAACTTTCCTTTGGAAAGAGCAGCTATGAAACACTCTTTTTCTAGAATCTGCAAGTGGACGTTTGGAGGGCTTTGTGGTTTGTGGTGGAAAAGGAAATATCTTCACCTAAATACTAGATAGAAGCATTCTCAGAAGCTTCTCTGTGATGACTGCATTCAACTCACGGAGTTGAACACTCCTTTTGAGAGCGCAGTTTTGAAACTCTCTTTCTGTGGCATCTGCAAGGGGACATGTAGACCTCTTTGAAGATTTCGTTGGAAACGGAATCATCTTCACATAAAAACTATACAGAAGCAGTCTCAGCATCTTCTTTGTGATGTTTGCATTCAAATCCCAGAGTTGAACTTTCCTTTCAAAGTTCACGTTTGAAACACTCTTTTTGCAGGATCTACAAGTGGATATTTGGACCACTCTGTGTCCTTCGTTCGAAACGGGTATATCTTCACATGACATCTAGACAGAAGCTTTCTCAGAAAATTCTTTGGGATGATTGAGTGGAACTCACAGAAGCTGAACATTCCTTGCGATGTAGCAGTTTAGAAACACACTTTCTGCAGAATCTGCAAGTGCATATGTGGACCTCTCTGAGGAATTCGTTGGAAACGGGATAATTTCAGCTGACTAAACAGAAGCATTCTCAGAACCTTCTTCGTGATGTCTGCATTCAACTCACAGTGTGGAACCTTTCTTTGATAGTTCAGGTTTGAAACACTCTTTTTGTAGAAACTGCAAGGGGATCATTGCACTTCTTTGAGGCCTACCGTAGTAAAGGAGATAACTTCCTATAAAAAGAAGACAGAAGCATTCTCAGAACCCTCTTCGTGATGTTTGCATTCAACTCACGGTGCTGAACCTTTCTTGGATAGTTCAGCTTTGAAACAGTCTTTTTGTAGAAACTGCAAGTGGATATTTGGTCCTCTCTGAGGATTTCGTTGGAAACGGGATAAACCGCACAGAACTAAACAGAAGCATTCTCAGAACCTTCTTCGTGATGTTTGCATTCAACTCACAGTGTTGAACCTTTCTTTGATAGTTCAGGTTTGAAACGGTCTTTGTGTAGAGACTGCAAGTAGATATTTGGACCTCTCTGAGGATTTCGTTGGAAACGGGATAAACCGCACAGAACTAAAACAGAAGCATTCACAGAAAACACTTGGTGACGACTGAGTTTAACTCACAGAGCTGAACATTCCTTTGGATGGAGCAGTTTCGAAACACACTATTTGTAGAATGTGCAAGTGGATATGTGGGCCTCTCTGAGGATTTCGTTGGAAACGGGATAAACCGCACAGAACTAAACAGAAGCATTCTCAGAAACTACTTTGTGATGATTGCATTCAAGTCACAGAGTTGAACATTCCCTTTGACAGAGCAGTTTGGAAACTCTCTTTGTGTAGAATCTGCAAGTGGAGATATGGACCGCTTTGAGGCCTATGGTAGTAAAGGAAATAGCTTCATATAAAAGCTAGACAGTAGCATTCTCAGAAACTTCTTTGTGATGCTTGCATTCAACTCACAGAGTTGAACTTTCCTTTCGAGAGAGAAGCTTTGAAACACTCTTTTTCCAGAATCTGCAAGTGGACATTTGGAGGGCTTTGAGGCCTGTGGTGGAAAAGGAATTATCTTCCCGTAAAAGCTAGATAGAAGCATTGTCAGAAACTTCTTTGTGATGATTGCATTCAACTCACAGAGTTGAAGGTTCCTTTTCAAACAGCAGTTTCCAATCACTCTTTCTGTGGAATCTGCAAGTGGATATTTGGACCTCTTTGAAGATTTCGTTGGAAACGGGAGAATCTTCACAGAAAAGCTAAACAGAAGCATTCTCAGAAACTTCTCTGTGATGTTTGTGTTCAACTCCCACAGTTTCACATTGCTTCTCATAGAGTAGTTCTGAAACATGCTTTTCGTAGTGTCTGCAAGTGGACATTTGGAGCGCTTTCAGGCCTGTGGTGGAAAATGAATTATGGTCACATAAAAACTGGAGAGAAGCCTTCTCAGAAACTTCTCTGTGATGATTGCATTCAACTCACAGAGTTGAACCCTCCTATGGATAGAGCAGTGTTGAAACTCTCTTTTTGTGGAATCTGCAAGCGGATATGTGGACCTCTCCGAAGATGTCTTTGGAAACGGGAATATCTTCACATAAAAACTAAACAGAAAGATTCTCAGAAACTTCTTGGTGATGTTTGCATTCAAATCCCAGAGTTGAACCTTCCTTTGAGAGTTCAGGTTTGAAACACTCTTTTTGTAGGATCTGCAAGTGGCTATTTGGACCACTCTGTGGCCTTCGTTCGAAACGGGTATATCTTCGCATAAAATCTAGACAGAAGCATTCTCAGAAAATACTTTGCGATGATTGAGTTGAACTCACAGAGCTGAACATTCCTTTGGATGGAGCAGGTTTGAGACACACTTTTTGTAGAATCTACAAGTGGATATTTGGACCTCTCTGAGGATTTCGTTGGAAACGGGATAACTGCACCTAACTAAACGGAAGCATTCTCAGAAACTGCTTTGTGATGATTGCATTCACCTCACAGAGTTGAACATTCCTATTGATAGAGCAGTTTGGAAACACTCTTCTTGTGGAATGTGCAAGTGGAGATTTGGAGCGCTTTGAGGCCTATGGTAGTAAAGGGAATAGCTTCATAGAAAAACTAGACAGATGCATTCTCAGGAACTTTTTGGTGATGTTTGTATTCAACTCCCAGAGTTGAACTTTCCTTTGGAAAGAGCAGCTATGAAACACTCTTTTTCTAGAATCTGCAAGTGGACGTTTGGAGGGCTTTGTGGTTTGTGGTGGAAAAGGAAATATCTTCACCTAAATACTAGATAGAAGCATTCTCAGAAGCTTCTCTGTGATGACTGCATTCAACTCACGGAGTTGAACACTCCTTTTGAGAGCGCAGTTTTGGAACTCTCTTTCTGTGGCATCTGCAAGGGGACATGTAGACCTCTTTGAAGATTTCGTTGTAAACGGAATCATCTTCACATAAAAACTATACAGAAGCAGTCTCAGAATCTTCTTTGTGATATTTGCATTCAAATCCCAGAGTTGAACTTTCCTTTCAAAGTTCACGTTTGAAACACTCTTTTTGCAGGATCTACAAGTGGATATTTGGACCACTCTGTGTCCTTCGTTCGAAACGGGTATATCTTCACATGACATCTAGACTGAAGCTTTCTCAGAAAATTCTTTGGGATGATTGAGTTGAGCAAACAGAGCTGAACACTCCTTGCGATGTAGCAGTTTAGAAACACCCTTTCTGCAGAATCTGCAAGTGCATATGTGGACCTCTCTGAGGAATTCGTTGGAAACGGGATAATTTCAGCTGACTAAACAGAAGCATTCTCAGAACCTTCTTCGTGATGTCTGCATTCAACTCACAGTGTGGAACCTTTCTTTGATAGTTCAGGTTTGAAACACTCTTTTTGTAGAAACTGCAAGGGGATCATTGCACTTCTTTGAGGCCTACCGTAGTAAAGGAAATAACTTCCTATAAAAAGAAGACAGAAGCATTCTCAGAACCCTCTTCGTGATGTTTGCATTCAACTCACGGTGCTGAACCTTTCTTTGATAGTTCAGCTTTGAAACACTCTTTTTGTAGAAACTGCAAGTGGATATTTGGTCCCCTCTGAGGATTTCGTTGGAAACGGGATAAACCGCACAGAACTAAACAGAAGCATTCTCAGAACCTTCTTCGTGATGTTTGCATTCAACTCACAGTGTTGAACCTTTCTTTGATAGTTCAGGTTGGAAACGGTCTTTCTGTAGAAACTGCAAGTAGATATTTGGACCTCTCTGAGGATTTCGTTGGAAACGGGATAAACCGCACAGAACTAAAACAGAAGCATTCACAGAAAACTCTTGGTGACGACTGAGTTTAACTCACAGAGCTGAACATTCCTTTGGATGGAGCAGTTTCGAAACACACTATTTGTAGAATGTGCAAGTGGATATGTGGGCCTCTCTGAGGATTTCGTTGGAAACGGGATAAACCGCACAGAACTAAACAGAAGCATTCTCAGAAACTACTTTGTGATGATTGCATTCAAGTCACAGAGTTGAACATTCCCTTTGACAGAGCAGTTTGGAAACTCTCTTTGCGTAGAATCTGCAAGTGGAGATATGGACCGCTTTGAGGCCTATGGTAGTAAAGGAAATAGCTTCATATAAAAGCTAGACAGCAGCATTCTCAGAAACTTCTTTGTGATGCTTGCATTCAACTCACAGAGTTGAACTTTCCTTTCGAGAGAGAAGCTTTGAAACACTCTTTTTCCAGAATCTGCAAGTGGACATTTGGAGGGCTTTGAGGCCTGTGGTGGAAAAGGAATTATCTTCCCGTAAAAGCTAGATAGAAGCATTGTCAGAAACTTCTTTGTGATGATTGCATTCAACTCACAGAGTTGAAGGTTCCTTTTCAAACAGCAGTTTCCAATCACTCTTTCTGTGGAATCTGCAAGTGGATATTTGGACCTATTTTGAAGATTTCGTTGGAAGCGGGAGAATCTTCACAGAAAAGTTAAACAGAAGCATTCTCAGAAACTTCTCTGTGATGTTTGTGTTCAACTCCCAGAGTTTCACATTGCTTTTCATAGAGTAGTTCTGAAACATGCTTTTCGTAGTGTCTGCAAGTGGACATTTGGAGCGCTTTCAGGCCTGTGGTGGAAAACGAATTATGGTCACATAAAAACTGGAGAGAAGCCTTCTCAGAAACTTCTCTGTGATGATTGCATTCAACTCACAGAGTTGAACCCTCCTATGGATAGAGCAGTGTTGAAACTCTCTTTTTGTGGAATCTGCAAGTGGATATGTGGACCTCTCCGAAGATGTCTTTGGAAACGGGAATATCTTCACATAAAAACTAAACAGAAGCATTCTCAGAAACTTCTTGGTGATGTTTGCATTCAAATCCCAGAGTCGAACCTTCCTTTGATAGTTCAGGTTTGAAACACTCTTTTTGTAGGATCTGCAAGTGGATATTTGGACCACTCTGTGGCCTTCGTTCGAAACGGGTATATCTTCGCATAAAATCTAGACAGAAGCATTCTCAGAAAAATACTTTGTGATGATTGAGTTTAACTCACAGAGCTGAACATTCCTTTGGATGGAGCAGGTTTGAGACACACTTTTTGTAGAATCTACAAGTGGATATTTGGACCTCTCTGAGGATTTCGTTGGAAACGGGATAACTGCACCTAACTAAACGGAAGCATTCTCAGAAACTGCTTTGTGATGATTGCATTCACCTCACAGAGTTGAACATTCCTATTGATAGAGCAGTTTGGAAACACTCTTGTTGTGGAATGTGCAAGTGGAGATTTGGAGCGCTTTGAGGCCTATGGTAGTAAAGGGAATAGCTTCATAGAAAAACTAGACAGATGCATTCTCAGGAACTTTTTGGTGATGTTTGTATTCAACTCCCAGAGTTGAACTTTCCTTTGGAAAGAGCAGCTATGAAACTCTTTTTCTAGAATCTGCAAGTGGACGTTTGGAGGGCTTTGTGGTTTGTGGTGGAAAAGGAAATATCTTCACCTAAATATTAGATAGAAGCATTCTCAGAAGCTTCTCTGTGATGACTGCATTCAACTCACGGAGTTGAACACTCCTTTTGAGAGTGCAGTTTTGAAACTCTCTTTCTGTGGGATCTGCAAGGGGACATGTAGACCTCTCTGAAGATTTCGTTGGAAACGGAATCATCTTCACATAAAAACTATACAGAAGCAGTCTCAGAATCTTCTTTGTGATGTTTGCATTCAAATCCCAGAGTTGAACTTTCCTTTCAAAGTTCACGTTTGAAACACTCTTTTTGCAGGATCTACAAGTGGATATTTGGACCACTCTGTGTCCTTCGTTCGAAACGGGTATATCTTCACATGACATCTAGACAGAAGCTTTCTCAGAAAATTCTTTGCGATGATTGAGTTGAACTCACAGAGCTGAACATTCCTTGCGATGTAGCAGTTTAGAAACACACTTTCTGCAGAATCTGCAAGTGCATATTTGGACCTCTCTGAGGAATTCCTTGGAAACGGGATAATTTCAGCTGACTAAACAGAAGCATTCTCAGAACCTTCTTCGTGATGTCTGCATTCAACTCACAGTGTGGAATCTTTCTTTGGTAGTTCAGGTTTGAAACACTCTTTTTGTAGAAACTGCAAGGGGATAATTGCACTTCTTTGAGGCCTACCGTAGTAAAGGAAATAACTTCGTATAAAAAGAAGACAGAAGCATTCTCAGAACCCTCTTCGTGATGTTTGCATTCAACTCACAGTGCTGAACCTTTCTTTGATAGTTCAGCTTTGAAACACTCTTCTTGTAGAAACTGCAAGTGGATATTTGGTCCTCTCTGAGGATTTCGTTGGAAACGGGATAAACCGCACAGAACTAAACAGAAGAATTCTCAGAGCCCTCTTCGTGATGTTTGCATTCAACTCACAGTGCTGAACCTTTCTTTGATAGTGCAGCTTTGAAACACTCTTTTTGTAGAAACTGCAAGTGGATATTTGGTCCTCTCTGAGGATTTCGTTGGAAACGGGATAAACCGCACAGAACTAAAACAGAAGCATTCACAGAAAACTCTTGGTGACGACTGAGTTTAACTCACAGAGCTGAACATTCCTTTGGATGGAGCAGTTTTGAAACACACTATTTGTAGAATCTGCAAGTGGATATTTGGGCCTCTCTGAGGATTTCGTTGGAAACGGGATAAAACGCACAGAACTAAAACAGAAGCATTCTCAGAAACTACTTTGTGATGATTGCATTCAAGTCACAGAGTTGAACATTCCCTTTGACAGAGCAGTTTGGAAACTCTCTTTGTGTAGAATCTGCAAGTGGAGATATGGACCGCTTTGAGGCCTATGGTAGTAAAGGAAATAGCTTCATATAAAAGCTAGACAGTAACATTCTCAGAAACTTCTTTGTGATGCTTGCATTCAACTCAGAGAGTTGAACTTTCCTTTCGAGAGAGAAGCTTTGAAACACTCTTTTTCCAGAATCTGCAAGTGGACATTTGGAGGGCTTTGAGGCCTGTGGTGGAAAAGGAATTAACTTCCCGTAAAAGCTAGATAGAAGCATTGTCAGAAACTTCTTTGTGATGATTGCATTCAACTCACAGAGATGAAGGTTCCTTTTCAAACAGCAGTTTCCAAACAGTCTTTCTGTGGAATCTGCAAGTGGATATTTGGACCTCTTTGAAGATTTCGTTGGAAACGGGAGAATCTTCACAGAAAAGCTAAACAGAAGCATTCTCAGAAACTTCTCTGTGATGTTTGTGTTCAACTCCCAGAGTTTCACATTGCTTTTCATAGAGTAGTTCTGAAACATGCTTTTCGTAGTGTCTGCAAGTGGACATTTGGAGCGCTTTCAGGCCTGTGGTGGAAAACGAATTATGGTCCCATAAAAACTGGAGAGAAGACTTCTCAGAACCTTCTCTGTGATGATTGCATTCAACTCACAGATTTGAACCCTCCTATGGATAGAACAGTGTTGAAACTCTCTTTTTGTGGAATCTGCAAGTGGATATGTGGACCTCTCCGAAGATGTCTTTGGAAACGGGAATATCTTCACCTAAAAACTAAACAGAAGCATTCTCAGAAACTTCTTGGTGATGTTTGCATTCAAATCACAGAGTTGAACCTTCCTGTGATAGTTCAGGTTTGAAACACTCTTTTTGTAGGATCTGCAAGTGGATATTTGGACCACTCTGTGGCCTTCGTTCCAAACGGGTACATCTTCACATAAAATCTAGACAGAAGCATTCTCAGAAAATACTTTGTGATGATTGAGTTTAAATCACAGAGCTGACCATTCCTTTGGATGGAGCAGGTTTGAGACACACTTTTTGTAGAATCTACAAGTGGATATTTGGACCTCTCTGAGGATTTCGTTGGAAACGGGATAACTGCACCTAACTAAACGGAGGCATTCTCAGAAACTGCTTTGTGATGATTGCATTCACCTCACAGAGTTGAACATTCCTATTGATAGAGCAGTTTGGAAACACTCTTGTTGTGGAATGTGCAAGTGGAGATTTGGAGCGCTTTGAGGCCTGTGGTAGTAAAGGGAATAGCTTCATAGAAAAACTAGACAGATGCATTCTCAGGAACTTTTTGGTGATGTTTGTATTCAACTCCCAGAGTTGAACTTTCCTTTGGAAAGAGCAGCTATGAAACACTCTTTTTCTAGAATCTGCAAGTGGACGTTTGGAGGGCTTTGTGGTTTGTGGTGGAAAAGGAAATATCTTCACCTAAATACTAGATAGAAGCATTCTCAGAAGCTCCTCTGTGATGACTGCATTCAACTCACGGAGTTGAACACTCCTTTTGAGAGCGCAGTTTTGAAACTCTCTTTCTGTGGCATCTGCAAGGGGACATGTAGACCTCTTTGAAGATTTCGTTGGAAACGGAATCATCTTCACATAAAAACTATACAGAAGCAGTCTCAGAATCTTCTTTGTGATGTTTGCATTCAAATCCCAGAGTTGAACTTTCCTTTCAAAGTTCACGTTTGAAACACTCTTTTTGCAGGATCTACAAGTGGATATTTGGACCACTCTGTGTCCTTCGTTCGAAACGGGTATAACTTCACACGACATCTAGACAGAAGCTTTCTCAGAAAATTCTTTGGGATGATTGAGTGGAACTCACAGAGCTGAACATTCCTTGCGATGTAGCAGTTTAGAAACACACTTTCTGCAGAATCTGCAAGTGCATATTTGGACCTCTCTGAGGAATTCGTTGGAAACGGGATAATTTCAGCTGACTAAACAGAAGCATTCTCAGAACCTTCTTCGTGATGTCTGCATTCAACTCACAGTGTGGAACCTTTCTTTGATAGTTCAGGTTTGAAACACTCTTTTTGTAGAAACTGCAAGGGGATAATTGCACTTCTTTGAGGCCTACCGTAGTAAAGGAAATAACTTCCTATAGAAAGAAGACAGAAGCATTCTCAGAACCCTCTTCGTGATGTTTGCATTCAACTCACAGTGCTGAACCTTTCTTTGATAGTTCAGCTTTGAAACACTCTTCTTGTAGAAACTGCAAGTGGATATTTGGTCCTCTCTGAGGATTTCGTTGGAAACGGGATAAACCGCACAGAACTAAACAGAAGAATTCTCAGAGCCCTCTTCGTGATGTTTGCATTCAACCTCACAGTGCTGAACCTTTCTTTGATAGTGCAGCTTTGAAACACTCTTTTTGTAGAAACTGCAAGTGGATGTTTGGTCCTCTCTGAGGATTTCGTTGGAAACGGGATAAACCGCACAGAACTAAAACAGAAGCATTGTCAGAAACTTCTTTGTGATGATTGCATTCAACTCACAGAGTTGAAGGTTCCTTTTCAAACAGCAGTTTCCAATCACTCTTTCTGTGGAATCTGCAAGTGGATATTTGGGCCTCTCTGAGGATTTCGTTGGAAACGGGATAAAACGCACAGAACTAAAACAGAAGCATTCTCAGAAACTTCTCTGTGATGTTTGTGTTCAACTCCCAGAGTTTCACGTTGCTTTTCATAGAGTAGTTCTGAAACATGCTTTTCGTAGTGTCTGCAAGTGGACATTTGGAGCGCTTTCAGGCCTGTGGTGGAAAACGAATTATGGTCACATAAAAACTGGAGAGAAGCCTTCTCAGAAACTTCTCTGTGATGATTGCATTCAACTCACAGAGTTGAACCCTCCTATGGATAGAGCAGTGTTGAAACTCTCTTTTTGTGGAATCTGCAAGTGGATATGTGGACCTCTCCGAAGATGTCTTTGGAAACGGGAATATCTTCACATAAAAACTAAACAGAAGCATTCTCAGAAACTTCTTGGTGATGTTTGCATTCAAATCCCAGAGTTGAACCTTCCTTTGATAGTTCAGGTTTGAAACACTCTTTCTGTAGGATCTGCAAGTGGCTATTTGGACCACTCTGTGGCCTTCGTTCGAAACGGGTATATCTTCGCATAAAATCTAGACAGAAGCATTCTCAGAAAATACTTTGTGATGATTGAGTTTAAATCACAGAGCTGACCATTCCTTTGGATGGAGCAGGTTTGAGACACACTTTTTGTAGAATCTACAAGTGGATATTTGGACCTCTCTGAGGATTTCGTTGGAAACGGGATAACTGCACCTAACTAAACGGAAGCATTCTCAGAAACTGCTTTGTGATGATTGCATTCACCTCACAGAGTTGAACATTCCTATTGATAGAGCAGTTTGGAAACACTCTTGTTGTGGAATGTGCAAGTGGAGATTTGGAGCGCTTTGAGGCCTATGGTAGTAAAGGGAATAGCTTCATAGAAAAACTAGACAGATGCATTCTCAGGAACCTTTTGGTGATGTTTGTATTCAACTCCCAGAGTTGAACTTTCCTTTGGAAAGAGCAGCTATGAAACACTCTTTTTCTAGAATCTGCAAGTGGACGTTTGGAGGGCTTTGTGGTTTGTGGTGGAAAAGGAAATATCTTCACCTAAATACTAGATAGAAGCATTCTCAGAAGGTTCTCTGTGATGACTGCATTCAACTCACGGAGTTGAACACTCCTTTTGAGAGCGCAGTTTTGAAACTCTCTTTCTGTGGCATCTGCAAGGGGACATGTAGACCTCTTTGAAGATTTCGTTGGAAACGGAATCATCTTCACATAAAAACTATACAGAAGCAGTCTCAGAATCTTCTTTGTGATGTTTGCATTCAAATCCCAGAGTTGAACTTTCCTTTCAAAGTTCACGTTTGAAACACTCTTTTTGCAGGATCTACAAGTGGATATTTGGACCACTCTGTGTCCTTCGTTCGAAACGGGTATATCTTCACACGACATCTAGACAGAAGCTTTCTCAGAAAATTCTTTGGGATGATTGAGTGGAACTCACAGAGCTGAACATTCCTTGCGATGTAGCAGTTTAGAAACACACTTTCTGCAGAATCTGCAAGTGCATATTTGGACCTCTCTGAGGAATTCGTTGGAAACGGGATAATTTCAGCTGACTAAACAGAAGCATTCTCAGAACCTTCTTCGTGATGTCTGCATTCAACTCACAGTGTGGATCCTTTCTTTGATAGTTCAGGTTTGAAACACTCTTTTTGTAGAAACTGCAAGGGGATAATTGCACTTCTTTGAGGCCTACCGTAGTAAAGGAAATAACTTCCAATAGAAAGAAGACAGAAGCATTCTCAGAACCCTCTTCGTGATGTTTGCATTCAACTCACAGTGCTGAACCTTTCTTTGATAGTTCAGCTTTGAAACACTCTTCTTGTAGAAACTGCAAGTGGATATTTGGTCCTCTCTGAGGATTTCGTTGGAAACGGGATAAACCGCACAGAACTAAACAGAAGCATTCTCAGAACCTTCTTCGTGATGTTTGCATTCAACTCACAGTGTTGAACCTTTCTTTGATAGTTCAGGTTTGAAACGGTCTTTCTGTAGAAACTGCAAGTAGATATTTGGACCTCTCTGAGGATTTCGTTGGAAACGGGATAAACCGCACAGAACTAAAACAGAAGCATTCACAGAAAACTCTTGGTGACGACTGAGTTTAACTCACAGAGCTGAACATTCCTTTGGATGGAGCAGTTTCGAAACACACTATTTGTAGAATGTGCAAGTGGATATTTGGGCCTCTCTGAGGATTTCGTTGGAAACGGGATAAACCGCACAGAACTAAACAGAAGCATTCTCAGAAACTACTTTGTGACGATTGCATTCAAGTCACAGAGTTGAACATTCCCTTTGACAGAGCAGTTTGGAAACTCTCTTTGTGTAGAATCTGCAAGTGGAGATATGGACCGCTTTGAGGCCTATGGTAGTAAAGGTAATAGCTTCATATGAAAGCTAGACAGTAGCATTCTCAGAAACTTCTTTTTGATGCTTGCATTCAACTCACAGAGTTGAACTTTCCTTTCGAGAGAGAAGCTTTGAAACACTCTTTTTCCAGAATCTGCAAGTGGACATTTGGAGGGCTTTGAGGCCTGTGGTGGAAAAGGAATTAACTTCCCGTAAAAGCTAGATAGAAGCATTGTCAGAAACTTCTTTGTGATGATTGCATTCAACTCACAGAGATGAAGGTTCCTTTACAAACAGCAGTTTCCAAACACTCTTTCTGTGGAATCTGCAAGTGGATATTTGGACCTCTTTGAAGATTTCGTTGGAAACGGGAGAATCTTCACAGAAAAGCGAAACAGAAGCATTCTCAGAAACTTCTCTGTGATGTTTGTGTTCAACTCCCAGAGTTTCACATTGCTTTTCATAGAGTAGTTCTGAAACATGCTTTTCGTAGTGTCTGCAAGTGGACATTTGGAGCGCTTTCAGGCCTGTGGTGGAAAACGAATTATGGTCCCATAAAAACTGGAGAGAAGCCTTCTCAGAAACTTCTCTGTGATGATTGCATTCAACTCACAGATTTGAACCCTCCTATGGATAGAGCATTGTTGAAACTCTCTTTTTGTGGAATCTGCAAGTGGATATGTGGACCTCTCCGAAGATGTCTTTGGAAACGGGAATATCTTCACATAAAAACTAAACAGAAGCATTCTCAGAAACTTCTTGGTGATGTTTGCATTCAAATCCCAGAGTTGAACCTTCCTGTGATAGTTCAGGTTTGAAACACTCTTTTTGTAGGATCTGCAAGTGGATATTTGGACCACTCTGTGGCCTTCGTTCGAAACGGGTACATCTTCACATAAAATCTAGACAGAAGCATTCTCAGAAAATACTTTGTGATGATTGAGTTTAACTCACAGAGCTGAACATTCCTTTGGATGGAGCAGGTTTGAGACACACTTTTTGTAGAATCTACAAGTGGATATTTGGACCTCTCTGAGGATTTCGTTGGAAACGCGATAACTGCACCTAACTAAACGGAAGCATTCTCAGAAACTGCTTTGTGATGATTGCATTCACCTCACAGAGTTGAACATTCCTATTGATAGAGCAGTTTGGAAACACTCTTGTTGTGGAATGTGCAAGTGGAGATTTGGAGCGCTTTGAGGCCTATGGTAGTAAAGGGAATAGCTTCATAGAAAAACTAGACAGATGCATTCTCAGGAACTTTTTGGTGATGTTTGTATTCAACTCCCAGAGTTGAACTTTCCTTTGGAAAGAGCAGCTATGAAACACTCTTTTTCTAGAATCTGCAAGTGGACGTTTGGAGGGCTTTGTGGTTTGTGGTGGAAAAGGAAATATCTTCACCTAAATACTAGAGAGAAGCATTCTCAGAAGCTTCTCTGTGATGACTGCATTCAACTCACGGAGTTGAACACTCCTTTTGAGAGCGCAGTTTTGAAACTCTCTTTCTGTGGCATCTGCAAGGGGACATGTAGACCTCTTTGAAGATTTCGTTGGAAACGGAATCATCTTCACATAGAAACTATACAGAAGCAGTCTCAGAATCTTCTTTGTGATGTTTGCATTCAAATCCCAGAGTTGAACTTTCCTTTCAAAGTTCACGTTTGAAACACTCTTTTTGCAGGATCTACAAGTGGATATTTGGACCACTCTGTGTCCTTCGTTCGAAACGGGTATATCTTCACATGACATCTAGACAGAAGCTTTCTCAGAAAATTCTTTGGGATGATTGAGTGGAACTCACAGAGCTGTACATTCCTTGCGATGTAGCAGTTTAGAAACACACTTTCTGCAGAATCTGCAAGTGCATATTTGGACCTCTCTGAGGAATTCGTTGGAAACGGGATAATTTCAGCTGACTAAACAGAAGCATTCTCAGAACCTTCTTCGTGATGTCTGCATTCAACTCACAGTGTGGAACCTTTCTTTGATAGTTCAGGTTTGAAACACTCTTTTTGTAGAAACTGCAAGGGGATAATTGCACTTCTTTGAGGCCTACCGTAGTAAAGGAAATAACTTCCTATAGAAAGAAGACAGAAGCATTCTCAGAACCCTCTTCGTGATGTTTGCATTCAACTCACAGTGCTGAACCTTTCTTTGATAGTTCAGCTTTGAAACACTCTTCTTGTAGAAACTGCAAGTGGATATTTGGTCCTCTCTGAGGATTTCGTTGGAAACGGGATAAACCGCACAGAACTAAACAGAAGCATTCTCTGAACCTTCTTCGTGATGTTTGCATTCAACTCACAGTGTTGAACCTTTCTTTGATAGTTCAGGTTGGAAACGGTCTTTCTGTAGAAACTGCAAGTAGATATTTGGACCTCTCTGAGGATTTCGTTGGAAACGGGATAAACCGCACAGAACTAAAACAGAAGCATTCACAGAAAACTCTTGGTGACGACTGAGTTTAACTCACAGAGCTGAACATTCCTTTGGATGGAGCAGTTTCGAAACACACTATTTGTAGAATGTGCAAGTGGATATTTGGGCCTCTCTGAGGATTTCGCTGGAAACGGGATAAACCGCACAGAACTAAACAGAAGCATTCTCAGAAACTACTTTGTGATGATTGCATTCAAGTCACAGAGTTGAACATTCCCTTTGACAGAGCAGTTTGGAAACTCTCTTTGTGTAGAATCTGCAAGTGGAGATATGGACCGCTTTGAGGCCTATTTTAGTAAAGGAAATAGCTTCATATAAAAGCTAGACAGTAGCATTCTCAGAAACTTCTTTGTGATGCTTGCATTCAACTCACAGAGTTGAACTTTCCTTTCGAGAGAGAAGCTTTGAAACACTCTTTTTCCAGAATGTGCAAGTGGACATTTGGAGGGCTTTGAGGCCTGTGGTGGAAAAGGAATTATCTTCCCGTAAAAGCTAGATAGAAGCATTGTCAGAAACTTCTTTGTGATGATTGCATTCAACTCACAGAGTTGAAGGTTCCTTTTCAAAGAGCAGTTTCCAATCACTCTTTCTGTGGAATCTGCAAGTGGATATTTCGACCTATTTTGAAGATTTCGTTGGAAACGGGATAATCTTCACAGAAAAGCTAAACAGAAGCATTCTCAGAAACTTCTCTGTGATGTTTGTGTTCAACTCCCAGAGTTTCACATTGCTTTTCATAGAGTAGTTCTGAAACATGCTTTTCGTAGTGTCTACAAGTGGACATTTGGAGCGCTTCCAGGCCTGTGGTGGAAAACGAATTATGGTCACATAAAAACTGGAGAGAAGCCTTCTCAGAAACTTCTCTGTGATGATTGCATTCAACTCACAGAGTTGAACCCTCCTATGGATAGAGCAGTGTTGAAACTCTCTTTTTGTGGAATCTGCAAGTGGATATGTGGACCTCTTTGAAGATGTCTTTGGAAACGGGAATATCTTCACATAAAAACTAAACGGAAGCATTCTCAGAAACTTCTTGGTGATGTTTGCATTCAAATCCCAGAGTTGAACCTTCCTTTGATAGTTCAGGTTTGAAACACTCTTTCTGTAGGATCTGCAAGTGGCTATTTGGACCACTCTGTGGCCTTCGTTCGAAACGGGTATATCTTCGCATAAAATCTAGACAGAAGCATTCTCAGAAAATACTTTGTGATGATTGAGTTTAAATCACAGAGCTGACCATTCCTTTGGATGGAGCAGGTTTGAGACACACTTTTTGTAGAATCTACAAGTGGATATTTGGACCTCTCTGAGGATTTCGTTGGAAACGGGATAACTGCACCTAACTAAACGGAAGCATTCTCAGAAACTGCTTTGTGATGATTGCATTCACCTCACAGAGTTGAACATTCCTATTGATAGAGCAGTTTGGAAACACTCTTGTTGTGGAATGTGCAAGTGGAGATTTGGAGCGCTTTGAGGCCTATGGTAGTAAAGGGAATAGCTTCATAGAAAAACTAGACAGATGCATTCTCAGGAACTTTTTGGTGATGTTTGTATTCAACTCCCAGAGTTGAACTTTCCTTTGGAAAGAGCAGCTATGAAACACTCTTTTTCTAGAATCTGCAAGTGGACGTTTGGAGGGCTTTGTGGTTTGTGGTGGAAAAGGAAATATCTTCACCTAAATACTAGATAGAAGCATTCTCAGAAGCTTCTCTGTGATGACTGCATTCAACTCACGGAGTTGAACACTCCTTTTGAGAGCGCAGTTTTGAAACTCTCTTTCTGTGGCATCTGCAAGGGGACATGTAGACCTCTTTGAAGATTTCGTTGGAAACGGAATCATCTTCACATAAAAACTATACAGAAGCAGTCTCAGAATCTTCTTTGTGATGTTTGCATTCAAATCCCAGAGTTGAACTTTCCTTTCAAAGTTCACGTTTGAAACACTCTTTTTGCAGGATCTACAAGTGGATATTTGGACCACTCTGTGTCCTTCGTTCGAAACGGGAATATCTTCACATGACATCTAGACAGAAGCTTTCTCAGAAAATTCTTTGGGATGATTGAGTGGAACTCACAGAGCTGAACATTCCTTGCGATGTAGCAGTTTAGAAACACACTTTCTGCAGAATCTGCAAGTGCATATTTGGACCTCTCTGAGGAATTCGTTGGAAACGGGATAATTTCAGCTGACTAAACAGAAGCATTCTCAGAACCTTCTTCGTGATGTGTGCATTCAACTCACAGTGTGGAACCTTTCTTTGATAGTTCAGGTTTGAAACACTCTTTTTGTAGAAACTGCAAGGGGATAATTGCACTTCTTTGAGGCCTACCGTAGTAAAGGAAATAACTTCCTATAGAAAGAAGACAGAAGAATTCTCAGAGCCCTCTTCGTGATGTTTGCATTCAACTCACAGTGCTGAACCTTTCTTTGATAGTGCAGCTTTGAAACACTCTTTTTGTAGAAACTGCAAGTGGATGTTTGGTCCTCTCTGAGGATTTCGTTGGAAACGGGATAAACCGCACAGAACTAAACAGAAGCATTCTCAGAACCTTCTTCGTGATGTTTGCATTCAACTCACACTGTTGAACCTTTCTTTGATAGTTCAGGTTTGAAACGGTCTTTCTGTAGAAACTGCAAGTAGATATTTGGACCTCTCTGAGGATTTCGTTGGAAACGGGATAAACCGCACAGAACTAAAACAGAAGCATTCACAGAAAACTCTTGGTGACGACTGAGTTTAACTCACAGAGCTGAACATTCCTTTGGATGGATCAGTTTCGAAACACACTATTTGTAGAATGTGCAAGTGGATATTTGGGCCTCTCTGAGGATTTCGTTGGAAACGGGATAAACCGCACAGAACTAAACAGAAGCATTCTCAGAAACTACTTTGTGATGATTGCATTCAAGTCACAGAGTTGAACATTCCCTTTGACAGAGCAGTTTGGAAACTCTCTTTGTGTAGAATCTGCAAGTGGAGATATGGACCGCTTTGAGGCCTATGGTAGTAAAGGAAATAGCTTCATATAAAAGCTAGACAGTAGCATTCTCAGAAACTTCTTTGTGATGCTTGCATTCAACTCACAGAGTTGAACTTTCCTTTCGAGAGAGAAGCTTCGAAACACTCTTTTTCCAGAATCTGCAAGTGGACATTTGGAGGGCTTTGAGGCCTGTGGTGGAAAAGGAATTATCTTCCCGTAAAAGCTAGATAGAAGCATTGTCAGAAACTTCTTTGTGATGATTGCATTCAACTCACAGAGTTGAAGGTTCCTTTTCAAAGAGCAGTTTCCAATCACTCTTTCTGTGGAATCTGCAAGTGGATATTTGGACCTATTTTGAAGATTTCGTTGGAAACGGGAGAATCTTCACAGGAAAGCTAAACAGAAGCATTCTCAGAAACTTCTCTGTGATGTTTGTGTTCAACTCCCAGAGTTTCACATTGCTTTTCATAGAGTAGTTCTGAAACATGCTTTTCGTAGTGTCTACAAGTGGACATTTGGAGCGCTTTCAGGCCTGTGGTGGAAAACGAATTATGGTCACATAAAAACTGGAGAGAAGCCTTCTCAGAAACTTCTCTGTGATGATTGCATTCAACTCACAGAGTTGAACCCTCCTATGGATAGAGCAGTGTTGAAACTCTCTTTTTGTGGAATCTGCAAGTGGATATGTGGACCTCTCCGAAGATGTCTTTGGAAACGGGAATATCTTCACATAAAAACTAAACAGAAGCATTCTCAGAAACTTCTTGGTGATGTTTGCATTCAAATCCCAGAGTTGAACCTTCCTTTGATAGTTCAGGTTTGAAACACTCTTTTTGTAGGATCTGCAAGTGGATATTTGGACCACTCTGTGGCCTTCGTTCGAAACGGGTATATCTTCGCATAAAATCTAGACAGAAGCATTCTCAGAAAATACTTTGTGATGATTGAGTTGAACTCACAGAGCTGAACATTCCTTTGGATGGAGCAGGTTTGAGACACACTTTTTGTAGAATCTACAAGTGGATATTTGGACCTCTCTGAGGATTTCGTTGGAAACGGGATAACTGCACCTAACTAAACGGAAGCATTCTCAGAAACTGCTTTGTGATGATTGCATTCACCTCACAGAGTTGAACATTCCTATTGATAGAGCAGTTTGGAAACACTCTTGTTGTGGAATGTGCAAGTGGAGATTTGGAGCGCTTTGAGGCCTATGGTAGTAAAGGGAATAGCTTCATAGAAAAACTAGACAGATGCATTCTCAGGAACTTTTTGGTGATGTTTGTATTCAACTCCCAGAGTTGAACTTTCCTTTGGAAAGAGCAGCTATGAAACACTCTTTTTCTAGAATCTGCAAGTGGACGTTTGGAGGGCTTTGTGGTTTGTGGTGGAAAAGGAAATATCTTCACCTAAATACTAGATAGAAGCATTCTCAGAAGCTTCTCTGTGATGACTGCATTCAACTCACGGAGTTGAACACTCCTTTTGAGAGCGCAGTTTTGAAACTCTCTTTCTGTGGCATCTGCAAGGGGACATGTAGACCTCTTTGAAGATTTCGTTGGAAACGGAATCATCTTCACATAAAAACTATACAGAAGCAGTCTCAGAATCTTCTTTGTGATGTTTGCATTCAAATCCCAGAGTTGAACTTTCCTTTCAAAGTTCACGTTTGAAACACTCTTTTTGCAGGATCTACAAGTGGATATTTGGACCACTCTGTGTCCTTCGTTCGAAACGGGTATATCTTCACACGACATCTAGACAGAAGCTTTCTCAGAAAATTCTTTGGGATGATTGAGTGGAACTCACAGAGCTGAACATTCCTTGCGATGTAGCAGTTTAGAAACACACTTTCTGCAGAATCTGCAAGTGCATATTTGGACCTCTCTGAGGAATTCGTTGGAAACGGGATAATTTCAGCTGACTAAACAGAAGCATTCTCAGAACCTTCTTCGTGATGTCTGCATTCAACTCACAGTGTGGAACCTTTCTTTGATAGTTCACGTTTGAAACACTCTTTTTGTAGAAACTGCAAGGGGATAATTGCACTTCTTTGAGGCCTACCGTAGTAAAGGAAATAACTTCCTATAGAAAGAAGACAGAAGCATTCTCAGAACCCTCTTCGTGATGTTTGCATTCAACTCACAGTGCTGAACCTTTCTTTGATAGTTCAGCTTTGAAACACTCTTCTTGTAGAAACTGCAAGTGGATATTTGGTCCTCTCTGAGGATTTCGTTGGAAACGGGATAAACCGCACAGAACTAAACAGAAGAATTCTCAGAGCCCTCTTCGTGATGTTTGCATTCAACTCACAGTGCTGAACCTTTCTTTGATAGTGCAGCTTTGAAACACTCTTTTTGTAGAAACTGCAAGTGGATGTTTGGTCCTCTCTGAGGATTTCGTTGGAAACGGGATAAACCGCACAGAACTAAAACAGAAGCATTGTCAGAAACTTCTTTGTGATGATTGCATTCAACTCACAGAGTTGAAGGTTCCTTTTCAAACAGCAGTTTCCAATCACTCTTTCTGTGGAATCTGCAAGTGGATATTTGGGCCTCTCTGAGGATTTCGTTGGAAACGGGATAAAACGCACAGAACTAAAACAGAAGCATTCTCAGAAACTTCTCTGTGATGTTTGTGTTCAACTCCCAGAGTTTCACGTTGCTTTTCATAGAGTAGTTCTGAAACATGCTTTTCGTAGTGTCTGCAAGTGGACATTTGGAGCGCTTTCAGGCCTGTGGTGGAAAACGAATTATGGTCACATAAAAACTGGAGAGAAGCCTTCTCAGAAACTTCTCTGTGATGATTGCATTCAACTCACAGAGTTGAACCCTCCTATGGATAGAGCAGTGTTGAAACTCTCTTTTTGTGGAACCTGCAAGTGGATATGTGGACCTCTCCGAAGATGTCTTTGGAAACGGGAATATCTTCACATAAAAACTAAACAGAAGCATTCTCAGAAACTTCTTGGTGATGTTTGCATTCAAATCCCAGAGTTGAACCTTCCTTTGATAGTTCAGGTTTGAAACACTCTTTCTGTAGGATCTGCAAGTGGCTATTTGGACCACTCTGTGGCCTTCGTTCGAAACGGGTATATCTTCGCATAAAATCTAGACAGAAGCATTCTCAGAAAATACTTTGTGATGATTGAGTTTAAATCACAGAGCTGACCATTCCTTTGGATGGAGCAGGTTTGAGACACACTTTTTGTAGAATCTACAAGTGGATATTTGGACCTCTCTGAGGATTTCGTTGGAAACGGGATAACTGCACCTAACTAAACGGAAGCATTCTCAGAAACTGCTTTGTGATGATTGCATTCACCTCACAGAGTTGAACATTCCTATTGATAGAGCAGTTTGGAAACACTCTTGTTGTGGAGTGTGCAAGTGGAGATTTGGAGCGCTTTGAGGCCTGTGGAAGTAAAGGGAATAGCTTCATAGAAAAACTAGACAGATGCATTCTCAGGAACTTTTTGGTGATGTTTGTATTCAACTCCCAGAGTTGAACTTTCCTTTGGAAAGAGCAGCTATGAAACACTCTTTTTCTAGAATCTGCAAGTGGACGTTTGGAGGGCTTTGTGGTTTGTGGTGGAAAAGGAAATATCTTCACCTAAATACTAGACAGAAGCATTCTCAGAAGCTTCTCTGTGATGACTGCATTCAACTCACGGAGTTGAACACTCCTTTTGAGAGCGCAGTTTTGAAACTCTCTTTCTGTGGCATCTGCAAGGGGACATGTAGACCTCTTTGAAGATTTCGTTGGAAACGGAATCATCTTCACATAAAAACTATACAGAAGCAGTCTCAGAATCTTCTTTGTGATGTTTGCATTCAAATCCCAGAGTTGAACTTTCCTTTCAAAGTTCACGTTTGAAACACTCTTTTTGCAGGATCTACAAGTGGATATTTGGACCACTCTGTGTCCTTCGTTCGAAACGGGTATATCTTCACACGACATCTAGACAGAAGCTTTCTCAGAAAATTCTTTGGGATGATTGAGTGGAACTCACAGAGCTGAACATTCCTTGCGATGTAGCAGTTTAGAAACACACTTTCTGCAGAATCTGCAAGTGCATATTTGGACCTCTCTGAGGAATTCGTTGGAAACGGGATAATTTCAGCTGACTAAACAGAAGCATTCTCAGAACCTTCTTCGTGATGTCTGCATTCAACTCACAGTGTGGAACCTTTCTTTGATAGTTCAGGTTTGAAACACTCTTTTTGTAGAAACTGCAAGGGGATAATTGCACTTCTTTGAGGCCTACCGTAGTAAAGGAAATAACTTCCTATAGAAAGAAGACAGAAGCATTCTCAGAACCCTCTTCGTGATGTTTGCATTCAACTCACAGTGCTGAACCTTTCTTTGATAGTTCAGCTTTGAAACACTCTTCTTGTAGAAACTGCAAGTGGATATTTTGTCCTCTCTGAGGATTTCGTTGTAAACGGGATAAACCGCACGGAAATAAACAGAAGCATTCTCAGAACCTTCTTCGTGATGTTTGCATTCAACTCACAGGGTTGAACCTTTCTTTGATAGTTCAGGTTGGAAACGGTCTTTCTGTAGAAACTGCAAGTAGATATTTGGACCTCTCTGAGGATTTCGTTGGTAACGGGATAAACCGCACAGAACTAAAACAGAAGCATTCATAGAAAACTCTTGGTGACGACTGAGTTTAACTCACAGAGCTGAACATTCCTTTGGATGGAGCAGTTTCGAAACACACTATTTGTAGAATGTGCAAGTGGATATTTGGGCCTCTCTGAGGATTTTGTTGGAAACCGGATAAACCGCACAGAACTAAACAGAAGCATTCTCAGAAACTACTTTGTGATGATTGCATTCAAGTCACAGAGTTGAACATTCCCTTTGACAGAGCAGTTTGGAAACTCTCTTTGTGTAGAATCTGCAAGTGGAGATATGGACCGCTTTGAGGCCTATGGTAGTAAAGGAAATAGCTTCATATAAAAGCTAGACAGTAGCATTCTCAGAAACTTCTTTGTGATGCTTGCATTCAACTCACAGAGTTGAACTTTCCTTTCGAGAGAGAAGCTTTGAAACACTCTTTTTCCAGAATGTGCAAGTGGACATTTTGGGAGCTTTGAGGCCTGTGGTGGAAAAGGAATTATCTTCCCGTAAAAGCTAGATAGAAGCATTGTCAGAAACTTCTTTGTGATGATTGCATTCAACTCACAGAGTTGAAGGTTCCTTTTCAAACAGCAGTTTCCAATCACTCTTTCTGTGGAATCTGCAAGTGGATATTTCGACCTCTTTGAAGATTTCGTTGGAAACGGGAGAATCTTCACAGAAAAGCTCAACAGAAGCATTCTCAGAAACTTCTCTGTGATGTTTGTGTTCAACTCCCAGAGTTTCACGTTGCTTTTCATAGAGTAGTTCTGAAACATGCTTTTCGTAGTGTCTGCAAGTGGACATTTGGAGCGCTTTCAGGCCTGTGGTGGAAAACGAATTATGGTCACATAAAAACTGGAGAGAAGCCTTCTCAGAAACTTCTCTGTGATGATTGCATTCAACTCACAGAGTTGAACCCTCCTATGGATAGAGCAGTGTTGAAACTCTCTTTTTGTGGAATCTGCAAGTGGATATGTGGACCTCTCCGAAGATGTCTTTGGAAACGGGAATATCTTCACATAAAAACTAAACAGAAGCATTCTCAGAAACTTCTTGGTGATGTTTGCATTCAAATCCCAGAGTTGAACCTTCCTTTGATAGTTCAGGTTTGAAACACTCTTTCTGTAGGATCTGCAAGTGGCTATTTGGACCACTCTGTGGCCTTCGTTCGAAACGGGTATATCTTCGCATAAAATCTAGACAGAAGCATTCTCAGAAAATACTTTGTGATGATTGAGTTTAAATCACAGAGCTGACCATTCCTTTGGATGGAGCAGGTTTGAGACACACTTTTTGTAGAATCTACAAGTGGATATTTGGACCTCTCTGAGGATTTCGTTGGAAACGGGATAACTGCACCTAACTAAACGGAAGCATTCTCAGAAACTGCTTTGTGATGATTGCATTCACCTCACCAGAGTTGAACATTCCTATTGATAGAGCAGTTTGGAAACACTCTTGTTGTGGAATGTGCAAGTGGAGATTTGGAGCGCTTTGAGGCCTATGGTAGTAAAGGGAATAGCTTCATAGAAAAACTAGACAGATGCATTCTCAGGAACTTTTTGGTGATGTTTGTATTCAACTCCCAGCAGTTGAACTTTCCTTTGGAAAGAGCAGCTATGAAACACTCTTTTTCTAGAATCTGGAAGTGGACGTTTGGAGGGCTTTGTGGTTTGTGGTGGAAAAGGAAATATCTTCACCTAAATACTAGATAGAAGCATCCTCAGAAGCTTCTCTGTGATGACTGCATTCAACTCACGGAGTTGAACACTCCTTTTGAGAGCGCAGTTTTGAAACTCTCTTTCTGTGGCATCTGCAAGGGGACATGTAGACCTCTTTGAAGATTTACTTTGGAAACGGAATCATCTTCACATAAAAACTATACAGAAGCAGTCTCAGAATCTTCTTTGTGATGTTTGCATTCAAATCCCAGAGTTGAACTTTCCTTTCAAAGTTCACGTTTGAAACACTCTTTTTGCAGGATCTACAAGTGGATATTTGGACCACTCTGTGTCCTTCGTTCGAAACGGGTATATCTTCACACGACATCTAGACAGAAGCTTTCTCAGAAAATTCTTTGGGATGATTGAGTGGAACTCACAGAGCTGAACATTCCTTGCGATGTAGCAGTTTAGAAACACACTTTCTGCAGAATCTGCAAGTGCATATTTGGACCTCTCTGAGGAATTCGTTGGAAACGGGATAATTTCAGCTGACTAAACAGAAGCATTCTCAGAACCTTCTTCGTGATGTCTGCATTCAACTCACAGTGTGGAACCTTTCTTTGATAGTTCAGGTTTGAAACACTCTTTTTGTAGAAACTGCAAGGGGATAATTGCACTTCTTTGAGGCCTACCGTAGTAAAGGAAATAACTTCCTATAGAAAGAAGACAGAAGCATTCTCAGAACCCTCTTCGTGATGTTTGCATTCAACTCACAGTGCTGAACCTTTCTTTGATAGTTCAGCTTTGAAACACTCTTCTTGTAGAAACTGCAAGTGGATATTTGGTCCTCTCTGAGGATTTCGTTGGAAACGGGATAAACCGCACAGAACTAAACAGAAGAATTCTCAGAGCCCTCTTCGTGATGTTTGCATTCAACTCACAGTGCTGAACCTTTCTTTGATAGTGCAGCTTTGAAACACTCTTTTTGTAGAAACTGCAAGTGGATGTTTGGTCCTCTCTGAGGATTTCGTTGGAAACGGGATAAACCGCACAGAACTAAAACAGAAGCATTGTCAGAAACTTCTTTGTGATGATTGCATTCAACTCACAGAGTTGAAGGTTCCTTTTCAAACAGCAGTTTCCAATCACTCTTTCTGTGGAATCTGCAAGTGGATATTTGGGCCTCTCTGAGGATTTCGTTGGAAACGGGATAAAACGCACAGAACTAAAACAGAAGCATTCTCAGAAACTTCTCTGTGATGTTTGTGTTCAACTCCCAGAGTTTCACGTTGCTTTTCATAGAGTAGTTCTGAAACATGCTTTTCGTAGTGTCTGCAAGTGGACATTTGGAGCGCTTTCAGGCCTGTGGTGGAAAACGAATTATGGTCACATAAAAACTGGAGAGAAGCCTTCTCAGAAACTTCTCTGTGATGATTGCATTCAACTCACAGAGTTGAACCCTCCTATGGATAGAGCAGTGTTGAAACTCTCTTTTTGTGGAATCTGCAAGTGGATATGTGGACCTCTCCGAAGATGTCTTTGGAAACGGGAATATCTTCACATAAAAACTAAACAGAAGCATTCTCAGAAACTTCTTGGTGATGTTTGCATTCAAATCCCAGAGTTGAACCTTCCTTTGATAGTTCAGGTTTGAAACACTCTTTCTGTAGGATCTGCAAGTGGCTATTTGGACCACTCTGTGGCCTTCGTTCGAAACGGGTATATCTTCGCATAAAATCTAGACAGAAAGCATTCTCAGAAAATACTTTGTGATGATTGAGTTTAAATCACAGAGCTGACCATTCCTTTGGATGGAGCAGGTTTGAGACACACTTTTTGTAGAATCTACAAGTGGATATTTGGACCTCTCTGAGGATTTCGTTGGAAACGGGATAACTGAACCTAACTAAACGGAGCATTCTCAGAAACTGCTTTGTGATGATTGTATTCACCTCACAGAGTTGAACATTCCTATTGATAGAGCAGTTTGGAAACACTCTTGTTGTGGAATGTGCAAGTGGAGATTTGGAGCGCTTTGAGGCCTATGGTAGTAAAGGGAATAGCTTCATAGAAAAACTAGACAGATGCATTCTCAGGAACTTTTTGGTGATGTTTGTATTCAACTCCCAGAGTTGAACTTTCCTTTGGAAAGAGCAGCTATGAAACACTCTTTTTCTAGAATCTGCAAGTGGACGTTTGGAGGGCTTTGTGGTTTGTGGTGGAAAAGGAAATATCTTCACCTAAATACTAGACAGAAGCATTCTCAGAAGCTTCTCTGTGATGACTGCATTCAACTCACGGAGTTGAACACTCCTTTTGAGAGCGCAGTTTTGAAACTCTCTTTCTGTGGCATCTGCAAGGGGACATGTAGACCTCTTTGAAGATTTCGTTGGAAACGGAATCATCTTCACATAAAAACTATACAGAAGCAGTCTCAGAATCTTCTTTGTGATGTTTGCATTCAAATCCCAGAGTTGAACTTTCCTTTCAAAGTTCACGTTTGAAACACTCTTTTTGCAGGATCTACAAGTGGATATTTGGACCACTCTGTGTCCTTCGTTCGAAACGGGTATATCTTCACACGACATCTAGACAGAAGCTTTCTCAGAAAATTCTTTGGGATGATTGAGTGGAACTCACAGAGCTGAACATTCCTTGCGATGTAGCAGTTTAGAAACACACTTTCTGCAGAATCTGCAAGTGCATATTTGGACCTCTCTGAGGAATTCGTTGGAAACGGGATAATTTCAGCTGACTAAACAGAAGCATTCTCAGAACCTTCTTCGTGCTGTCTGCATTCAACTCACAGTGTGGAACCTTTCTTTGATAGTTCAGGTTTGAAACACTCTTTTTGTAGAAACTGCAAGGGGATAATTGCACTTCTTTGAGGCCTACCGTAGTAAAGGAAATAACTTCCTATAGAAAGAAGACAGAAGCATTCTCAGAACCCTCTTCGTGATGTTTGCATTCAACTCACAGTGCTGAACCTTTCTTTGATAGTTCAGCTTTGAAACACTCTTCTTGTAGAAACTGCAAGTGGATATTTGGTCCTCTCTGAGGATTTCGTTGGAAACGGGATAAACCGCACAGAACTAAACAGAAGAATTCTCAGAGCCCTCTTCGTGATGTTTGCATTCAACTCACAGTGCTGAAACTTTCTTTGATAGTGCAGCTTTGAAACACTCTTTTTGTAGAAACTGCAAGTGGATATTTGGTCCTCTCTGAGGATTTCGTTGGAAACGGGATAAACCGCACAGAACTAAAACAGAAGCATTCACAGAAAACTCTTGGTGACGACTGAGTTTAACTCACAGAGCTGAACATTCCTTTGGATGGAGCAGTTTCGAAACACACTATTTGTAGAATCTGCAAGTGGATATTTGGGCCTCTCTGAGGATTTCGTTGGAAACGGGATAAAACGCACAGAACTAAAACAGAAGCATTCTCAGAAACTACTTTGTGATGATTGCATTCAAGTCACAGAGTTGAACATTCCCTTTGACAGAGCAGTTTGGAAACTCTCTTTGTGTAGAATCTGCAAGTGGAGATATGGACCGCTTTGAGGCCTATGGTAGTAAAGGAAATAGCTTCATATAAAAGCTAGACAGTAGCATTCTCAGAAACTTCTTTGTGATGCTTGCATTCAACTCACAGAGTTGAACTTTCCTTTCGAGAGAGAAGCTTTGAAACACTCTTTTTCCAGAATGTGCAAGTGGACATTTGGGGAGCTTTGAGGCCTGTGGTGGAAAAGGAATTATCTTCCCGTAAAAGCTAGATAGAAGCATTGTCAGAAACTTCTTTGTGATGATTGCATTCAACTCACAGAGTTGAAGGTTCCTTTTCAAACAGCAGTTTCCAATCACTCTTTCTGTGGAATCTGCAAGTGGATATTTCGACCTCTTTGAAGATTTCGTTGGAAACGGGAGAATCTTCACAGAAAAGCTAAACAGAAGCATTCTCAGAAACTTCTCTGTGATGTTTGTGTTCAACTCCCAGAGTTTCACGTTGCTTTTCATAGAGTAGTTCTGAAACATGCTTTTCGTAGTGTCTGCAAGTGGACATTTGGAGCGCTTTCAGGCCTGTGGTGGAAAACGAATTATGGTCACAGAAAAACTGGAGAGAAGCCTTCTCAGAAACTTCTCTGTGATGATTGCATTCAACTCACAGAGTTGAACCCTCCTATGGATAGAGCAGTGTTGAAACTCTCTTTTTGTGGAATCTGCAAGTGGATATGTGGACCTCTCCGAAGATGTCTTTGGAAACGGGAATATCTTCACATAAAAACTAAACAGAAGCATTCTCAGAAACTTCTTGGTGATGTTTGCATTCAAATCCCAGAGTTGAACCTTCCTTTGATAGTTCAGGTTTGAAACACTCTTTCTGTAGGATCTGCAAGTGGCTATTTGGACCACTCTGTGGCCTTCGTTCGAAACGGGTATATCTTCGCATAAAATCTAGACAGAAGCATTCTCAGAAAATACTTTGTGATGATTGAGTTAAAATCACAGAGCTGAACATTCCTTTGGATGGAGCAGGTTTGAGACACACTTTTTGTAGAATCTACAAGTGGATATTTGGACCTCTCTGAGGATTTCGTTGGAAACGGGATAACTGCACCTAACTAAACGGAAGCATTCTCAGAAACTGCTTTGTGATGATTGCATTCACCTCACAGAGTTGAACATTCCTATTGATAGAGCAGTTTGGAAACACTCTTGTTGTGGAATGTGCAAGTGGAGATTTGGAGCGCTTTGAGGCCTATGGTAGTAAAGGGAATAGCTTCATAGAAAAACTAGACAGATGCATTCTCAGGAACCTTTTGGTGATGTTTGTATTCAACTCCCAGAGTTGAACTTTCCTTTGGAAAGAGCAGCTATGAAACACTCTTTTTCTAGAATCTGCAAGTGGACGTTTGGAGGGCTTTGTGGTTTGTGGTGGAAAAGGAAATATCTTCACCTAAATACTAGATAGAAGCATTCTCAGAAGCTTCTCTGTGATGACTGCATTCAACTCACGGAGTTGAACACTCCTTTTGAGAGCGCAGTTTTGAAACTCTCTTTCTGTGGCATCTGCAAGGGGACATGTAGACCTCTTTGAAGATTTCGTTGGAAACGGAATCATCTTCACATAAAAACTATACAGAAGCAGTCTCAGAATCTTCTTTGTGATGTTTGCATTCAAATCCCAGAGTTGAACTTTCCTTTCAAAGTTCACGTTTGAAACACTCTTTTTGCAGGATCTACAAGTGGATATTTGGACCACTCTGTGTCCTTCGTTCGAAACGGGTATATCTTCACACGACATCTAGACAGAAGCTTTCTCAGAAAATTCTTTGGGATGATTGAGTGGAACTCACAGAGCTGAACATTCCTTGCGATGTAGCAGTTTAGAAACACACTTTCTGCAGAATCTGCAAGTGCATATTTGGACCTCTCTGAGGAATTCGTTGGAAACGGGATAATTTCAGCTGACTAAACAGAAGCATTCTCAGAACCTTCTTCGTGATGTCTGCATTCAACTCACAGTGTGGAACCTTTCTTTGATAGTTCAGGTTTGAAACACTCTTTTTGTAGAAACTGCAAGGGGATAATTGCACTTCTTTGAGGCCTACCGTAGTAAAGGAAATAACTTCCTATAGAAAGAAGACAGAACCATTCTCAGAACCCTCTTCGTGATGTTTGCATTCAACTCACAGTGCTGAACCTTTCTTTGATAGTTCAGCTTTGAAACACTCTTCTTGTAGAAACTGCAAGTGGATATTTGGTCCTCTCTGAGGATTTCGTTGGAAACGGGATAAACCGCACAGAACTAAACAGAAGCATTCTCAGAACCTTCTTCGTGATGTTTGCATTCAACTCACAGTGTTGAACCTTTCTTTGATAGTTCAGGTTTGAAACGGTCTTTCTGTAGAAACTGCAAGTAGATATTTGGACCTCTCTGAGGATTTCGTTGGAAACGGGATAAACCGCACAGAACTAAAACAGAAGCATTCACAGAAAACTCTTGGTGACGACTGAGTTTAACTCACAGAGCAGAACATTCCTTTGGATGGAGCAGTTTCGAAACACACTATTTGTAGAATGTGCAAGTGGATATGTGGTCCTCTCTGAGGATTTCGTTGGAAACGGGATAAACCGCACAGAACTAAACAGAAGCATTCTCAGAAACTACTTTGTGATGATTGCATTCAAGTCACAGAGTTGAACATTCCCTTTGACAGAGCAGTTTGGAAACTCTCTTTGTGTAGAATCTGCAAGTGGAGATATGGACCGCTTTGAGGCCTATGGTAGTAAAGGAAATAGCTTCATATAAAAGCTAGACAGTAGCATTCTCAGAAACTTCTTTGTGATGCTTGCATTCAACTCACAGAGTTGAACTTTCCTTTCGAGAGAGAAGCTTTGAAACACTCTTTTTCCAGAATCTGCAAGTGGACATTTGGAGGGCTTTGAGGCCTGTGGTGGAAAAGGAATTATCTTCCCGTAAAAGCTAGATAGAAGCATTGTCAGAGACTTCTTTGTGATGATTGCATTCAAGTCACAGAGTTGAAGGTTCCTTTTCAAAGAGCAGTTTCCAATCACTCTTTCTGTGGAATCTGCAAGTGGATATTTGGACCTCCTTTGAAGATTTCGTTGGAAACGGGAGAATCTTCACAGAAAAGCTAAACAGAAGCATTCTCAGAAACTTCTCTGTGATGTTTGTGTTCAACTCCCAGAGTTTCACATTGCTTTTCATAGAGTAGTTCTGAAACATGCTTTTCGTAGTGTCTACAAGTGGACATTTGGAGCGCTTTCAGGCCTGTGGTGGAAAACGAATTATGGTCACATAAAAACTGGAGAGAAGCCTTCTCAGAAACTTCTCTGTGATGATTGCATTCAACTCACAGAGTTGAACCCTCCTATGGATAGAGCAGTGTTGAAACTCTCTTTTTGTGGAATCTGCAAGTGGATACGTGGACCTCTCCGAAGATGTCTTTGGAAACGGGAATATCTTCACATAAAAACTAAACAGAAGCATTCTCAGAAACTTCTTGGTGATGTTTGCATTCAAATCCCAGAGTTGAACCTTCCTTTGATAGTTCAGGTTTGAAACACTCTTTTTGTAGGATCTGCAAGTGGATATTTGGACCACTCTGTGGCCTTCGTTCGAAACGGGTATATCTTCGCATAAAATCTAGACAGAAGCATTCTCAGAAAATACTTTGTGATGATTGAGTTTAACTCACAGAGCTGAACATTCCTTTGGATGGAGCAGGTTTGAGACACACTTTTTGTAGAATCTACAAGTGGATATTTGGACCTCTCTGAGGATTTCGTTGGAAACGGGATAACTGCACCTAACTAAACAGAAGCATTCTCAGAAACTGCTTTGTGATGATTGCATTCACCTCACAGAGTTGAACATTCCTATTGATAGAGCAGTTTGGAAACACTCTTGTTGTGGAATGTGCAAGTGGAGATTTGGAGCGCTTTGAGGCCTATGGTAGTAAAGGGAATAGCTTCATAGAAAAACTAGACAGATGCATTCTCAGGAACTTTTTGGTGATGTTTGTATTCAACTCCCAGAGTTGAACTTTCCTTTGGAAAGAGCAGCTATGAAACACTCTTTTTCTAGAATCTGCAAGTGGACGTTTGGAGGGCTTTGTGGTTTGTGGTGGAAAAGGAAATATCTTCACCTAAATACTAGATAGAAGCATTCTCAGAAGCTTCTCTGTGATGACTGCATTCAACTCACGGAGTTGAACACTCCTTTTGAGAGCGCAGTTTTGAAACTCTCTTTCTGTGGCATCTGCAAGGGGACATGTAGACCTCTTTGAAGATTTCGTTGGAAACGGAATCATCTTCACATAAAAACTATACAGAAGCAGTCTCAGAATCTTCTTTGTGATGTTTGCATTCAAATCCCAGAGTTGAACTTTCCTTTCAAAGTTCACGTTTGAAACACTCTTTTTGCAGGATCTACAAGTGGATATTTGGACCACTCTGTGTCCTTCGTTCGAAACGGGTATATCTTCACACGACATCTAGACAGAAGCTTTCTCAGAAAATTCTTTGGGATGATTGAGTGGAACTCACAGAGCTGAACATTCCTTGCGATGTAGCAGTTTAGAAACACACTTTCTGCAGAATCTGCAAGTGCATATTTGGACCTCTCTGAGGAATTCGTTGGAAACGGGATAATTTCAGCTGACTAAACAGAAGCATTCTCAGAACCTTCTTCGTGATGTCTGCATTCAACTCACAGTGTGGAACCTTTCTTTGATAGTTCAGGTTTGAAACACTCTTTTTGTAGAAACTGCAAGGGGATAATTGCACTTCTTTGAGGCCTACCGTAGTAAAGGAAATAACTTCCTATAGAAAGAAGACAGAAGCATTCTCAGAACCCTCTTCGTGATGTTTGCATTCAACTCACAGTGCTGAACCTTTCTTTGATAGTTCAGCTTTGAAACACTCTTCTTGTAGAAACTGCAAGTGGATATTTGGTCCTCTCTGAGGATTTCGTTGGAAACGGGATAAACCGCACAGAACTAAACAGAAGAATTCTCAGAGCCCTCTTCGTGATGTTTGCATTCAACTCACAGTGCTGAACCTTTCTTTGATAGTGCAGCTTTGAAACACTCTTTTTGTAGAAACTGCAAGTGGATGTTTGGTCCTCTCTGAGGATTTCGTTGGAAACGGGATAAACCGCACAGAACTAAAACAGAAGCATTGTCAGAAACTTCTTTGTGATGATTGCATTCAACTCACAGAGTTGAAGGTTCCTTTTCAAACAGCAGTTTCCAATCACTCTTTCTGTGGAATCTGCAAGTGGATATTTGGGCCTCTCTGAGGATTTCGTTGGAAACGGGATAAAACGCACAGAACTAAAACAGAAGCATTCTCAGAAACTTCTCTGTGATGTTTGTGTTCAACTCCCAGAGTTTCACGTTGCTTTTCATAGAGTAGTTCTGAAACATGCTTTTCGTAGTGTCTGCAAGTGGACATTTGGAGCGCTTTCAGGCCTGTGGTGGAAAACGAATTATGGTCACATAAAAACTGGAGAGAAGCCTTCTCAGGAAACTTCTCTGTGATGATTGCATTCAACTCACAGAGTTGAACCCTCCTATGGATAGAGCAGTGTTGAAACTCTCTTTTTGTGGAATCTGCAAGTGGATATGTGGACCTCTCCGAAGATGTCTTTGGAAACGGGAATATCTTCACATAAAAACTAAACAGAAGCATTCTCAGAAACTTCTTTGTGATATTTGCATTCAAATCCCAGAGTTGAAACTTCCTTTGATAGGTCAGGTTTGAAACACTCTTTCTGTACGATCTGCAAGTGGATATTTGGACCACTCTGTGGCCTTCGTTCGAAACGGGTACATCTTCACATAACATCTAGACAGAAGCATTCTCAGAAAATACTTTGTGATGATTGAGTTGAACTCACAGAGCTGAACATTCCTTTGGATGGAGCAGGCTTGAGACACAGTTTTTGTAGAATCTACAAGTGGATATTTGGACCTCTCTGAGGATTTCGTTGGAAACGGGATAACTGCACCTAACTAAACGGAAGCATTCTCAGAAACTGCTTTGTGATGATTGCATTCACCTCACAGAGTTGAACATTCCTATTGATAGAGCAGTTTGGAAACACTCTTGTTGTGGAATGTGCAAGTGGAGATTTGGAGCGCTTTGAGGCCTATGGTAGTAAAGGGAATAGCTTCATAGAAAAACTAGACAGATGCATTCTCAGGAACTTTTTGGTGATGTTTGTATTCAAATCCCAGAGTTGAACTTTCCTTTGGAAAGAGCAGCTATGAAACACTCTTTTTCTAGAATCTGCAAGTGGACGTTTGGAGGGCTTTGTGGGTTATGGTGGAAAAGGAAATATCTTCACCTAATTACTAGATAGAAGCATTCTCAGAAGCTTCTCTGTGATGACTGCATTCAACTCACGGAGTTGAACACTCCTTTTGAGAGCGCAGTTTTGAAACTCTCTTTCTGTGGCATCCGCAAGGGGACATGTGGACCTCTATGAAGATTTCGTTGGAAACGGAATCATCTTCACATAAAAACTATACAGAAGCAGTCTCAGAATCTTCTTTGTGATGTTTGCATTCAAATCCCAGAGTTGAACTTTCCTTTCAAAGTTCACGTTTGAAACACTCTTTTTGCAGGATCTACAAGTGGATATTTGGACCACTCTGTGTCCTTCGTTCGAAACGGGTATATCTTCACAGGACATCTAGACAGAAGCTTTCTCAGAAAATTCTTTGGGATGATTGAGTGGAACTCACAGAGCTGAACATTCCTTGCGATGTAGCAGTTTAGAAACACACTTTCTGCAGAATCTGCAAGTGCATATTTGGACCTCTCTGAGGAATTCGTTGGAAACGGGATAATTTCAGCTGACTAAACAGAAGCATTCTCAGAACCTTCTTCGTGATGTCTGCATTCAACTCACAGTGTGGAACCTTTCTTTGATAGTTCAGGTTTGAAACACTCTTTTTGTAGAAACTGCAAGGGGATAATTGCACTTCTTTGAGGCCTACCGTAGTAAAGGAAATAACTTCCTATAGAAAGAAGACAGAAGCATTCTCAGAACCCTCTTCGTGATGTTTGCATTCAACTCACAGTGCTGAACCTTTCTTTGATAGTTCAGCTTTGAAACACTCTTCTTGTAGAAACTGCAAGTGGATATTTGGTCCTCTCTGAGGATTTCGTTGGAAACGGGATAAACCGCACAGAACTAAACAGAAGAATTCTCAGAGCCCTCTTCGTGATGTTTGCATTCAACTCACAGTGCTGAACCTTTCTTTGATAGTGCAGCTTTGAAACACTCTTTTTGTAGAAACTGCAAGTGGATGTTTGGTCCTCTCTGAGGATTTCGTTGGAAACGGGATAAACCGCACAGAACTAAAACAGAAGCATTGTCAGAAACTTCTTTGTGATGATTGCATTCAACTCACAGAGTTGAAGGTTCCTTTTCAAACAGCAGTTTCCAATCACTCTTTCTGTGGAATCTGCAAGTGGATATTTGGGCCTCTCTGAGGATTTCGTTGGAAACGGGATAAAACGCACAGAACTAAAACAGAAGCATTCTCAGAAACTTCTCTGTGATGTTTGTGTTCAACTCCCAGAGTTTCACGTTGCTTTTCATAGAGTAGTTCTGAAACATGCTTTTCGTAGTGTCTGCAAGTGGACATTTGGAGCGCTTTCAGGCCTGTGGTGGAAAACGAATTATGGTCACATAAAAACTGGAGAGAAGCCTTCTCAGAAACTTCTCTGTGATGATTGCATTCAACTCACAGAGTTGAACCCTCCTATGGATAGAGCAGTGTTGAAACTCTCTTTTTGTGGAATCTGCAAGTGGATATGTGGACCTCTCCGAAGATGTCTTTGGAAACGGGAATATCTTCACATAAAAACTAAACAGAAGCATTCTCAGAAACTTCTTGGTGATGTTTGCATTCAAATCCCAGAGTTGAACCTTCCTTTGATAGTTCAGGTTTGAAACACTCTTTCTGTAGGATCTGCAAGTGGCTATTTGGACCACTCTGTGGCCTTCGTTCGAAACGGGTATATCTTCGCATAAAATCTAGACAGAAGCATTCTCAGAAAATACTTTGTGATGATTGAGTTTAAATCACAGAGCTGACCATTCCTTTGGATGGAGCAGGTTTGAGACACACTTTTTGTAGAATCTACAAGTGGATATTTGGACCTCTCTGAGGATTTCGTTGGAAACGGGATAACTGCACCTAACTAAACGGAAGCATTCTCAGAAACTGCTTTGTGATGATTGCATTCACCTCACAGAGTTGAACATTCCTATTGATAGAGCAGTTTGGAAACACTCTTGTTGTGGAATGTGCAAGTGGAGATTTGGAGCGCTTTGAGGCCTATGGTAGTAAAGGGAATAGCTTCATAGAAAAACTAGACAGATGCATTCTCAGGAACTTTTTGGTGATGTTTGTATTCAACTCCCAGAGTTGAACTTTCCTTTGGAAAGAGCAGCTATGAAACACTCTTTTTCTAGAATCTGCAAGTGGACGTTTGGAGGGCTTTGTGGTTTGTGGTGGAAAAGGAAATATCTTCACCTAAATACTAGATAGAAGCATTCTCAGAAGCTTCTCTGTGATGACTGCATTCAACTCACGGAGTTGAACACTCCTTTTGAGAGCGCAGTTTTGAAACTCTCTTTCTGTGGCATCTGCAAGGGGACATGTAGACCTCTTTGAAGATTTCGTTGGAAACGGAATCATCTTCACATAAAAACTATACAGAAGCAGTCTCAGAATCTTCTTTGTGATGTTTGCATTCAAATCCCAGAGTTGAACTTTCCTTTCAAAGTTCACGTTTGAAACACTCTTTTTGCAGGATCTACAAGTGGATATTTGGACCACTCTGTGTCCTTCGTTCGAAACGGGTATATCTTCACACGACATCTAGACAGAAGCTTTCTCAGAAAATTCTTTGGGATGATTGAGTGGAACTCACAGAGCTGAACATTCCTTGCGATGTAGCAGTTTAGAAACACACTTTCTGCAGAATCTGCAAGTGCATATTTGGACCTCTCTGAGGAATTCGTTGGAAACGGGATAATTTCAGCTGACTAAACAGAAGCATTCTCAGAACCTTCTTCGTGATGTCTGCATTCAACTCACAGTGTGGAACCTTTCTTTGATAGTTCAGGTTTGAAACACTCTTTTTGTAGAAACTGCAAGGGGATAATTGCACTTCTTTGAGGCCTACCGTAGTAAAGGAAATAACTTCCTATAGAAAGAAGACAGAAGCATTCTCAGAACCCTCTTCGTGATGTTTGCATTCAACTCACAGTGCTGAACCTTTCTTTGATAGTTCAGCTTTGAAACACTCTTCTTGTAGAAACTGCAAGTGGATATTTGGTCCTCTCTGAGGATTTCGTTGGAAACGGGATAAACCGCACAGAACTAAACAGAAGAATTCTCAGAGCCCTCTTCGTGATGTTTGCATTCAACTCACAGTGCTGAACCTTTCTTTGATAGTGCAGCTTTGAAACACTCTTTTTGTAGAAACTGCAAGTGGATGTTTGGTCCTCTCTGAGGATTTCGTTGGAAACGGGATAAACCGCACAGAACTAAAACAGAAGCATTGTCAGAAACTTCTTTGTGATGATTGCATTCAACTCACAGAGTTGAAGGTTCCTTTTCAAACAGCAGTTTCCAATCACTCTTTCTGTGGAATCTGCAAGTGGATATTTGGGCCTCTCTGAGGATTTCGTTGGAAACGGGATAAAACGCACAGAACTAAAACAGAAGCATTCTCAGAAACTTCTCTGTGATGTTTGTGTTCAACTCCCAGAGTTTCACGTTGCTTTTCATAGAGTAGTTCTGAAACATGCTTTTCGTAGTGTCTGCAAGTGGACATTTGGAGCGCTTTCAGGCCTGTGGTGGAAAACGAATTATGGTCACATAAAAACTGGAGAGAAGCCTTCTCAGAAACTTCTCTGTGATGATTGCATTCAACTCACAGAGTTGAACCCTCCTATGGATAGAGCAGTGTTGAAACTCTCTTTTTGTGGAACCTGCAAGTGGATATGTGGACCTCTCCGAAGATGTCTTTGGAAACGGGAATATCTTCACATAAAAACTAAACAGAAGCATTCTCAGAAACTTCTTGGTGATGTTTGCATTCAAATCCCAGAGTTGAACCTTCCTTTGATAGTTCAGGTTTGAAACACTCTTTCTGTAGGATCTGCAAGTGGCTATTTGGACCACTCTGTGGCCTTCGTTCGAAACGGGTATATCTTCGCATAAAATCTAGACAGAAGCATTCTCAGAAAATACTTTGTGATGATTGAGTTTAAATCACAGAGCTGACCATTCCTTTGGATGGAGCAGGTTTGAGACACACTTTTTGTAGAATCTACAAGTGGATATTTGGACCTCTCTGAGGATTTCGTTGGAAACGGGATAACTGCACCTAACTAAACGGAAGCATTCTCAGAAACTGCTTTGTGATGATTGCATTCACCTCACAGAGTTGAACATTCCTATTGATAGAGCAGTTTGGAAACACTCTTGTTGTGGAATGTGCAAGTGGAGATTTGGAGCGCTTTGAGGCCTATGGTAGTAAAGGGAATAGCTTCATAGAAAAACTAGACAGATGCATTCTCAGGAACTTTTTGGTGATGTTTGTATTCAACTCCCAGAGTTGAACTTTCCTTTGGAAAGAGCAGCTATGAAACACTCTTTTTCTAGAATCTGCAAGTGGACGTTTGGAGGGCTTTGTGGTTTGTGGTGGAAAAGGAAATATCTTCACCTAAATACTAGATAGAAGCATTCTCAGAAGCTTCTCTGTGATGACTGCATTCAACTCACGGAGTTGAACACTCCTTTTGAGAGCGCAGTTTTGAAACTCTCTTTCTGTGGCATCCGCAAGGGGACATGTGGACCTCTTTGAAGATTTCGTTGGAAACGGAATCATCTTCACATAAAAACTATACAGAAGCAGTCTCAGAATCTTCTTTGTGATGTTTGCATTCAAATCCCAGAGTTGAACTTTCCTTTCAAAGTTCACGTTTGAAACACTCTTTTTGCAGGATCTACAAGTGGATATTTGGACCACTCTGTGTCCTCCGTTCGAAACGGGTATATCTTCACATGACATCTAGACAGAAGTTTTCTCAGAAAATTCTTTGGGATGATTGAGTGGAACTCACAGAGCTGAACATTCCTTGCGATGTAGCAGTTTAGAAACACACTTTCTGCAGAATCTGCAAGTGCATATTTGGACCTCTCTGAGGAATTCGTTGGAAACGGGATAATTTCAGCTGACTAAACAGAAGCATTCTCAGAACCTTCTTCGTGATGTCTGCATTCAACTCACAGTGTGGAACCTTTCTTTGATAGTTCAGGTTTGAAACACTCTTTTTGTAGAAACTGCAAGGGGATAATTGCACTTCTTTGAGGCCTACCGTAGTAAAGGAAATAACTTCCTATAGAAAGAAGACAGAAGCATTCTCAGAACCCTCTTCGTGATGTTTGCATTCAACTCACAGTGCTGAACCTTTCTTTGATAGTTCAGCTTTGAAACACTCTTCTTGTAGAAACTGCAAGTGGATATTTGGTCCTCTCTGAGGATTTCGTTGGAAACGGGATAAACCGCACAGAACTAAACAGAAGCATTCTCAGAACTTCTTCGTGATGTTTGCATTCAACTCACAGTGTTGAACCTTTCTTTGATAGTTCAGGTTGGAAACGGTCTTTCTGTAGAAACTGCAAGTAGATATTTGGACCTCTCTGAGGATTTCGTTGGAAACGGGATAAACCGCACAGAACTAAAACAGAAGCATTCACAGAAAACTCTTGGTGACGACTGAGTTTAACTCATAGAGCTGAACATTCCTTTGGATGGAGCAGTTTCGAAACACACTATTTGTAGAATGTGCAAGTGGATATTTGGGCCTCTCTGAGGATTTCGTTGGAAACGGGATAAACCGCACAGAACTAAACAGAAGCATTCTCAGAAACTACTTTGTGATGATTGCATTCAAGTCACAGAGCTGAACATTCCCTTTGACAGAGCAGTTTGGAAACTCTCTTTGTGTAGAATCTGCAAGTGGAGATATGGAATGCTTTGAGGACTATGGTAGTAAAGGAAATAGCTTCATATAAAAGCTAGACAGTAGCATTCTCAGAAACTTCTTTGTGATGCTTGCATTCAACTCACAGAGTTGAACTTTCCTTTCGAGAGAGAAGCTTCGAAACACTCTTTTTCCAGAATCTGCAAGTGGACATTTGGAGGGCTTTGAGGCCTGTGGTGGAAAAGGAATTATCTTCCCGTAAAAGCTAGATAGAAGCATTGTCAGAAACTTCTTTGTGATGATTGCATTCAACTCACAGAGTTGAAGGTTCCTTTTTAAACAGCGGTTTCCAAACACTCTTTCTGTGGAATCTGCACGTGGATGTATGGACCTCTTTGAAGATTTCGTTGGAAACGGGAGAATCTTCACAGAAAAGCTAAACAGAAGCATTCTCAGAAACTTCTCTGTGATGTTTGTGTTCAACTCCCAGAGTTTCACATTGCTTTTCATAGAGTAGTTCTGAAACATGCTTTTCGTAGTGTCTGCAAGTGGACATTTGGAGCGCTTTCAGGCCTGTGGTGGAAAACGAATTATGTTCACATAAAAACTGGAGAGAAGCCTTCTCAGAAACTTCTCTGTGATGATTGCATTCAACTCACAGAGTTGAACCCTCCTATGGATAGAGCAGTGTTGAAACTCTCTTTTTGTGGAATCTGCAAGTGGATATGTGGACCTCTCCGAAGATGTCTTTGGAAACGGGAATATCTTCACATAAAAACTAAACAGAAGCATTCTCAGAAACTTCTTGGTGATGTTTGCATTCAAATCCCAGAGTTGAACCTTCCTTTGATAGTTCAGGTTTGAAACACTCTTTCTGTAGGATCTGCAAGTGGCTATTTGGACCACTCTGTGGCCTTCGTTCGAAACGGGTATATCTTCGCATAAAATCTAGACAGAAGCATTCTCAGAAAATACTTTGTGATGATTGAGTTTAACTCACAGAGCTGAAAATTCCTTTGGATGGAGCAGGTTTGAGACACACTTTTTATAGAATCTACAAGTGGATATTTGGACCTCTCTGAGGATGTCGTTGGAAACGGGATAACTGCACCTAACTAAACGGAAGCATTCTCAGAAACTGCTTTGTGATGATTGCATTCACCTCACAGAGTTGACCATTCCTATTGATAGAGCAGTTTGGAAACACTCTTGTTGTGGAATGTGCAAGTGGAGATTTGGAGCGCTTTGAGGCCTATGGTAGTAAAGGGAATAGCTTCATAGAAAAACTAGACAGATGCATTCTCAGGAACTTTTTGGTGATGTTTGTATTCAACTCCCAGAGTTGAACTTTCCTTTGGAAAGAGCAGCTATGAAACACCCTTTTTCTAGAATCTGCAAGTGGACGTTTGGAGGGCTTTGTGGTTTGTGGTGGAAAAGGAAATATCTTCACCTAAATACTAGACAGAAGCATTCTCAGAAGCTTCTCTGTGATGACTGCATTCAACTCACGGAGTTGAACACTCCTTTTGAGAGCGCAGTTTTGAAACTCTCTTTCTGTGGCATCTGCAAGGGGACATGTAGACCTCTTTGAAGATTTCGTTGGAAACGGAATCATCTTCACATAAAAACTATACAGAAGCAGTCTCAGAATCTTCTTTGTGATGTTTGCATTCAAATCCCAGAGTTGAACTTTCCTTTCAAAGTTCACGTTTGAAACACTCTTTTTGCAGGATCTACAAGTGGATATTTGGACCACTCTGTGTCCTTCGTTCGAAACGGGTATATCTTCACACGACATCTAGACAGAAGCTTTCTCAGAAAATTCTTTGGGATGATTGAGTGGAACTCACAGAGCTGAACATTCCTTGCGATGTAGCAGTTTAGAAACACACTTTCTGCAGAATCTGCAAGTGCATATTTGGACCTCTCTGAGGAATTCGTTGGAAACGGGATAATTTCAGCTGACTAAACAGAAGCATTCTCAGTAACCTTCTTCGTGATGTCTGCATTCAACTCACAGTGTGGAACCTTTCTTTGATAGTTCAGGTTTGAAACACTCTTTTTGTAGAAACTGCAAGGGGATAATTGCACTTCTTTGAGGCCTACCGTAGTAAAGGAAATAACTTCCTATAAAAAGAAGACAGAAGCATTCTCAGAACCCTCTTGGTGATGTTTGCATTCAACTCACGGTGCTGAACGTTTCTTTGATAGTTCAGCTTTGAAACACTCTTTTTGTAGAAACTGCAAGTGGATATTTGGTCCTCTCTGAGGATTTCGTTGGAAACGGGATAAACCGCACAGAACTAAACAGAAGCATTCTCAGAACCTTCTTCGTGATGTTTGCATTCAACTCACAGTGTTGAACCTTTCTTTGATAGTTCATGTTTGAAACGGTCTTTCTGTAGAAACTGCAAGTAGATATTTGGACCTCTCTGAGGATTTCGTTGGAAACGGGATAAACCGCACAGAACTAAAACAGAAGCATTCACAGAAAACTCTTGGTGACGACTGAGTTTAACTCACAGAGCTGAACATTCCTTTGGATGGAGCAGTTTCGAAACACACTATTTGTAGAATGTGCAAGTGGATATTTGGGCCTCTCTGAGGATTTCGTTGGAAACGGGATAAACCGCACAGAACTAAACAGAAGCATTCTCAGAAACTACTTTGTGATGATTGCATTCAAGTCACAGAGTTGAACATTCCCTTTGACAGAGCAGTTTGGAAACTCTCTTTGTGTAAAATCTGCAAGTGGAGATATGGACCGCTTTGAGGCCTATGGTAGTAAAGGAAATAGCTTCATATAAAAGCTAGACAGTAGCATTCTCAGAAACTTCTTTGTGATGCTTGCATTCAACTCACAGAGTTGAACTTTCCTTTCGAGAGAGAAGCTTTGAAACACTCTTTTTCCAGAATCTGCAAGTGGACATTTGGAGGGCTTTGAGGCCTGTGGTGGAAAAGGAATTATCTTCCCGTAAAAGCTAGATAGAAGCATTGTCAGAAACTACTTTGTGATGATTGCATTCAACTCACAGAGTTGAAGGTTCCTTTTCAAACAGCAGTTTCCAATCACTCTTTCTGTGGAATCTGCAAGTGGATATTTGGACCTCTTTGAAGATTTCGTTGGAAACGGGAGAATCTTCACAGAAAAGCTAAACAGAAGCATTCTCAGAAACTTCTCTGTGATGTTTGTGTTCAACTCCCAGAATTTCACATTGCTTTTCATAGAGTAGTTCTGAAACATGCTTTTCGTAGTGTCTGCAAGTGGACATTTGGAGCGCTTTCAGGCCTGTGGTGGAAAACGAATTATGGTCACATAAAAACTGGAGAGAAGACTTCTCAGAAACTTCTCTGTGATGATTGCATTCAACTCACAGAGTTGAACCCTCCTATGGATAGAGCAGTGTTGAAACTCTCTTTTTGTGGAATCTGCAAGTGGATATGTGGACCTCTCCGAAGATGTCTTTGGAAACGGGAATATCTTCACATAAAAACTAAACAGAAGCATTCTCAGAAACTTCTTGGTGATGTTTGCATTCAAATCCCAGAGTTGAACCTTCCTTTGATAGTTCAGGTTTGAAACACTCTTTTTGTAGGATCTGCAAGTGGATATTTGGACCACCCTGTGGCCTTCGTTCGAAACGGGTACATCTTCGCATAAAATCTAGACAGAAGCATTCTCAGAAAATACTTTGTGATGATTGAGTTGAACTCACAGAGCTGAACATTCCTTTGGATGGAGCAGTTTCGAAACATACTATTTGTAGAATCTGCAAGTGGATATGTGGGCCTCTCTGAGGATTTCGTTGGAAACGGGATAAATCGCACAGAACTAAACAGAAGCATTCTCAGAAACTGCTTTGTGATGATTGCATTCACCTCACAGAGTTGAACATTCCTATTGATAGAGCAGTTTGGAAACACTCTTGTTGTGGAATGTGCAAGTGGAGATTTGGAGCGCTTTGAGGCCTATGGTAGTAAAGGGAATAGCTTCATAGAAAAACTAGACAGATGCATTCTCAGGAACCTTTTGGTGATGTTTGTATTCAACTCCCAGAGTTGAACTTTCCTTTGGAAAGAGCAGCTATGAAACACTCTTTTTCTAGAATCTGCAAGTGGACGTTTGGAGGGCTTTGTGGTTTGTGGTGGAAAAGGAAATATCTTCACCTAAATACTAGATAGAAGCATTCTCAGAAGCTTCTCTGTGATGACTGCATTCAACTCACGGAGTTGAACACTCCTTTTGAGAGCGCAGTTTTGAAACTCTCTTTCTGTGGCATCTGCAAGGGGACATGTAGACCTCTTTGAAGATTTCGTTGGAAACGGAATCATCTTCACATAAAAACTATACAGAAGCAGTCTCAGAATCTTCTTTGTGATGTTTGCATTCAAATCCCAGAGTTGAACTTTCCTTTCAAAGTTCACGTTTGAAACACTCTTTTTGCAGGATCTACAAGTGGATATTTGGACCACTCTGTGTCCTTCGTTCGAAACGGGTATATCTTCACACGACATCTAGACAGAAGCTTTCTCAGAAAATTCTTTGGGATGATTGAGTGGAACTCACAGAGCTGAACATTCCTTGCGATGTAGCAGTTTAGAAACACACTTTCTGCAGAATCTGCAAGTGCATATTTGGACCTCTCTGAGGAATTCGTTGGAAACGGGATAATTTCAGCTGACTAAACAGAAGCATTCTCAGAACCTTCTTCGTGATGTCTGCATTCAACTCACAGTGTGGAACCTTTCTTTGATAGTTCAGGTTTGAAACACTCTTTTTGTAGAAACTGCAAGGGGATAATTGCACTTCTTTGAGGCCTACCGTAGTAAAGGAAATAACTTCCTATAGAAAGAAGACAGAAGCATTCTCAGAACCCTCTTCGTGATGTTTGCATTCAACTCACAGTGCTGAACCTTTCTTTGATAGTTCAGCTTTGAAACACTCTTCTTGTAGAAACTGCAAGTGGATATTTGGTCCTCTCTGAGGATTTCGTTGGAAACGGGATAAACCGCACAGAACTAAACAGAAGAATTCTCAGAGCCCTCTTCGTGATGTTTGCATTCAACTCACAGTGCTGAACCTTTCTTTGATAGTGCAGCTTTGAAACACTCTTTTTGTAGAAACTGCAAGTGGATGTTTGGTCCTCTCTGAGGATTTCGTTGGAAACGGGATAAACCGCACAGAACTAAAACAGAAGCATTGTCAGAAACTTCTTTGTGATGATTGCATTCAACTCACAGAGTTGAAGGTTCCTTTTCAAACAGCAGTTTCCAATCACTCTTTCTGTGGAATCTGCAAGTGGATATTTGGGCCTCTCTGAGGATTTCGTTGGAAACGGGATAAAACGCACAGAACTAAAACAGAAGCATTCTCAGAAACTTCTCTGTGATGTTTGTGTTCAACTCCCAGAGTTTCACGTTGCTTTTCATAGAGTAGTTCTGAAACATGCTTTTCGTAGTGTCTGCAAGTGGACATTTGGAGCGCTTTCAGGCCTGTGGTGGAAAACGAATTATGGTCACATAAAAACTGGAGAGAAGCCTTCTCAGAAACTTCTCTGTGATGATTGCATTCAACTCACAGAGTTGAACCCTCCTATGGATAGAGCAGTGTTGAAACTCTCTTTTTGTGGAATCTGCAAGTGGATATGTGGACCTCTCCGAAGATGTCTTTGGAAACGGGAATATCTTCACATAAAAACTAAACAGAAGCATTCTCAGAAACTTCTTGGTGATGTTTGCATTCAAATCCCAGGAGTTGAACCTTCCTTTGATAGTTCAGGTTTGAAACACTCTTTTTGTAGGATCTGCAAGTGGCTATTTGGACCACTCTGTGGCCTTCGTTCGAAACGGGTATATCTTCGCATAAAATCTAGACAGAAGCATTCTCAGAAAATACTTTGTGATGATTGAGTTTAAATCACAGAGCTGAACATTCCTTTGGATGGAGTAGGTTTGAGACACACTTTTTGTAGAATCTACAAGTGGATATTTGGACCTCTCTGAGGATTTCGTTGGAAACGGGATAACTGCACCTAACTAAACGGAAGCATTCTCAGAAACTGCTTTGTGATGATTGCATTCACCTCACAGAGTTGAACATTCCTATTGATAGAGCAGTTTGGAAACACTCTTGTTGTGGAATGTGCAAGTGGAGATTTGGAGCGCTTTGAGGCCTATGGTAGTAAAGGGAATAGCTTCATAGAAAAACTAGACAGATGCATTCTCAGGAACCTTTTGGTGATGTTTGTATTCAACTCCCAGAGTTGAACTTTCCTTTGGAAAGAGCAGCTATGAAACACTCTTTTTCTAGAATCTGCAAGTGGACGTTTGGAGGGCTTTGTGGTTTGTGGTGGAAAAGGAAATATCTTCACCTAAATACTAGATAGAAGCATTCTCAGAAGCTTCTCTGTGATGACTGCATTCAACTCACGGAGTTGAACACTCCTTTTGAGAGCGCAGTTTTGAAACTCTCTTTCTGTGGCATCTGCAAGGGGACATGTAGACCTCTTTGAAGATTTCGTTGGAAACGGAATCATCTTCACATAAAAACTATACAGAAGCAGTCTCAGAATCTTCTTTGTGATGTTTGCATTCAAATCCCAGAGTTGAACTTTCCTTTCAAAGTTCACGTTTGAAACACTCTTTTTGCAGGATCTACAAGTGGATATTTGGACCACTCTGTGTCCTTCGTTCGAAACGGGTATATCTTCACACGACATCTAGACAGAAGCTTTCTCAGAAAATTCTTTGGGATGATTGAGTGGAACTCACAGAGCTGAACATTCCTTGCGATGTAGCAGTTTAGAAACACACTTTCTGCAGAATCTGCAAGTGCATATTTGGACCTCTCTGAGGAATTCGTTGGAAACGGGATAATTTCAGCTGACTAAACAGAAGCATTCTCAGAACCTTCTTCGTGATGTCTGCATTCAACTCACAGTGTGGAACCTTTCTTTGATAGTTCAGGTTTGAAACACTCTTTTTGTAGAAACTGCAAGGGGATAATTGCACTTCTTTGAGGCCTACCGTAGTAAAGGAAATAACTTCCTATAGAAAGAAGACAGAAGCATTCTCAGAACCCTCTTCGTGATGTTTGCATTCAACTCACAGTGCTGAACCTTTCTTTGATAGTTCAGCTTTGAAACACTCTTCTTGTAGAAACTGCAAGTGGATATTTGGTCCTCTCTGAGGATTTCGTTGGAAACGGGATAAACCGCACAGAACTAAACAGAAGAATTCTCAGAGCCCTCTTCGTGATGTTTGCATTCAACTCACAGTGCTGAACCTTTCTTTGATAGTGCAGCTTTGAAACACTCTTTTTGTAGAAACTGCAAGTGGATGTTTGGTCCTCTCTGAGGATTTCGTTGGAAACGGGATAAACCGCACAGAACTAAAACAGAAGCATTGTCAGAAACTTCTTTGTGATGATTGCATTCAACTCACAGAGTTGAAGGTTCCTTTTCAAACAGCAGTTTCCAATCACTCTTTCTGTGGAATCTGCAAGTGGATATTTGGGCCTCTCTGAGGATTTCGTTGGAAACGGGATAAAACGCACAGAACTAAAACAGAAGCATTCTCAGAAACTTCTCTGTGATGTTTGTGTTCAACTCCCAGAGTTTCACGTTGCTTTTCATAGAGTAGTTCTGAAACATGCTTTTCGTAGTGTCTGCAAGTGGACATTTGGAGCGCTTTCAGGCCTGTGGTGGAAAACGAATTATGGTCACATAAAAACTGGAGAGAAGCCTTCTCAGAAACTTCTCTGTGATGATTGCATTCAACTCACAGAGTTGAACCCTCCTATGGATAGAGCAGTGTTGAAACTCTCTTTTTGTGGAATCTGCAAGTGGATATGTGGACCTCTCCGAAGATGTCTTTGGAAACGGGAATATCTTCACATAAAAACTAAACAGAAGCATTCTCAGAAACTTCTTGGTGATGTTTGCATTCAAATCCCAGAGTTGAACCTTCCTTTGATAGTTCAGGTTTGAAACACTCTTTCTGTAGGATCTGCAAGTGGCTATTTGGACCACTCTGTGGCCTTCGTTCGAAACGGGTATATCTTCGCATAAAATCTAGACAGAAGCATTCTCAGAAAATACTTTGTGATGATTGAGTTTAAATCACAGAGCTGACCATTCCTTTGGATGGAGCAGGTTTGAGACACACTTTTTGTAGAATCTACAAGTGGATATTTGGACCTCTCTGAGGATTTCGTTGGAAACGGGATAACTGCACCTAACTAAACGGAAGCATTCTCAGAAACTGCTTTGTGATGATTGCATTCACCTCACAGAGTTGAACATTCCTATTGATAGAGCAGTTTGGAAACACTCTTGTTGTGGAATGTGCAAGTGGAGATTTGGAGCGCTTTGAGGCCTGTGGTAGCAAAGGGAATAGCTTCATAGAAAAACTAGACAGATGCATTCTCAGGAACTTTTTGGTGATGTTTGTATTCAACTCCCAGAGTTGAACTTTCCTTTGGAAAGAGCAGCTATGAAACACTCTTTTTCTAGAATCTGCAAGTGGACGTTTGGAGGGCTTTGTGGTTTGTGGTGGAAAAGGAAATATCTTCACCTAAATACTAGATAGAAGCATTCTCAGAAGCTTCTCTGTGATGACTGCATTCAACTCACGGAGTTGAACACTCCTTTTGAGAGCGCAGTTTTGAAACTCTCTTTCTGTGGCATCTGCAAGGGGACATGTAGACCTCTTTGAAGATTTCGTTGGAAACGGAATCATCTTCACATAAAAACTATACAGAAGCAGTCTCAGAATCTTCTTTGTGATGTTTACATTCAAATCCCAGAGTTGAACTTTCCTTTCAAAGTTCACGTTTGAAACACTCTTTTTGCAGGATCTACAAGTGGATATTTGGACCACTCTGTGTCCTTCGTTCGAAACGGGTATATCTTCACATGACATCTAGACAGAAGCTTTCTCAGAAAATTCTTTGGGATGATTGAGTGGAACTCACAGAGCTGAACATTCCTTGCGATGTAGCAGTTTAGAAACACACTTTCTGCAGAATCTGCAAGTGCATATTTGGACCTCTCTGAGGAATTCGTTGGAAACGGGATAATTTCAGCTGACTAAACAGAAGCATTCTCAGAACCTTCTTCGTGATGTCTGCATTCAACTCACAAGTGTGGAACCTTTCTTTGATAGTTCAGGTTTGAAACACTCTTTTTGTAGAAACTGCAAGGGGATAATTGCACTTCTTTGAGGCCTACCGTAGTAAAGGAAATAACTTCCTATAGAAAGAAGACAGAAGCATTCTCAGAACCCTCTTCGTGATGTTTGCATTCAACTCACAAGTGCTGAACCTTTCTTTGATAGTTCAGCTTTGAAACACTCTTCTTGTAGAAACTGCAAGTGGATATTTGGTCCTCTCTGAGGATTTCGTTGGAAACGGGATAAACCGCACAGAACTAAACAGAAGAATTCTCAGAGCCCTCTTCGTGATGTTTGCATTCAACTCACAGTGCTGAACCTTTCTTTGATAGTGCAGCTTTGAAACACTCTTTTTGTAGAAACTGCAAGTGGATGTTTGGTCCTCTCTGAGGATTTCGTTGGAAACGGGATAAACCGCACAGAACTAAAACAGAAGCATTGTCAGAAACTTCTTTGTGATGATTGCATTCAACTCACAGAGTTGAAGGTTCCTTTTCAAACAGCAGTTTCCAATCACTCTTTCTGTGGAATCTGCAAGTGGATATTTGGGCCTCTCTGAGGATTTCGTTGGAAACGGGATAAAACGCACAGAACTAAAACAGAAGCATTCTCAGAAACTTCTCTGTGATGTTTGTGTTCAACTCCCAGAGTTTCACGTTGCTTTTCATAGAGTAGTTCTGAAACATGCTTTTCGTAGTGTCTGCAAGTGGACATTTGGAGCGCTTTCAGGCCTGTGGTGGAAAACGAATTATGGTCACATAAAAACTGGAGAGAAGCATTCTCAGAAAATACTTTGTGATGATTGAGTTAAAATCACAGAGCTGAACATTCCTTTGGATGGAGCAGGTTTGAGACACACTTTTTGTAGAATCTACAAGTGGATATTTGGACCTCTCTGAGGATTTCGTTGGAAACGGGATAACTGCACCTAACTAAACGGAAGCATTCTCAGAAACTGCTTTGTGATGATTGCATTCACCTCACAGAGTTGAACATTCGTATTGATAGAGCAGTTTGGAAACACTCTTCTTGTGGAATGTGCAAGTGGAGATTTGGAGCGCTTTGGGGCCTATGGTAGTAAAGGGAATAGCTTCATAGAAAAACTAGACAGATGCATTCTCAGGAATTTTTTGGTGATGTTTGTGTTCAACTCCCAGAGTTGAACTTTCCTTTGGAAAGAGCAGCTATGAAACACTCTTTTTCTAGAATCTGCAAGTGGACGTTTGGAGGGCTTTGTGGTTTGTGGTGGAAAAGGAAATATCTTCACCTAAATACTAGATAGAAGCATCCTCAGAAGCTTCTCTGTGATGACTGCATTCAACTCACGGAGTTGAACACTCCTTTTGAGAGCGCAGTTTTGAAACTCTCTTTCTGTGGCATCTGCAAGGGGACATGTAGACCTACTTTGAAGATTTCGTTGGAAACGGAATCATCTTCACATAAAAACTACACAGAAGCAGTCTCAGAATCTTCTTTGTGATGTTTGCATTCAAATCCCAGAGTTGAACTTTCCTTTCAAAGTTCACGTTTGAAACACTCTTTTTGCAGGATCTACAAGTGGATATTTGGACCACTCTGTGTCCTTCGTTCGAAACGGGTATATCTTCACACGACATCTAGACAGAAGCTTTCTCAGAAAATTCTTTGGGATGATTGAGTGGAACTCACAGAGCTGAACATTCCTTGCGATGTAGCAGTTTAGAAACACACTTTCTGCAGAATCTGCAAGTGCATATTTGGACCTCTCTGAGGAATTCGTTGGAAACGGGATAATTTCAGCTGACTAAACAGAAGCATTCTCAGAACCTTCTTCGTGATGTCTGCATTCAACTCACAGTGTGGAACCTTTCTTTGATAGTTCAGGTTTGAAACACTCTTTTTGTAGAAACTGCAAGGGGATAATTGCACTTCTTTGAGGCCTACCGTAGTAAAGGAAATAACTTCCTATAGAAAGAAGACAGAAGCATTCTCAGAACCCTCTTCGTGATGTTTGCATTCAACTCACAGTGCTGAACCTTTCTTTGATAGTTCAGCTTTGAAACACTCTTCTTGTAGAAACTGCAAGTGGATATTTGGTCCTCTCTGAGGATTTCGTTGGAAACGGGATAAACCGCACAGAACTAAACAGAAGAATTCTCAGAGCCCTCTTCGTGATGTTTGCATTCAACTCACAGTGCTGAACCTTTCTTTGATAGTGCAGCTTTGAAACACTCTTTTTGTAGAAACTGCAAGTGGATGTTTGGTCCTCTCTGAGGATTTCGTTGGAAACGGGATAAACCGCACAGAACTAAAACAGAAGCATTGTCAGAAACTTCTTTGTGATGATTGCATTCAACTCACAGAGTTGAAGGTTCCTTTTCAAACAGCAGTTTCCAATCACTCTTTCTGTGGAATCTGCAAGTGGATATTTGGGCCTCTCTGAGGATTTCGTTGGAAACGGGATAAAACGCACAGAACTAAAACAGAAGCATTCTCAGAAACTTCTCTGTGATGTTTGTGTTCAACTCCCAGAGTTTCACGTTGCTTTTCATAGAGTAGTTCTGAAGCATGCTTTTCGTAGTGTCTGCAAGTGGACATTTGGAGCGCTTTCAGGCCTGTGGTGGAAAACGAATTATGGTCACATAAAAACTGGAGAGAAGCCTTCTCAGAAACTTCTCTGTGATGATTGCATTCAACTCACAGAGTTGAACCCTCCTATGGATAGAGCAGTGTTGAAACTCTCTTTTTGTGGAATCTGCAAGTGGATATGTGGACCTCTCCGAAGATGTCTTTGGAAACGGGAATATCTTCACATAAAAACTAAACAGAAGCATTCTCAGAAACTTCTTGGTGATGTTTGCATTCAAATCCCAGAGTTGAACCTTCCTTTGATAGTTCAGGTTTGAAACACTCTTTCTGTAGGATCTGCAAGTGGCTATTTGGACCACTCTGTGGCCTTCGTTCGAAACGGGTATATCTTCGCATAAAATCTAGACAGAAGCATTCTCAGAAAATACTTTGTGATGATTGAGTTTAAATCACAGAGCTGACCATTCCTTTGGATGGAGCAGGTTTGAGACACACTTTTTGTAGAATCTACAAGTGGATATTTGGACCTCTCTGAGGATTTCGTTGGAAACGGGATAACTGCACCTAACTAAACGGAAGCATTCTCAGAAACTGCTTTGTGATGATTGCATTCACCTCACAGAGTTGAACATTCCTATTGATAGAGCAGTTTGGAAACACTCTTGTTGTGGAATGTGCAAGTGGAGATTTGGAGCGCTTTGAGGCCTGTGGTAGCAAAGGGAATAGCTTCATAGAAAAACTAGACAGAATGCATTCTCAGGGAACTTTTTGGTGATGTTTGTATTCAACTCCCAGAGTTGAACTTTCCTTTGGAAAGAGCAGCTATGAAACACTCTTTTTCTAGAATCTGCAAGTGGACGTTTGGAGGGCTTTGTGGTTTGTGGTGGAAAAGGAAATATCTTCACCTAAATACTAGATAGAAGCATTCTCAGAAGCTTCTCTGTGATGACTGCATTCAACTCACGGAGTTGAACACTCCTTTTGAGAGCGCAGTTTTGAAACTCTCTTTCTGTGGCATCCGCAAGGGGACATGTGGACCTCTTTGAAGATTTCGTTGGAAATGGAATCATCTTCACATAAAAACTATACAGAAGCAGTCTCAGAATCTTCTTTGTGATGTTTGCATTCAAATCCCAGAGTTGAACTTTCCTTTCAAAGTTCACGTTTGAAACACTCTTTTTGCAGGATCTACAAGTGGATATTTGGACCACTCTGTGTCCTTCGTTCGAAACGGGTATATCTTCACACGACATCTAGACAGAAGCTTTCTCAGAAAATTCTTTGGGATGATTGAGTGGAACTCACAGAGCTGAACATTCCTTGCGATGTAGCAGTTTAGAAACACACTTTCTGCAGAATCTGCAAGTGCATATTTGGACCTCTCTGAGGAATTCGTTGGAAACGGGATAATTTCAGCTGACTAAACAGAAGCATTCTCAGAACCTTCTTCGTGATGTCTGCATTCAACTCACAGTGTGGAACCTTTCTTTGATAGTTCAGGTTTGAAACACTCTTTTTGTAGAAACTGCAAGGGGATAATTGCACTTCTTTGAGGCCTACCGTAGTAAAGGAAATAACTTCCTATAGAAAGAAGACAGAAGCATTCTCAGAACCCTCTTCGTGATGTTTGCATTCAACTCACAGTGCTGAACCTTTCTTTGATAGTTCAGCTTTGAAACACTCTTCTTGTAGAAACTGCAAGTGGATATTTGGTCCTCTCTGAGGATTTCGTTGGAAACGGGATAAACCGCACAGAACTAAACAGAAGCATTCTCAGAATCTTCTTCGTGATGATTGCATTCAACTCACAGTGTTGAACCTTTCTTTGATAGTTCAGGTTGGAAACGGTCTTTCTGTAGAAACTGCAAGTAGATATTTGGACCTCTCTGAGGATTTCGTTGGAAACGGGATAAACCGCACAGAACTAAAACAGAAGCATTCACAGAAAACTCTTGGTGACGACTGAGTTTAACTCACAGAGCTGAACATTCCTTTGGATGGAGCAGTTTCGAAACACACTATTTGTAGAATGTGCAAGTGGATATTTGGGCCTCTCTGAGGATTTCGTTGGAAACGCGATAAACCGCACAGAACTAAAGAGAAGCATTCTCAGAAACTACTTTGTGATGATTGCATTCAAGTCACAGAGTTGAACATTCCCTTTGACAGAACAGTTTGGAAACTCTCTTTGTGTAGAATCTGCAAGTGGAGATATGGACCGCTTTGAGGCCTATGGTAGTAAAGGAAATAGCTTCATATAAAAGCTAGACAGTAGCATTCTCAGAAACTTCTTTGTGATGCTTGCATTCAACTCACAGAGTTGAACTTTCCTTTCGAGAGAGAAGCTTTGAAACACTCTTTTTCCAGAATGTGCAAGTGGACATTTGGGGAGCTTTGAGGCCTGTGGTGGAAAAGGAATTATCTTCCCGTAAAAGCTAGATAGAAGCATTGTCAGAAACTTCTTTGTGATGATTGCATTCAACTCACAGAGTTGAAGGTTCCTTTTCAAACAGCAGTTTCCAATCACTCTTTCTGTGGAATCTGCAAGTGGATATTTCGACCTCTTTGAAGATTTCGTTGGAAACGGGAGAATCTTCACAGAAAAGCTAAACAGAAGCATTCTCAGAAACTTCTCTGTGATGTTTGTGTTCAACTCCCAGAGTTTCACGTTGCTTTTCATAGAGTAGTTCTGAAACATGCTTTTCGTAGTGTCTGCAAGTGGACATTTGGAGCGCTTTCAGGCCTGTGGTGGAAAACGAATTATGGTCACATAAAAACTGGAGAGAAGCCTTCTCAGAAACTTCTCTGTGATGATTGCATTCAACTCACAGAGTTGAACCCTCCTATGGATAGAGCAGTGTTGAAACTCTCTTTTTGTGGAATCTGCAAGTGGATATGTGGACCTCTCCGAAGATGTCTTTGGAAACGGGAATATCTTCACATAAAAACTAAACAGAAGCATTCTCAGAAACTTCTTGGTGATGTTTGCATTCAAATCCCAGAGTTGAACCTTCCTTTGATAGTTCAGGTTTGAAACACTCTTTCTGTAGGATCTGCAAGTGGCTATTTGGACCACTCTGTGGCCTTCGTTCGAAACGGGTATATCTTCGCATAAAATCTAGACAGAAGCATTCTCAGAAAATACTTTGTGATGATTGAGTTTAAATCACAGAGCTGACCATTCCTTTGGATGGAGCAGGTTTGAGACACACTTTTTGTAGAATCTACAAGTGGATATTTGGACCTCTCTGAGGATTTCGTTGGAAACGGGATAACTGCACCTAACTAAACGGAAGCATTCTCAGAAACTGCTTTGTGATGATTGCATTCACCTCACAGAGTTGAACATTCCTATTGATAGAGCAGTTTGGAAACACTCTTGTTGTGGAATGTGCAAGTGGAGATTTGGAGCGCTTTGAGGCCTATGTTAGTAAAGGGAATAGCTTCATAGAAAAACTAGACAGATGCATTCTCAGGAACTTTTTGGTGATGTTTGTATTCAACTCCCAGAGTTGAACTTTCCTTTGGAAAGAGCAGCTATGAAACACTCTTTTTCTAGAATCTGCAAGTGGACGTTTGGAGGGCTTTGTGGTTTGTGGTGGAAAAGGAAATATCTTCACCTAAATACTAGATAGAAGCATTCTCAGAAGCTTCTCTGTGATGACTGCATTCAACTCACGGAGTTGAACACTCCTTTTGAGAGCGCAGTTTTGAAACTCTCTTTCTGTGGCATCCGCAAGGGGACATGTGGACCTCTTTGAAGATTTCGTTGGAAACGGAATCATCTTCACATAAAAACTATACAGAAGCAGTCTCAGAATCTTCTTTGTGATGTTTGCATTCAAATCCCAGAGTTGAACTTTCCTTTCAAAGTTCACGTTTGAAACACTCTTTTTGCAGGATCTACAAGTGGATATTTGGACCACTCTGTGTCCTTCGTTCGAAACGGGTATATCTTCACACGACATCTAGACAGAAGCTTTCTCAGAAAATTCTTTGGGATGATTGAGTGGAACTCACAGAGCTGAACATTCCTTGCGATGTAGCAGTTTAGAAACACACTTTCTGCAGAATCTGCAAGTGCATATTTGGACCTCTCTGAGGAATTCGTTGGAAAC